>NC_000014.9:55369288-55672319 GCF_000001405.40 Homo sapiens | reverse complement strand
TTGGCCCCAAAAAATAAGTGAGTAATGGTACTCTTTATCACGCTGAAGTAAAAGGGAGAAAAATTAAGGTTGCAAAATAACATTCAGGTCCCAGGAATAGAAGAATGACTTTTTCTTGAATTCTATATTATGGGTTAAATACTTTAAAACTGATTTTGAACCCAGTATTCTTTACCTTATCACACAATAGTTCTGTAACTAGCATTCTACATTCTATATGATTACCCTTTAGTCATACTTTAAAACCAGTGATTTTCAAACTTGGGTGGGCATTAGACTATTCTGGAGGGCTCATGAAAACACAGACTGCTGCCACCCCACATACATGTTTTGGATTTGGTAGCTGGGTTGGGGCCCAAGAATGTGCATGGTGATGCTGATGCTGCTGGTTCAAGCCCCACACATCGAGAACCACTGCTCTAAGCTTTTCTTTTGTAAATACCTGTTTAATAGTCTTGTGTGATTCATCGACCTTAACTTTCCATTTATTTTCTTCTTGCTCAACACTTCTCTGTAGCTTCTGTAAAATTCCTTCCTACAGACAAAAGCATAGTTGTTTTGAAAAATTCATGTTCTAATGCCAAGATAAAACTATTTAGGCCATGAAGGAAGAAGGTAATGATTTAAAGTAAAATCAAAATGTAGATTAAAAATCATTTCCTACTGTTTCTGCAAGGACGGATTTGTATTTTTCACACTCTAGCTGTAACAATGTGTGCATTTCATCAGCTTCTTTCAACTTGTGCTCTAGAACCTGCAAAGAACGAAATAAAGAAAAACTCCATAATTCTACCAGAAAGTTTTATGCTTCAAGTTTGTTTTAGTACTTAATACTGTATTATGATAAATGGTTTCAAAGTGTTTTATAAGGAAACACTACATTTCAACCTTTCTAAGTAGCGATGAAGTTCATTCAATAACCCTTTTGGTCATTTTTATTAAACAATGTTATAATAAATAGTCTTGGTACTAAAGTCTTTAGTCAGGTGGTAAGATCAAAGCAGACCCACATGTGAAGTATGGTCACAATGCCTATGCTACACACATGGGAAAGAGGATTTTATTCATGCCACTTGAGATACAAGAAAACAATAATAATAAATCCCCCCCAATTTCAGTAGCCAAGGATAAAAACCAATCCAGTTTCTAAATACCTCTAATGACGTATTTGGGGATGCTTCAGCAAACCAGTGAGATTCTACCTATCTCGACTAATCTTTACTTTTTAAACCTAGGCTAAAAAGATAGTAAGGGATAAATATTCAATTTTAGAAACAATTAAAATACAGAGTTAAAGGAATGGCAAACACTAGCTTTGTAAACAAATCAAATGCAAAGACAACTTACTGTATTTCAACTAAAATTTAAACAAAATGAAATCACCTTCTTACACTTTCTCAAAAGAGCCTTATTCGATTATCTTTTATCTTTTCCAAGCTTATGAAGACAAAATCTTATTTGCTTCTTTTTTCTATGTTTAAATTACAAACAGTTCATTTGCTGAACTAACCTTAACCTCCTCTGACCCTGAAGTTCCAGCCATACATTCTTTTGCCTTTTTTTCAAATCCATGCAACCATTCACCATAACTCTGTGGACGAGAAAAGTTAAAATCATTAATTTCCAAAGAAAAAAAAAATCCAAATAAAACAGGTGAAACATTTAAAATAACCAAATTAGATAATTATAAAAGAAACCTACACAGACAAACAGGACATTGCTACAAATTTCAAAGAGGAATGTAACTACTGCATAAGTTGGACATAACCCACTTTGAAAAACAAGCACTAAAAACAGACCTATGTACCTACCATCAAAATAAAATATTATATACCTAACCAAGAGTATTTTCAACTGAATTCTGCAGTTGCATGTAGAAAAACCTGGGTTCAAATCTGGCCTCTACCACTTACTAGCACCAGGACAAATAATCTTTAAAACACAAAAAACCCAGACTAATTTTTCAAAACTGTTTCCAGGTAAATCAGTTCTCAAAAATGAAGTATTTTGAGTTCATAAAGTGAAAGTGAAGTATTTTGAGTTCATAAAGATGTTCCATTTGGAGGATTTCAAATTCTGTGAAAATGCTCCAAGGACTCTAAAATTATTTCATTCAAATTAGGAAATATTATTCAGTATTTTAAAAATCCTAATGAGAAGTGATATGCATACACATTCACTTGTTTAAATCCAACAAAAACTCAATTTGTGCTGACAGGTTAGCTGATGTAAATATGCATGTATTACAGTTTTGGCATTTATTCTAAATTTTAGAATAAATTACTCTAAATTATTGATGCTTATCTGAATTTTACACTTTGATAAAGTGTATCTGTGTGTTACATACTTTAAATCAAATTTCCTCTTATTCCTTCTTTTAAGTCTTTGGATTAAATTTAAGAAAAAAACTCATGAAATTTTTATTAACTGCTATAATATAAACTGTTACATATGCAGCAGAATCAGGATTCTCTGGAAACTATCAAATAACAAAAAACAAAAGTAGATGCTGAGTCACTCCATAGTACAATACCTTTAATATCAAATTAGTTTTAAAACACTATTTAACATTCTCACATTATAAATCTGAACCAAGACTAAATGTACACTATCAGAATCCTACTTAACAGTTTCAACTATTGGTACCCAACATAAATTAAAATAAGATAAAAAACTAGTTTTGTTGCTTAAAGTTTGTAAATTTCCTTCTAGGTCATATAATTTAGATCTCTCCTATGTTGACTGCTCAGCAAAACAGCAAGAGGAAACAGTAAAAAAATTTATATATTTTTATATCTACTAATTATCTTGACTTATCTTAATATTAATGAAGCTTATTGCTTTATTATTTTATAACATAAATAGTTTATTGTCCTTCAAATCTTTACAAACCTAAAATGCCAGACTCTAATGTTAGCACATAGAAAGTTTAGTACATTTCTTGTAGACTATATGCAGAAATATTCAACTTTTGACAAGTATATGAACAAAAGCCAAACAGTATCATCCATTTATTATGATGACTTATAAATATTTCTAGTGTCAAAAAGATCTGGTTACTGAGAGTGGGTAGTATTGCTGTTAGAAAAGAAAATTTTTACTGCTGGTGATCTTATACAATCTTTGAAGAACAGAAATTATCAATCATTAATTCTCTTGGCTCATAAAGTACTGCCAAAAAATACATCCCCCAGTATTATTTCCATAAATATAAAGTAGAAACAAAAACAGGTTATGCCACAAAGAAAAAAAAATTGAATATATTAATAGCAACCCTTTCTCTTAGGTTCAATTTAACAACAGCACTAGAACTGATAGTGTATCTATACGTTTACTCAGTGCTAGGTATTTCATCAGTTCAACTCAAAAGTGGTAGAGATCTCCTAAACTGATCAGATCGGAACATATCCTCGATAGTTACAATGGAAACAAAGGAGTTTTCTCTCCTTACTTGAAATAAATGTAGGCTATACTTAACTCAGACTACAAATAGAACAAGCCATTAAGTTTACTTACCCCACCCCTAGCACCCACAGAGCTCCTTGGAGAAATAGTTGATTCTATGTTTGGGGCAGGAAATGTATATGATAAATCAGGAGCACCTTATCATACCACAAAGCATAGAAGCTATCAAAGTTTAGCAGCATTGTGTCAAAACGACTTGGTAACAAACCTAAATAAGTTCCAATGGGCCAAAGGAAGACAAGCAGACATTACGAATCTCCTCATGAAAGTGCACACCACCGCCCATGAAGTGGTCTTGCCCCTACTCTACCCTACCCCCAAAATACTGAGCCTTAATCTGACCAGGAATCAGATTCCTGATTACAGATTTGATACATAAAAGATACATAAAGAAAAGAGGAACATGCTAACACCACAGGGATGCAGTCAACTAAATCCAAACTGTGGGAAACTTCATAGGAAACCACTAAGTTTTGTTTTTGTTTTTTTTTTAAAGGAGGTGGGGTGTTGCTGAGAAAGAGTCGGGGAACCCGAGGATTAAAAAATATCTAAGAGATGTCTCAAACCAGTTACATACTGACCTTATTCGGATCCTGATTAAAACAAACTACAGTAAGTTATTATTTAATAAAACAGACAATTTATGACAACTGGAGAAATGCATACTATACAAAATTAAGAATGTATTTTTAAGTGTAATATCACACTTTTTAAAAAGAAATGCTTATGTTTTAGAAATGTGTACTGAAATATTTACAGAAGAAATGCTCTGATGTTTGAGTTCCTTCAAAATAATCTAGGGAATGCAAGGTGGGAGGTAAAAGAAGATTGCTTATATGCGTGCCATGTACTGATAAGTGCTATGGAGAGATGTTGGGTACATCAGGCCTCATTATGCTCGTCTCTCTACTGTTGAACAGTTTTCCATTAAATAAGAAAAAAAAAAAAAGACCCTACACTCTATTTTAGGAAACTCACATGCACATTCACTGACTTTCTCTGCCCTCAAATAATTATTAATTCTCTGAACAAAGGAGAACATGTACTACCTCAAGTAAACCAAGTTGTTCTATATTATCTGTAAGATTTCTGCTTGAAGAAGGTAATAGATGACCAAAAATCTTGAGTTTTAAAATGTAAAGAGCCTAGTTCATAGTATCAAGTACATTAAGGAAGTGTTGCTAAAACTAAGAAGCAATCACTTAAAATTAAGTTTTAAATAAAGCCATTAAGAATGTTACCATATTGGTTTTATTAGCATTAAAAAACATTTCTTTCCCAAATATGATGTTTTTAATCCTCTAATGTCTCATATATAAAATTTTATAGAAACAATAGTATCAGGTAAATAGAAATGAGTTTTGAACCAAGTTATTAATCTTTACTGAAAAGCACCAGCTTAACAATAGGAAAGATCAAGAAATCAGCACTCTACTGAAACCAAGTGGAGTGCAAATGATGTTGCTTATTCACACCTTTCTTGAATAATGTCATCATGTTAAAAAAATAATAAATTAGTCTTACCAAATTAGAAGGGACAGACACCTTTGGAAATAATTTTTTGAGAACTTCTTTAGCCTCCAACTCAACAGCTTCCACCTGTTGCTGCCTTTCCTAAAGCAGAAGATGAGCCAAATCAAACTTACAAGATCACAGAATGTTTTTAAAAAAAGAAAAGAAAAAAACTATAGTGTTTTATAATTCTACGGGAAGAAAAAGTTTAAAAAAAATTTTTAATACTAACAAATATTAAAATTTCCCACTTTAAGATATTAAAATGCTCCCATAAGAAAAAATCTGCAAAATCTCTAAAGCATCCTAAATATCAAATAATGCCTTAGCAATATCTGACAATATGGACATTTTCCCTGGCATTTAGAAATCAAGTGATTTGCCTGTCCAGGAACAATTCAAAATCAGACACACAAAAAGCATTTCTTATAGCTAAAACTTTATAAACTACCTATAGTAGAAAATACACATTGGAGGAACACAACTGAGCTTTATTGGCTGGTATATCTCTATTAAAAAATGCATCACTGATGGACTATATAACATCATGGCATTAAAATGGTAACTCTCTTATTTCCAACTTCAAGGTCATGTGAAGTATTTATGCTAAACAAGGAGGACCATCAAAATCTGATGGATGACATAAATGGGAAAAAGAAAGAACAAGGAGCAACTGATGGCATATTACTTCACTAATGCCACACATCATAAAAACTAGTTCTGACACTTGTATATGGACTCTGCTATAAATTTACAAATATTACAAATGTCTAAGTCTAAATGTGCTGATATTAAATCCAAGTCTAATGGATATCAATTATAAACTCAAAACCATGGTTTGTCAAAATTAGGGTAATGACTTATCACGCACCAAAAACAAAAATGTAACATTTCAACTACCTCCACAAGACTTGAAAAAAAAGACCCCTATAAAAATGCACATCTAAACCAAGCCAAGAAAATCATCTAAAAACAACAGTCACAAAGTTCAACAGGTGACAAGAAGGCAAGCAAGCTAGAAACATCTCAACCATATCTTTCCCCCAACATTTATATGTGAAATTTGAAATCTATCACTGATTCAAGGTCTACACACTTCAATTTTAGAAAATCTAATCACATGAAAATTTACACAACAGCTACAGATTTTGCCATTTTCCATACACACAAAAAGCTGTTAAAGATCAGCAGCAGTATTTTTACAATAGGTGTTTTAATAGGATATTTTCAATAATTCAATGAAGTCCACTAATTTTCAGGAATACACCTAACTGCATAAAATAAGGAAAATAATTAATGCTATTTCAAGGACATTAAGAGGTAATTCTTATCATTTGACCAAAGTACTAATCTTTAAAGAAAACCGGTTAGGAAAAGAGACACTGAGGAACAGCTTTTTGAAAACTTTCCAAGGAAAAAAAAAGACTAACTAAAAGAACAAAGTATCTAACATAACCAAGAGCCACAAACATGGGAAGTTACTTTTATTTGGTATTAACAATTTTAGCTAAGTAGTTTTCATCTGACACAGTAGTTTGGTTATAGACAGCAATTTCCATTCCACTTTAACATCTGGGAAAGATCTAATATTGAAAACTGAACTATAATTTGCATACCATCTTTAAGTGAAATGTATAAGAGTTTCTTTCAGTAGCTCCTCAAGAGTATTTAGCCTTTAAAAATAATCCTGTAAAGACAGCATATATCATCCTCTTTACATTTTAGGTAAGCTGACCGTAACTTATTTCTAGTTAAAATACTAAAAGTGTTTCACATAGTTCCTTTTCATCACAACATAATTTATGGCACTGGGTCAATCAACATCCCTTTACACGTATGCTATCTAAGGACTGTCTAAATTCCATTGAAATATAGAAGACTTTCAATTCTATTCTCTGTAGATCTTTAGCTATGCAAGAAGGCATTATGCACAAAAATTCTTTCTTTTAGAATCATAAAATGCAAAAATGCCTATGGCAAGTAGCATGTAACTTCTTGTAGGAATGGTGTGATTAGCACCCACATACCCAGTCCCACTAAAAAAATAAAACCAAAAAGGTGGCTCTTAACCATCAAAAACAAAGTAATATAAACAACCAGAAACCACACTAAAACCCTCATCGCTGACAGAAATGACTGTACAATTGCAACTACTCCCAGTGAAATAATAATGAAATGTCCTATCTGACCTAGATTTTCCTACTCTCTGGTCCCAATATACCTCTCAGCTATCTCGAATTTAACCTTTACTGAAAATTATGGCTAGATAAATAGGGATATAGTTAAATACAAATCCACTAAGCTACAGGAAATGTAACTACAAACGTATACTTGCTAAAAAAAAAAAAAATTTACAGAACTATTTTATGCTTAAACATTCCTTCAGGTGTCACTAAGACTTATATTAAAGATTCAATAGAGTACCATGGCACACAAAATATTTTCATAGTGCTAAAATTAATCATGTAGGTTCTTTCTTTTACCTGTCTGCAAAATTCAATACCCCTGTTTCACATTTACACTTGACAGGAATTTTCAAAATACTTAACTGGACTGGCAGATTCAATTTTCTCAATCTTTAAAAACAACTTCTCTATTACAATTCATTAGAAATCTTCACACCCAATGGTACAACTTGAGCTCAAGGAGAATGTCCTCCATTGTTCTGAAGACAGAGGGGGCTATATATTTCAGGAGTACTTTACATACTCTGGTCAAGAGAATTATCCCTTGATAGTAATATTTCATCTAAACATGCCATGTGTCATTGCTAGCCAGTAATACATGAAGTTTCAGTCCACCACCTCTAAGGAACCATTCCAAGCAACACACCCAAAGTTGATGCCTTTCCTGTATTTAAGACTTTGATCATTTCTCTACCTTATCTGAGACATCTTGGTGTGCCCTCCAAAACACGTAGTTTATGGCACATCCTACATATTCAAATGTGTTTGTTAATTCACCTAGATTTCTTTGGTTCAAAGTTTTCATGAAAGTTATCTTAACCAACCCAAAAGGCGCATATTGTCTGACAAGAGGTTAACATCGGTCTTCTGAGACTCTTCAGCTTAAAGTTGTGCTCAACAAAGCCCAAACAATCAGGTAATCACAACAAATCAGCATGCCCAAAATTAAAGCTTCAAGGAGTAGATGAAAAAAGCAGAGATGATAGAGATGATAAATATGGATAAGGAGATTTTATATTTAAATTGCAGTAAAAGTAAATGCTTTAGTCTGATTTTAAGACAAGCTGCAGATTTTCTCTGTTCAGTGGATTGTTTCTAGGAGTTAGCATTACAACCTTGGAAGTCTTGTTCACTTTGTCCTGCAGCATTTTTTCAGTTGATGCCAATGCTTCCATTGCTTCCCAGTTTTTCTCCCGAAGGTCCTAATCATTTTTAGAAAGAATGATTTCAGTTTATCCATTATTGAAAGATTTTTGCTTTTTTACTTCATCAGTATTTTGCACTGCATTTAAATGCTGGTTACTGCAAAATTATTTCAATGGGAAAATATGCATATTAGCAAAAAAATAAAAAGCAATGTTTAGAAGTTTGAATGAGAAAATAAAGACGCCCACTTTCCATGTTTTAGTATATATATCAAATAGGCCAGCTTTTAAAATAATTACTATGCACATGTGACAAAGAAGAAAGCATTCAAAAGTAAAGACACAAACCAAGAATACATACATGATTTCAGGTACATTGAACATTAGAAGATTAAAGACAGAGCAAATATAGAAGTATTATAAAAAGCTTTTCATGTGATGTTTAAACGAGGCCCAATAACACTCATAGGACTTTCCACTGCAGTGTAACGTTTTTTCTCTATGGTTTAATACAATTAACATGTTTCAAATCTACCTAGGAATCCCATAGTAACCCACTGTGTCCTATGTCTTTCTTGGCATGGCCAAACATTCATGCCACAAAACAACCTTACATGAATTGTATGAGCTAGTTGATCAAAGCAAAGGGGAAGGCTGGAAGGCTATAAAATAGATTCTCTTGGAGGCGAAAGAGGTTATTAAAAATTGAGAGATCTGGATTTTAACAGCATTTCATTCACAAATATAATCTGCTATATTTCAGTCTTTTTTTTCAGAATGAGAAATCTAAACAGATAAAAACCAACAACGAAAAATAAAAAGCCAATAATCACCATTTATTACTTAATATATGCCAACCACTGTACTTGGCAGTTCACAAATTCTCACCGTTACAACAACCCCATGAGGTATTTATTCCCATTCTATAGATAGGGAAACCACAGCTCAAGTAAGTTAGGAAACTGAGCCAAGTATACACAGAAAACGAAGTGGCAAAACTAGAAGGAAAGACTGACACTGCTATCTGCTGGCCTCCAGTGTCCTGGCTCTTTTCACACGGGTTCAATGTCTCCAGCGCTGCTGCTGCTGCTGCATTACCATGCCCTCCTTATCTCAGAAGTCCAATAATAAAACACAGTTAAGATGTTAGCAGTATATCGGCAAGTTCACCTCAAGTTTTGTGGCTAAGCAATGCTGTTAGTACTGTTATACCAACACAGAAGTGGCAATTCATGTACCTAATTTTGACAAACTCAGGGGTACAAGAAAATGTCAACTTGTTAAATTAACAATTTAACACAAACTTTGAAAAACAGAAAACACACATCCATTTACTAGCAATACTCCCTTAGATTTCAGTAACATTTTATCCTTGCTCAAGTCTTAGCAATCACACTACAGTGTACAAAAATTTCTTCTCTAGCAAGAATGCTTGGACTCTACTTACAGGTGTTGCCCTCTGGTATGAGAAAAGTTAAGAAATTCCACTAAATTGTTTGTCTATTCAGTAAGTTATTAGGGTTCATATTTCTGAAAGCACTATCCCTTCCCTTTCTAGTATAAATGTAGTCAGGTTCTAAAGCCTCTAACACACTTAATTACCAAAATTTGAACCACCTCTCAGTTAAAAATGGGAGGTTCTGGCCAGGTGCCGTGGCTCACACCTATAATCCCAGCACTTTGCGAGGCCGAGGCAGGTGGATCACTTGAGATCAGGAGTTCGAGACCAGCCTGGCCTACATGGTAAAACCCCACCTCTACTAAAAATACAAAAAACATTAGCTGAGTATGGTGGTGCACGCCTGTAGTTCCAGCTACTCAGGAGGGTGAGGCAGGAGAATCGCCTGAACCCAGGAGGCCGAGTTTGCAGTGAGCCAAGTTCAAGCCACCTCCAGCCTGGGCAACAGAGCGAGACCCTGTCTTAAAAAAAAAAAAAAAAAAAGGGCAGGAGGAGGTTCCAGAAGGCTTTCAAAAGACCCCATTACTGAGTATACTGGGTTTGAATACTGGCATTACTTTTAGTTTACAAAAAGGCCAGCCCAATCTAAGAGGAAATATCTTTGATTTTAAAATACCAAGCTGAAAAACATGTTTTTCCAAATAAAAGTTCAACAAAAAGTCAATTGCATTTTTAGCTTTTTAAAATAACTAAAGGTATAATAATTATAGCTTCAACATTTAAATATTTATAAGAATAAGAATTCATCTTTTCACTTATTTAAAAAAAACTGTTCTCCAATAATGCCCCGCCCCCCGAAAAAACTACACACAGAAAATAGTACTTTCTTACAAAGATTAAGAAATCTAAAGTAAAAGTAGATTTAAAAAAAATTCCTGAACCATATTTCAGTGTTAAAGTAATAAAAAGAAAAGCTTCATTCTGATAAAGATCTACTTACATTGTTTTTCTTCCTCTGGTGTTCAACTGCATCCTTCAAAGAATCTAACTCATTCCAGAGACCACTTATTTCTTTCTCTCTTTCTGAAATTCTAAACCAGAACATGAATACATGTAGCAAGATTTTAGGTAAACAGTAATACAACTTAGATCCCTACCTATCAACATTTGCTATTACAAAATAAAAATATCAAGAGATAGCACCTTGAAAAGTACATTAAAGAGTCTACCTACTGTTGACCATACAAAGCCCATCCTATGAATTTCAGAAATGATTTCTAATATAAGTTTTTATGCCTAATATGGTATGCTCAGGCTTGTGCTAAAGAGAAATCTCATCCCCTAAGAAACATATTATGAAGATATGAACTGTTGTAGCTATTTATAGTTTTACCTGGGTCAGTACACAGTAGCTATTTTTAGAGGAGTTAAAACTGATGTAGAAGCAGTCCCTTAAATATATTTTTTTTTCCAGAGGGCAATGAATCAGTTATAACTTTAAATGGCTAACCCACAACAAAAGTATAATATTAAAATGAGCTCAGTGTTTTCCTGCCATTTTCATACCAATCTCAACATTCATGTTTTTTTCTGCTACTGTTTCCCAGAAACGCAGAAGGCAATGGCAAAGATTCATAATTTGATTCTGTTATAGTTGAGAGTGGCTGGAGTAGAAAGTTAAATAACAAATAGCTCTTCCCTGAGAATCAGTGTCCATATAAGAGGCTGGCAAACTAGGGCTATGGGCCCACTCCACAGTCTGTTTTTGTAGGTCCTCAAACTAAGAGCTGTTTTTACATTTTTAAAGTGTTGTTTTATTTATACATGTACACACATATACACATATATATACACATGTATAAAACAGACCTATGGGTCCCACAGGCCTAAAATGCTATCAGGGCCTTTACAGAAAATATTTGCCAACCTTTTCTCTATATAGTCAAACTCAAGACTCGATTTAATAGTCAATAATTCTAACCTAGTACACAAGCAACTCTGTAAACCAACCAAGATGGAAAAACATTTAGATTAAAAGAAAAAAAATTAACAATATTCCCAATGATAGATCACTTACATCATCTATTAATATACTTAATGTGGTTGACATTTTAACATGTTGAAACACACTAACTTATGTGAAATGACCTTAAATGTAGCCTCACAGAGAAAATTACAGGCCAACAAGAAAAAGGTATCAGTAAAAAAAAAAAAAAAAAAAAACTCCTTAAGAAAGACAATCATAAAGACTATATGTATGTATTTTTTTTTTCTTGGTGCCAGGCTGGAGTGCAATGGTGCGAACTTCCTGGGCTAAAAAGATCCTCCCACTTCAGCCTCCCGAGTAGCTGGGACCACAGGTGCATGCCATCACACCCGGAATTTCTAAACTTTTCGTAGAGACGAGGTCTGACTATGTTGCCCAGGCTGATCTCAAACCCCTGAGCTCAGTGATCCTCCCGTCTCAGTCTCCCCAGCTGCTGGGATTACAGGCGTGAGCTACCACATCTATCCTAAAATTTCTTTAAAAAATGAAGCTAAGACAAAATTTGCATCATTCAATTACACAATCACATCTAGAAGAAAGAAGACCCAGTAAGATAACTGACATAATAGAAGGTGATTTAGAAAACCCTGCAAAGTATAGTTTAACTTGATTTGATGTTTTCTGAATGCCTAAAAAAACAAAAACAAACATCTCCCTCAACAAAATATTCAAATCCAAATACCATAAAAAAAGCATCTTAGCCAAAGGTACTACTCAACTCTAAACTGCAATTCAAGATATCCAAATAGAACTGTAAAAATCAGGTGCCATTTGCAGTTACACTAAATTGCTTATTTGAGAATGGTTTACCACATAAAAATAGTTACGACTTTATAAACTGTGACTCAAACTTATTACTTACACTTTTAATAATTCTTCATGAGGGGGAAAAGAAGATGCCTATCAAAAGAGTTAAATGTTATTTCAGAACAAAACTTTTCAGGAGACTTAAAAACATTGAAGCTTTTCTCAAATATAAATTAAGAAAACAACAAAAGTAAAAATAGTATATATTTCATATGCCAGTAACCCTGACTTTAATCAAGTGATTTTAATAAAAACATGTACAAATCTGTAAAATGTATGGAATGCTAAATCCAATCTCTACTGTCGCAACGTACTTGAACTCTTCATTTAATAAGTATTTATCAATTTCCCACTATGTGCATGGAAGCACACCTTACATTTTCAAACTGCACAATTCAAATTTGACTACATAAAACTGTTAAGCTTCCAAGTTAAAAAAAAAAAAAAAAAACAGAAATCAAAAGCAAAACTAGGACAAGTTATGTTTCCTCACGTTTAACAAAGTTATTTATACATCAACATGCAAAGGTACACAGCCCTTCATATATGGTATTTATTCCTTGGTGACAATAATCTCTCAAGCTTCTTGTTTGCAAGGACTCCAATTCATTTGTTTCTCAAAATACTATCAAGTCTATCCATATACATGCATAAATTAATTTACAGGCTATTTTGGGTAGCATCTTTTATAAAAACACACTTTTGATTTACCAAGCAGAATTATAACTTGAAAACCTCTTTTAAATAGTAGTAGACTATTGCTTATGATACATTTGTTAGTTTCTCTCCAGTTACTAATGTTTCATTTGGGAAGAGGGGAGATAAGAGTGTGTACACATATCTTTAACCCAACCTCTACAGTATTTAAACTGACTTGCTAAGAATTCTAGGATCAGAAAACACACATGAATACAAAACAGAGCTGGAATACCGGCAATAATATTATTTGTGTATACTTTATAGATTTGTTTTACTTTGGATATGACATAGCAAGTTGCTTTCTTTTATATAAAATTTGATAAACATAAATAAAACATACTTCATTCTCAATGAAAATGCAGAAATGGCAAAAATACTCATATGTCACTGGTTATATAATTTTTTTGCCACGTAAGTGAAAGGCAAGACATCTAATAATACCTACCTGTTGGTAGTTTTGTTGTTTAAGCTGCTCAATTTGGGACTTAAACAATTTGTTTTCATCTTGTACATCCTAATTAAATAAAAATTAAACATCAGTATCTAAACAGATTTTTTCCACATAAACTTAGATCATACAAGCTAGAAACAGATCATACAAGCTAGAAAAATTCCAAAATAGCAATAATTTTAAAGGGTGTAATAAGCTCTTTATTAAAACATATGATGAAATTAGAGTATTTATATTAGTACTAGCTGCGGAGTTTGCATGTCTCAATGGAACAAAATAGAATCCAGAAATATACCGAAATAGCTCTAAGAATTTAGTATGAAGTGACATTTCAAATCAACCTCAACTCTAGTAACATTTTGGGTTTCATATTTTTCTTTGTTGTGGGGGTTTTATCCTATGCACTGCTGGACATTTAGAAGCATCCATGGCACCCATCCACTAGATGCCCCAGCCCGCCTGCCCCAGCTGTGACAACCAAAAATGTCTTCAGATATTGACAAATGTCCCCCTGGGGAACGGAATTACTACTGTTATGATGGATTATTTAATAATGTGGCTAGCCTTCTCTTTTTAATGGTTACAATGTTATTGTTACAGCTTACTGAAATAAGTTACACTAAATAAGCTAAACAAACAAACAAACAAAAAGAATTATAAACACATTAGAAGAAAATGTAATTTTTTTTTTTTAAAGATGGCAGTCTTGCTGTGTTACCCAGGCTGGAGTGCAGTGGTGTGATCTTAACTCACTGCAGCCTCTGCCTCCCGGGTTCAAGTGATTCTCCTGTCTCAGCTTCCCGAGTATCTGGGACTACAGGCACCTGCCACCATGCCCGGCTAATTTTTGTATTTTTTTAGTAGAGTCGGGGTTTCACCACGTTGGCCATGTTTGGTCTCGAACCCCTGACCTCAAGAGATCCACCTGTCTCAGCCTCCCAAAGTGCTGGGATTACTACTGTGAACTACCACACCCAGCCGAATACATTTTTATGATCGTAGAGAGATACCTTTCTTCCAGAGACTTAAAACTCTAGAAATTACTTATATTTGAGTACATAAAAGTTTCAAATTTCCCAAAAAGGGGAAAAACACAAATGAAGTCAGAAGAAAAAATGGGGAAAATAAATCACCTCATATAATAACAAAAGGTTATTTAATTTCCCTTATTACATAAAAAGGATCTTACAAATTAGTAAAAAAAAAAAAAACGTCAACTCAGTGGAAAAAGTGTGGGAAAAATTAAAGGACAATTCATATAAAAATGGCTTGAACATACGAAAAATGCTTAACTTCTCTCGCAGTCAAATGCAAATTAAAAATAATCTTACCATCTTTCAAGTATAATATCAAAAATTTTTATCCTTGTCAATGTTGGAAAGGAAGAAGGTGAAATGGCCCTTAGTTGGTGAGAGTGTCAATTAGTGAAAACACTTTTGCAGGTCTATCTAGCATTGTCTAACAAAATTTAAAATGAACCTACATGAGAGGGAGAAGGAATGTGGTAGACTCAAACCTTGAAGCATGTAATGTGAGCAAGATTAATCCAAGACAATGTAGGCATCTACACATTTGCTATGACTTCAAATCAATCTTCTGTAAGTAAGTTGAATACTAACTGCATGAAGGTAAGATATTGATTTTCTATTTAACTATCTCTTTTAACAAACAAAAAAGCTACATAAGCCTTGATCCAGAATTTCACTTCTAGGATACAGATAACACTAGTAAAAGTATTCAAAACATGTGCAAGGATATTCACTGCTGCACTGTTTGTGCAGAAAAAACAGCCCTAAATAATCTAGGTATCCATCAACTGGAATTGGTTATATAAATGATATATGCTGGCTGCGGTGGCTCACACCTATAATCTCAGCACTTTGGGAGGCCGAGGTGGGAGGATCACCTGAGGTCAGGAGTTCGAGACCAGTCTGGCCAACATGCTGAAACCCCATCTCTACTAAAAAATACAAAAATTAGCTGGGCATAGTGGTGCATGCCTGTAGTCCCAGCTACTCTAGAGGCTAAGGCAAGGAGAATGGCTTGAACCCAGGAGGAGGAGGTTGCAGCGAGCCGAGATCACGCCACTGTACTCCAGCCTGAGCAACACAGCAAGACTCTGTCTCAAAAATAAAAATAAAATAAATGATATAACCATCCAATATCATAAAACTATTAAAAGTTAAGGCAGAAATGTGCTTTATATGGAAAGATCTTGAAAACACTGTTAATTGTGAAGAAAGCAAAATATACAAGTTAGTATAGTTCAACAGAGTATTTAATAAACAAGTATACATACATACACACATTTTATGCATGGGTACTTACTCAAAAAACATGCCAATAATGACACCTAGTATCTGGGTGGGAGGGAGACTCATTCTGTACTCTATTTTTTGGCAGCAGTTAAAAATTATTTTAAAGCATGCAAAGACAATAATTTACAAAATAATTAATTTTAAGTCACCATATTCACCTGTAACAGCTGTGTTTTGCTAGAAAGATCACTCTCCCTCTCTTTTAGCATGGCTTCTAACCTCTTCAATTCATTTTCCTTTTCTTTCAACCTAGAATTTTTTACAAAGATCTGCATTAACTAAAGTACATAAAAAAGGAAAACCAGACTCCAATATCACCCCTAAGAAAAAAGATGGCAGAAACAATACATACCAGCTTTTTTTCCCCCATATTATACCAACTTAGAAGTTTGTTTAAAAAGATATTTCTAGGATCATTCTACTCAGTCATACTTAACATTTCTTAAGCAAATGTGGCTTTATCTAGGAAGAAACTCTAAAACAAAAACTAAGAACAAAACTATATTTTATCAAATTGTTGCAAAAATTACCACTTCAAAAGCAAGGAGTTTTGCCCCCAAGAATCTTAGTCATAATTTGTTGACCCTGGAAATTACAAAATATGTCTAACCTTTGTACTGAAGAGATGCTATGGATAATTTAATCTGTTTTTCCCTTACCCAATGCTGACGTAAATCTTACTCTATCTAGCCCAAGTGAATCTCAATTGCCCTGGTCATCCTAAGCAATAGACCGCTAGCATAACACCACCATCAAAATGATGTGTTTAACTGTTTCCTCAGGATAGGAAATCTTATCCATTTCGGTATCCCCAATGCCAGAAAGCACATAATAGAGTCTCAAGTATTCGTTGAGCTGAACACTTATTTTTACCACACCTTGATCCAGAATTTCAAGATGCTTATAAATCTATATGAAAAAAATGACAAAACAGCATACATGAAGAGTGAGATAAATGTATAAAAAGGGAAAAACTCAAATGCATATTGCTAAGTAAAAGAAGGCAATCCAAGGGTGAGCATGGTGGCTCATGCCTGTAATCCCAGCATTTTGGGAGGCCAAGGTGGGAGGATCACTCAAGCCCAGGAGATCAAGACCAGCCTGGGCAACACAGGGAGACTCTGTTTCTAAAAAATTAGCCAGGCATGGTGGCATGTGCCTGTAGTCCCAGCTACTCGAAAGGCTGAGGTGGGAGGATCGCTTGAGCCCAGGATGTCCTGGCTGCAGTGAGCCATGATCACAGCCCTGCACTCCATGTACTCCAGCCTGGGCCACAGAGAAAGACTCTGTCCCAAAAAAAAAGAAAAGAAAAGAGCCAAACCAGAAAAGCCATATACTGTATGATTTCAACTACGATATTCTGGAAAAGGTAAAACTCTGAAGACAGTAAGATCATTGGTTGCCGGGGGGTGCTGCCGGGATGTGGAGGAAGGGAGGGAGGGATACACAGGTAGAACACAGGAGATTTTTAAGGCAGTAAAACTGTTTTGTATGATACTGTAATGATAGATACATGTCATTATACATGTTAAAACCCACATAGTTTCCTAATGGAAACTATGAACTTCAGTTAATAACAACGATAACAATGTACTGCTATTGGCTCATCACTTGTAACAAATGTACCATGCTAATGCAAGATGTTAATAGGGAGAATTGGTATTTCTCTTTTTCCTATAAATATAAAAAGTTCTCCACCACAAAAAATAAAATCTATTAATTTAAAAAAGAAAATGGCAAAAAAAAAAAAAATGTAAGGCAGAAATATACCTAAAATTACCTACTTTAATGGTCTACATATCTCTACTATAAACAGGCCAGAAATGAGGCCCTAAGCTTTCCAAGCAAATAAGAGATAAGCACCTCGACAGTTACACCATAGCCAAAAGACAAACAATAATTGTACAAATGAGTAATCTTCCAAGAACAGAGTAATCTCCCTTTTAGAAAGATAATAACCTAATAAATATCCTCAATATCTTGACAGTTTAAAACGGGGCACTTCTTTAAAACAAATATCAATAAAGAGTAATGGTATCACCAAGAAAAATTTGTTAAAAGCAATTTTAAAGGGGGCCAAAAAGATCAGGTCCAGATACCCTTTCCCACCATTGTAACCTGCTGTACCTTAAGACAACAGACTCTCTAGAATAAAACATTTTCTAAGATTAATATCTACAGAAACTGACACCTCTTATGCTGACTAGATTCAGTTTTCCTATTCAGCACAGGATAATATGACAAGTTCCATTTTCCCTATAAATAAATTAAAATTACAGAAAGGTTTAAAATTCATTATCAAGATTATGGCTAAGATTATCTTTTGGTTAATTCAGAGATGTTACTAACATCTAATTCAAATACTAATTTTCATTTGAAATAAGTTTAATCTCTATAATAATTGCATATTTTGTTTTAAAAAATAACTTAAAACCAGCCTATATTTGCAGAAAGAATAATTGAAAAAATGGGTTTGATGGATTTGGAAAGGATAAAGTCTCCAGGTATCTGAAAGCATTTAAATAACCTTTATTTTACCCAACAGAGACTTAGCCTATTTGCGTCTGGAATTATAATTTCCACTTAACAATAAAGTTAATGATGTACAGGAAACTCATCATTATATTCAAGCACACCCTGGAAAATAATGAGACGTTTGTTTCTCTTCAAAATGTGGTCTTAAAGCATACTTACACAATCTCAAGTTCTTCAAACTGTGATGCAGAAGAGGCCTGAGAAACAGAATCATATTTTTAATGCTGTTAGCATTAAATGTTATGTTGTAGGTGCTAAAACATATATATGGAATCACCCACCAATAAAAACAAAAACATAATTATATGCAGTAAATTTAAGATTGGGTCATTTATAAAGCAAGGACAGAATGAGTTTTATTAAACAATTTTTCATACTTATTAAAAGATTAAAGACTAATACTTTAAACAGATAGTTAAGGATGAACTAAGAGTCTATTTGAAAAGGTAGAGATAAGGAAATGCTTGTAGGCTCAGGTTGACAGATTAAGCAGTTAAGTATGACTTGCCAGAAATAAAAGCTAACTTATTTAAACAACAACAAAACTATGGTACAACATAATTTTTCTGGCAAAGAAACTCAGAACATATTAACATCTTTACTTTCTAATGCCTTAAACAAAGATTTATCATTCCTTATGTAACATGTTGGTAATTTGTTTATACTATACCTCTTTCAAGTTATGTTGTGCTACTTCCTGAACATGTGCTTTTAAAGATTCATTTTCTTCTTGAAGATCCTTAAAAAGAATAGGTGTAAATTAAATTGATAGTCAAGTATAAAAAGGCTATTTTTTATTGTTTTTAATTTCTCACCTGTAACCACTTCCCTGTATTGGCTAGGTCTTTCTCTTTCTCTTCCAAAACAGCCTTCATGGTATTCATCTGTTCCTCTTTTCCTTTTAATCTGATAATAAATTAATCAGAACTCTAAATGAAAATGTTACATGACCATAAAAAGCAAAAATCTTAGACACTGAAAAAAGTATATTTTGGGTAGTACTCACAGACCAGCTGATTGAACTAAACTAAAACTTATCAAGTATAAAGGCATACAAGGCCAGGCGCAGTGGCTCACGCCTGTAATCCCAACACTTTGGGAGGCCAAGGCGGGCGGATCACAAGGTCAGGAGATCAAGACCATCCTGGCTAACACGGTGAAACCCCGTCTCTACTAAAAATACAAAAAAATTAGCCGGGCGTGGTGGTACGCGCCTGTAGTCCCAGCTACTCGGGAGGCTGAGGCAAGACAATCACTTGAACCCGGGAGGTGGAGGTTGCAGTGAGCCGAGATCATGCCACTGCACTCCAGCCTGGGCGACAGAGCGAGATTCCATCTCAAAAAAAAAAAAAAAAAAAAAAAGGCATTTAAGATTTTGGAGACAATCAAATCAGGAAGCATAGGATGATTAAGGAAAACCATTCTATCACTGAATATCCAGACATGAGTAAGTTAGTTTAGCTGTACCTCTACCCTGTATCACCTTGTTTAAGTCAATACAAACAAATTTGGAAAACTTACTACAATTGATCTGGATGTGGAAGATACCAATTTCACATGGCTATTAAAATAGGCAAAGAGCAACATCTCAATTTGAGGTTATATTCAGATTATAAATCATGAAAAGACTTCCTACCTCCTTCCCACAAAAAAACTTAATAGGTTAAAGCCAAATAAGAAACTTAGGGCCCTTAGGAGTTTTGAGATAATCAGTATTTTCGTATTTTCTAAAACACCACTTGAAATCAAGAAGCTATAATTTTCATTATACTTCTATTTAACTCATGAAAAAGAAATAGTAAAAGGAAATGAGATAAATGGTACTTACAAGTTCTGAAGCTCCTGAACTTTGGAAGTGATAGATAACTGAAATACAAAGGACAGAAAAATCAATTAATAATCCTTTCAATTTAACTTATTAAGCTTTATAAGTCTTTATAATGTGTACACTTCAAATTACAAAGAAACTAGCTGAATTTTTCATGACAAAATGAGATGTGTTTTGAGTTTACCTCCTCTTGACTCCAATAACAGGAAAATTAATAAACTAAAAATAATAAGGGGGAGGGACAAGGAAAATAGTTATGAATAATAAGTCTAACTAATGTGATGCTTTTTTTCTTTAGGCTAGTCAAGTGAAGCAGTGGGATGGAGAAGGAATAAAGAAATCTGTAACTGGTTGTGATCAATCAGTTGTAAACACCACTGCACTCAGACCAGTCATACTTCTACAGTACTGAAAATTAGAATATTAACTCTCCACACACCTCCCTACTGTATCAGAGCTCTTCTCCATCCCAGTTTTCAAGGCCAACTACTCAACAGTACTCTATGATGTCCTTTTTTAATTTTTTCTTAATCATACACAGTCTGATAATACCTTTTATCCTCCACTCTCTTCTCACAGGCCCTTCAGATTCTTGGCTTAGATGTCAGTTCCTCAGGAGAAGACTTTCCTGAACTCTCAATCTATATTAGAAAAGTATGATCTTTTCATCCTACCTGTTTCATTCAACACATTATCTCCAATCACTAGCTAGTGATCCACCAATCACGAGTACAGTGCTTTGACAAGTACTGCTTTGACAATAAATATTGCTGAATGAATCTATGAGATGAATGAATCATCTCTTCAATGAAATCTCACTATTTTTTCAAGAAAGCCTTATCAGATTAAAATCAGCAAAACTCATCAATTTCCAGTAATCACATCTATGTCTGAAATCCCAATGAAACTTGTACTTTGTTCTAAGGCAGAGATAGAGCAATGTATATTCAAATAACATTTTGGTCCATGCAGTTTTCTTTTAGAAGGGGGCAGGGGGATTAAAAAAATTGCCAAACTGTTTCGTGTTTCATTTGTAATTGGCAAACTAAAATGAAACATTAACACAAAAAATGTTCTAGAAAATAACCATTAACAGTTAAAATTTTTAAGATATACAGATTAAAATATCAAGAATACTTTCTCAAATCAGGCAAAAAATAAAATTAAAAGCACATAACCCAATATACCTACAGCATACTAAGTTTTTTCTGAGTAACAAGAAAAAAAATCAAATAGCTCATAAATAACACAACTAATAAATCTGTCATGCTATGGCTCTGGGATTTTTACCTGTTGAGCCTTTTCAAGCTGGACATTTCCTATTTCTTCTTTTAGAGCCTTTATTTCCTGTTTCAAATCCTTGACAATGACAAAACAGACAAGATTGGACAATGGAAACACAGAAATTGACATAAAATGCAATGCACAGACAAAAACACACGAAATTAAATGATATTAACTAAAGTTGATAAACAAAAACATAAAACACAGTTCTCTGTCTCCCAATACCTGAACAGTTTTCTCCTTGTTAGCAACTTTGAGAAGTTCTGCCTCCAGAAGCTCTTCTACAGACTTGATCTTTCCATCTTTCTCATGGATCCTTCAATAAAGAAATGCAGTATAATTTGATTAGAAATCACCAAGACCCACCAAGATATAAAAATAGCACCAAATAATGAAATGGCTCTCCAAATCAACCCTTTCCCATTTTAAATAAAATAGCAACATGTCTTTGTAGAATGGCCAGGGTGAACATAAAGCTCCTCCTAACAGACAGCTGAAGCCTATGCACACAAGAAGTCAGTTAAGTGCTTCAGAAGTACATCAGAAATATAAGATTTGTACCCTGAGGAATACAGAGGAGAATCAAGTTCCATTCAACTATACTGACTCCCATCCTCTGGAAATAGTTTTTTTTTGTTTTTTTTTTTTTAATTATACTGAATTTGGGAAAGCACAGCTAAGTTCTCTTATTCCATTAAGAAAAATTATAGAGTGAAAGTTAAACATACATCAGCTGTCCCAACTGCACAATAAAACTAGATTTCTAAGCACACACAAAAAAAAAATGGACCAAAGAAGAAAAACCAGTTTATAATAATGTTATCACTTACACTTTCTTAAGTTCTTCAACTAGAGAGGCAAAAGAAACCTGGAAATAGGAAAGTATCCTACTTAGTAATTTGTTCAAAATAGAAATGGGTCAGAAATAGAAATGCACATTATCCTTAGATTTTCCAATACAATCAAAATCCAAATGGGAAAAGCCCAGGCATTCTTTCGAGACTTTTTTAATGTCATAATAATGACAACAAATAGCATTTTGAACATAGGTAGCTTTAAGGTCACTTATAAATATGCCAAAAGAAAAAATCATTAGATAAATGTTAAAATTATTTAATCAATAATTCCAACCATAGAGAAAACACAACTAAGAAACTGCCTAATTTCAGGCGGCCTCTTTTACTAGAGTCTTACTTTATATTTGTATACTTAGAACCTTTTTATCACTCTAGTAAGAGGCAATGGCACCCTATCTGGAGTATTTGTCACAGTACCTGGCAATCAGTATTAAATTGCAGCCTCTATTACTGATTATCATTCATAAATTAAAACTATAATTGACATATTCCAACCTGGAGGAAGAGAAACAACAGACTTGTTTTTATGCAACAGTTTGCCCACTGTTTAAAAGAGAATGGGCTGGGCACAGTGCCTCATGCCTATAATTCCAACACTTTAGGAAGCTAAGGTGGGAGCACCACTTGAGGCCAGGAGTTTGTGACCAGTCTGGACAACATGTCGAGACCCTATCTCTACAAAAAAATAAAATAAAAGCCGAGCATTGTGGCATGAGCCTACAGTCTTAGCTACTTAGAAGACTGAGGGAGGAGTTATCGGTTGAGCCCAGGAGTTCGAGGTTACGGTGAGTTATGATTGTACCACTGCACTCCAGCCTGGGCAAAAGAGCAAGACCCCGTTTCTTTTAATTTAAAAACAACAAACAAACAAACAAAAAACACAGAGACAAAGAACAGTTGTAAAAATTTACATTACCTGATCATTTTGCTTAGCTTTTAAGTCTTGAACTTCTTTTGTCAGAGATGAATTTTCTGTTCTTATTGCCTTTTTCAAAGACACATAAGCAAAACATGATTTTACTCTCTGAAAAATATAGCTAGCTTCAAAATACATTAGTTTCTCATTTCTTTAGCTGCTTCTTTTCTACTCTGGAAGGCCCAAAACTCTCACTTTTTTCCATGTCTATAATTCTGTAATGTCTATAATTCTGTAACTTCTATAGCTATCCAAACAAATTTTTAATTCAATTACATCCACATATATTTCCACTCATGTCTGGACAACCTCAAAAATATACAGTATACAACTTGTTAGTTAAGCTACTCCTCTCCCTACATTCAAATACATCTTTTAACTTACTTCTTCCCGCAACCTTTTCCCAATCAAGTTAGGTAAAGCTAATGACAACCATAAAATAGAATGGCAATCTCTTCTCTGGCCTCCAGTACTATTTCATGAATTAAGTCTGCTAGTTATCATTTGGTTATAATTTTGGTGCAAGTGGGGAAACTGACAAACTATAACAATAGTATCTACCTCATTAAGGCAGTCAATGTTATGCATTTTTAACTTCTAAAAAAACTTTAATTAAAAAAGCATTATATAAATTTATAAATGTGAGAGGTACTATTAAGTTTAAGATCTATGGGAAAAACCTTACACAAATTACAGAGAAATCCTTTTATGTCACTGAATAATCACAAGGAAAACAAAACTACAAAATGCTTTACATTCAGCTCCTCTTCTTTAGTTGCCACCTGAATAAGTCCAGTTTCAAGTAATTCTTCCACAGTCTTTAACTTCTCATCTTTTTCTTGAATGCTGAAATTATAAATTTGTAACACATGTATTAACTATTTTTCAAAGTTAATGATATTATTATTATAATTATTATTTTTTTTTGAGACAGAGACTCGCTCTGTCGCCCAGGCTGGAGTGCAGTGGTGCAATCTCAGCTCACTGCAAGCTCCGCCTCCCGGGTTCATGCCATTCTCCTGCCTCACCCTCCCGAGTAGCTGGGACTACAGGCGCCCGCCACCACGCCTGGCTAATTTTTTGTATTTTTAGTAGAGATGGGGTTTCACCATGTTAGCCAGGATGGTCTCGATCTCCTGACCTCATGATCCACCCGCCTTGGCCTCCCAAAGTGCTGGGGATTACCAGCATCAGCCACCATGCCTGGCTCTTTTTTTTTTTTTTTTTTTTTTTTTTTGAGGCAGAGTTTCACTCTTGTCGCCCAGGCTGGAGTGCAATGGCATGATTTCGGCTCACTGCAACCTCTGCCTCCCAGGTTCAAGTGATTCTCCTGCCTCAGCCTCCCAAGTAGCTGGGATTACAGGCATGCACCACCATGCCTGGCTAATTTTGTACATTTGGTACAGACAGGGTTTGCCATGTTGGCCAGGCTGGTTTCAAACCCCTGACCTCAGGTGATCCACCCGCCTCAGCCTCCCAAAGTGCTGGGATTACAGGTGTGAGCCACCACGCCCAGCAGTTAATGATATTATTTCTAATCATTTTAAATGGATCAACTCTTTTGTCCATCATTTCTTATAAACTTTTAATTCTAGAAAGGCTTCTAGGGATCTTTGATCATGGTCTGAGGATACTTCCTCTTTACAAGTAAAATGTACTCAAGTAATTCATTCTTATATGCTAGCCTCAACAAGTAAAATTACTGCCACACGTGAAACCCACAAACGGTAATGTAATCCCAAATCAACAGCATACTACATTTCTTCCATTACAAAGTTTAAAGAGAATTTTAAAACTCTAATTAATGTAGTTAATTTGGTAGAAGTAACTCATCAAAATATAAAAAGAAAACTAAACTCTTACCATTTTTCCATTTGTTCCACAACATCCTTATTAGGCTAAAATAAAAATCACCAAAAAAAGTTTAACTTTACCAAATTTGCATGAAGTAAAACCAGATGAGAAATGTAATTTTGTGAAAATTGTTTAGGGTTATTAAATAGATACAAAATTTAGGACAATAACTTATCTGAAGACTTGATAATTAAAAAATTCAGAAAACACAAAACAAAGAGATACATCTACACAAGAGACACAGAAAAAGTAGCAGTGTAAAATGGGCTGGCAAAATGAATTAGTATCTTATGAAAAAAATCTTAATCACTAGAAAAGATAACCTTAAGACAATCTGCCTCACTTCCTTTACATTAATTCAATTCTTCAAATACAAAGAATCCAGACTCTAAGACCTCGCAAGTCCAAAAAAAAAGAAAGAAAAGAAGAAAAGAGAAGGAAAGAGAAAGAGAAAGAGAGAGAAAGAGAGAAGGAAAGGAAAGGAAAGGAAAGGAAAGGAAAGGAAAGGAAAGGAAAGGAAAGGAAAGGAAAGGAAAGGAAAGGAAAGGAAAGGAAAAGGAAAAGGAAAAGGAAAAGGAAAGGAAAGGAAGGAAAGAAAGGAAAAAAAGGAAGAAAGAAAGAAAGACAGACAAACATGGGCTCTTTTAATTGATTTTTTTTCTATACTAAGGTGTAACATTTACGTAGACAAGTGCATAAATCCTGTTCACAGCTCAGTGAATTTTGGTAGATAGATATTATGTAACTACCAACCAGATCAAGATATAAAATGTTTTAAAACTGATTGTAAATTGCAAAAGCAACAGGAATACATTCTATTTATAAAGCATTAGAACATGACATGTAAGATGAGTCCCCTTTGAAACTTCTCCTGGCATCCTCTGGTACACACACAAGTCCCCAATGTTAAAATTTATCTTATGTCCAAAGTGGGATTTCTCCCTCAGTATTCCCTTATCTTCCCTTATCTTCAGACAGCCAAGCAGCCTGACCAAAAAGATTTAGGGTCTTTCTCCTAGAACATTCTCTTCTGTGCACCTCTTTCCCAATCTTGCTAGTTTCTTACTTTTTTCCCATTTTTTTGTTTTTCCCAATCTTATTACAATCATTTTTTACAAATGATATTAATTTTTCCACTGCCCTATCCAAGTCCTAAAATTCCACTCTGTACATATTTATGAAATTAAACCCTTCTCTTTAATGCCTAAGTTTTGGCCCTCAGCTTACTCATCTCAAATATCATAATACCCTAATTCTTCTCTCTGCTTCTAGTTCATAAGAATTGTTTTGTAGGAGGCACAGGAAAAAACTTCCCAATGGGAAAAAATAATCCAAACATGAGAAGGGAAATAGGAGTTGTCAAAAGTACATTAAATCAGGTTTATACTATGAAAAACAAATCATGCATTAAGCCTTTAAATCATTCATGAAGATGGCTTTTGTCCATCTATATTTTCAATGAATGCCATCTCACAAAAAGACATAACACTATTAAGTCTAAGTTACCTGCACCTTAACCATTTACTGTATTGTACCTTTAGTTACTCCTACCTACCAGAGTATTCTTTCTAAAATGTTAGGCTAAATGCTCATTTATCCTTGCAACACTCTTTAGTGGCTTACCCACATGCTGCATCAGGTTCATGGTCCTGACACAGCATACAAAGCCCTTCATAATTAGGTCTTAGCAAATCTTTCTCTACTCCTTACATCCTTCCTGTATTTTGTACTTCTGCAATATACCAATACTCTGAATATGCCAATCTTGCCACACTGTCATGTCTTTGAACATTGTATTCCCTCAGCCTGGACTGTCTCTTAGCTCTTTGGCAAATTCATGCTCATTTTTCAAAACGAGGTTTAGTTGTTCCCTGTGTTACCTCCCCACCTCCTTCAAATATTAATAGAATGCATTATCTCTTCCTCTAAACCTGTATAGAGTTCAGAAACTTCATTCACCATAACTTTCTGTTTAACATATCTATCTCCATATTAGGAGGGCAAGAATCAAGTCTCATTCATCTCTGCAACCTCAGCATGTAGGTAAGCAACTAGCATATACTCAACTAGTAAATAAGTATTTGATGAATTTTTTTTAATGAAGTTCCAGTTTAGAAAGTATTCTTGGTCTGCAGCTCATCAAATACTCTATTGCATAAACCTGACTCAGCTTAGTTTGCATCTCCTCCAACATTTTTACTTTACTTCATACTTTATTGGTTTAATCCAATCCTACTGTTTCCTCCCCTAGATGATTTCCAAAACTAAACCATATACAATATATTCTGCAATACAATTTAACAAGGCAGTAGGGCAAAAAGAAGAAACTTCTTATAGTTTTCACTTAATAATCTTGATCACTGAATCTTAAAAATCTACTGGAATAAGAATGTCATGCTGCTCCTTCACTAAAAGTCAAAATGTGCTCCCCCACAGCAAAAAAAAAAAAAAAAAAAGTCTTATTCTGAGTAAATGAAATATTAGTAAATGATTTATTTGCATTATCTGACCATCTGCAAGCCTAAATCCAAATGCAGCCTTCCCTCCTTTAGGGTATCAACAGGTTAACTTACTTGGTACCTGTTGTCTTTCTGCTTCCTACACCTGAAGAAACAACAACTTGGCACCATTATTGGTTTCTGCTTTTATACGCTCAATCTTTTCCTCCAGAATAAAAATCCATGGGGTAAAAGGACTGAAATTTTTACATAACTAAACTGTTCAATCTCTCAACTGTCACTTGGAATTCTGACTGTGGGATAGAAAGGGGTTAAAGAAAAGTGGAAATGACAGAAATTAAGATTATACCAATCTTTTCTCTTCTTTCACTAGCAGCAACAATAAAAACGACTAGAGGAAAAGCCACAGAAATGATTCTTTGTCTGCCAAGATGAAAGAAGTCTCAACTATAACCAAAACCTCAGTCATATGCTTTCTAGACTATTAATAAAAAGCTTTCAGAGTCAGAAGAACAATTCTAAGAATTACCCAACAGATCTTAAATTAGTATCACAAAATGAGTTTCCCCCTTATCAAATAATTCTTTTAAATAAATCAAAAAATGTGGCTATAAAATTTTATCCTGTGAATTATTCTTCATAACAAAAGCACATCTCATACTAAAAGTTGTCACTTTAACAAAACATCTAAAAGTACGTAGAAACATTATAATAAAAGGCTGACTTAATAAGATAGCAATAATATTAACTTTCATAAATATGATTGGGAATTTTACATAAGGTATTACAATGGCATTTCTCAAGGTATTACATGATTTTAAAGGAAAAGAAAAATTTAAGGCTGGTGGTTTTACTTTTATCTAATGATGGAAAATACCATTTTTAGCAAAGAACAGAAGTTTTCTGTTTAAATAAGAGTCGCCAGCACCTGGATACTACTAGAATATAAGAATTCTAGGACAGTTTCAGAAGTTTCTAAGCATTTGTTTTACCTCCATGAAGTTAATTTTAAAGTTTAAAACTTCATACACTGGTTATCAGCATTTCAAAAATCTCTGGTAACTAACACACAGAAACTATACTCTGCTTTTCCAAGTAAGAACACACACACAAAAATCTATTACATTTTATCTAATCCAAGTCACCAATGTTATATCTCACCACTGCTATTTAACAGTAAAAATTAAAAATGTTGCCAACTAAACAACTAAACTGTAACCAGAGACTACAAGATACATTCTTATTTCAGAGATGGTAAGGGAGGGTGGGGGGAGAGAAATCTTATAATTGGTATCATATCTTTTTTGTAAGCTATACCAGAAAAGGAAATAAGACAAAAATAAGCCTTAGCTGGGCACAGTGGCTCACATCTGTAATCCCAGCACTTTGGGAGGCCGAGGCAGGCAGATCACTTAAGGCCAGGAGTTCAAGACCAGCCTGGCTAATATTGCAAAACCCCGTCTCTGCTAAAAATACAAAAATCAGCGGAGCATGGTGGCATATGCCTGTAGTCCCAGCTACTCAGGAGACTGAGGCACGAGAATGGCTTTAACCTGGGAGGTGGAGGATACAGTGAGCCAAGATAGTGCTACTGAACTCCAGCCTGGGCAACAGAGGAAGACTCTGTCTCAAGAAGAAAAAAAAAAAAAAGAATAAGCCTTAAATGCCATTTAAACTAAATATCATCCCTTCAGCACTGTCTCCTCTATTACCTTTAGTTTACAAGGGTAAAGCAAATACAAAGTAAGTAGTAAGACTATGTAATAATGCACTTAATATCATACGGGGAGGTAGAATAAATGGATTATTTCTTGACAAGTTAACAAAATACTTCCAGAGGCACAGCTACTTACACCAGCTCAATATCTGCATAAATGTGAATTTTAAAATAAATGAAAGAACGCATGCATTTGCTAAAGAAGTGCTATCATTTGCAATGGCTTTACATTTCGGCTTCCAATAAAAGTACAATTCAAAAACTTAATATTAGGAACAAACGCAAACTTCCTATTCTAATGTGTCATCAAGAGTTTGTGTTTTATTAATAAATTGTAATTGTAAGAGCTGCGTAGAAGAAGAGTACGAAGGCAGCACTGAGGAATAGGCAGAGAACAGATACCACTGGGCTCTAATTTATGGAACCATGCTTATTCAAAGCTGATATAGTTTTGATGTCTTGCTATAAATATAAAATGAATAGTGATGGTGGCAGGGGATGGAGATGAGATGGATAAAATAAATACTCTAAGGGAAAAGAATTAAGGTTTAGATACCTGTCATAAACAAAGCACTAGACTAGGCACCATACATAAGCTTCTCCTTTCAAATCTAACAACTTTATGGTGTAAATATAATATAATCTCCATGTGAAAGGCTTGGAATGAGAGGTGTCACAAAGGTTAAGCTATTTGATCAACATCACACTGCTTTTAAGTGCTAGTAATAAGTTTCAACCTTTAAAGACACCATGCTCCCTAAAAGAAAAAGCTGAGGCTCCAAGTCTAAGGCAGGACATTTATTCTGAAAGTCAAATGTATCAAAATGGCTTAAATTATTTTTATGCATCCTATTACACATTTTTATTTTTCTGGAATGTGCTTTTGAGCAGATTGGCATTAGCTTCACCTCAGGGAGAAAAAATTTCCTGAATTTAGATACAGGATGAATAGAAAGGCAATAACAGCCATATCTAAGCTTAAGCAAAATTTCTCAATTAGTAATTTGGTACCTAAATAAGAAGAACCAGATCTTGTTATATAACAAGTATTTCTACTTTGTAATTTAGGAAAAGCCTTACCTGTTCAGAAACAAGAGTCTGTAGCTTCTGAACTTCTGATTTTAATGCTTTGTTTTGGTCATTTAGAATCTGGAAGAAAGAGTCTCAATTTACTGTTTTATTAAGAAAAAAGGTAATAAAGCAATCATTTGAATGGGTTTTTGAACAATCAAACCTTTATCTCAGCTTTCAGTCCTCAAAGTGACAGGTGAATTATACACTGACATAATTCAAATTTCACTGGACACAGAGATGCACCCTAGCACTTGGTTGGCCATGACCAGAAACTAGAACTACAGCAACAGTGGAGACAAATAAGACAGTCCCAAATAGAAACTATCAGCTGAGAAAAGATTGGGGGCCAAAAATAAATCTCCAAGCTCCACTAAAAGAACAGATAATCTAGGGGGAAAGTCTATGATAAAATTCATGGTTTGCATAAGTCCCCTAATAAACTACAGAAACACTGTTTCAGAGTGACTTCATACAAAACGTAGTATTTCTGGAATCACTCAACTGAAAAGTATACAAGGTTGTTCTAAGAAACCTGAGTGTACAAGCTTAATCACACACCTTAAATTCTTCCATTTTGTTTGAAATTTCATGTTGTAGTTGCTCTTCCAGCAATCTTATTTTATCATCTTTAACATAAACACTATGAGGGTGAAAAAAAAAATTAAAATACTTCATACATTCAGAAAATCTACAAGAATTATGGGCACAACTATCAGTTATAAGCAGCAATATTTTCTGCAACAATTATAATTAAACATAAATGTATGAACGACTAGATGTACAATACTTTAGTCACCTTTGTTGCATCTTCTCCAATTCATGTGCAGCAGCAGCCTGTGTGTGGAATGAGAAGAAAATGATATCACTTCACAGGAAGTGCTCAAAACTATTTTTTTCACTAATTTTTACATATTAAAAAGCTGTATTTCCATATATTTGAAGTTACAGCAATACTGTATATTTCTGTAACATGTTTTGCTGTTCGATATTTTTTACTTCTTTTATTCTAGACTATTTTCCATTCTTCATATACACTAACAAAAAGGTATATCCTTTTTGAATTAAATGGCTCAAATAAAAGACTCAAACAAACCAGCATAGTAAGATAATTTTAACTGCCTCCTGTGATATCTTGAAGTGATTAATTCACTGGATCAAACATTTATTTCAACATAAAAACAGTAACATCAAATCATGCAGCCAAAGATGATAAACCATTATATTTTTTACTTACACAATCAAATTGGGGCTCACAATATCAATGAAAATAAGAATACGCAAATTGAAATTCTGAGATCAATGCTCAAAAGCAATAAAGATCTACCTGCTCATTTGCCAGGGCCTGTAATTTCTGCACTTCAGCTTTTAATAAGAAATTCATATTCTGTATATCCTAGAACAAGGAAAAATAGCATTTAAAATACTTAATACAACTGATTTTAAAGTTTGTAAAGCATCTTTTCTACAAAAGAGTTAAGCAAATGTCTCAACTTACAAAATTTCCCAAATAATCAAGAGAAACCACCAATTCCTGTTATTTAGCATATTCCTATCAAATTATTGTAAATTATATCACATGAGAGAAGCCCTTTGAATTTTTCCTCGTAGAGAGCTAGAGAATTTTGTAGTTTAGAAAAACAGTTATTTCAAATGAATTCTAGACTATTTTCCATTTTTCATATACACTTACTGATTATGTGCATCAAAGTAATTTAAATTTCAGTTCTGTAAAATATTGCAGCCATTTATACAAATTACTATACCTTAAGTTCCTCTTCTTTACTTGTTAAACGATCACGTTCACTTGCTAAAGAATCTTCAGTCTGTTTTATCTGCTTATCCTTTTCTGCAATCCTTTAGAAGGAAAGACATTTGTACATTCAATAAACATTCAGAAGTCACAAATCAAAAGGATTTAAAGCCTTAAAAAGCATCATCCTTACTTCAGTAGTTCTCATATACCTTCCATTTCTATAGCCCCTTTCAGTTTACTAACAACTGTCACACACATTACTATAACTCCTTAAAATACATAACCCTGTTTTAAAACTCGAGATAAAAGAGGTTAATTTGTTAAAGCTAGCTATGTCAAAACCAGATTTCAGATCTTCCGAACTCAAGTGATCAGTGTCCATGCAAAATTATACGGCACAAAAAAAGCATATAACTTTGTTTTGGGTATACTACCACAGAGCTGGACACAGAAGAACTACAACTACTTATAAGACACAAAAACTAATTTACTTCCACTACTTTCTAAACAATTACCTCTTCCACATAATTGCTAACACTCAAATGAAAGTCTCCCCAACTCTTGTTATAATAAAAACATAAATAAAAGCAGAATATATAATGTTTAGGGACCCAACTCACTAATGGGAAAAAGGAAAAAAAAAAAAAAAAAGCAAAAGTTGCTCCAAATCTAGTTCAGAGTATTTTCTGAACAGGTCGTCAGAGGTATAAAGTTAATCATAAGTGTCGCATCTAACAAGTATCAGTTAGTGGTGACTACACAATTATAAGAGTGTGAAAAGGTAGGCTTACACTTTATGTAATTCTTCTGCTAGAACTGAAGCGGAGGTCTAAGAAAGAAAAATAGTGTCAACATAAAAGTATTTAAGAGAAAGCTTTATAGCTATACAATAATCATAACAGCTTTAAATTTTAAGAGAAGTTAATGTATATAAATTGTTATGAAAGTATCTGGCCCATGGTAAGTGTTCAATAAAGAGTAACTATCATTCTGAAAGCAAGTTTGATCACCAACAGCCAGTAGTCACGAATTACATATCACAAGACATTTAGAATAAAACAAGTTGACAGGCCTGGAAACTAAATAATTGACAAGCAACAAATGAGTAGGAAAAACAGCCAGAAAGGCCATTTGTCATCCTGTGTTTCTTCTCCTTAGTAACAACTTTTAATAATAAAATTATCCATTCCATGACTAATATAGTTTAGTAATACCCATGTTCATGTTTACTATTTAAAAGATTCTTACAGCATTCTCTATGTATTTAACTCCTGATAAATTTTTTAGAGCTACTTCTCAGCTGATAACTAAAGATCACAATTCAATCTGAGTTGGTAATTCACATATACATACACATCCACACCAGCACCCTTTCCTGCATTAATTCTTCCTCAATTACTTTAGACTATAATTTCTACAGATAAAGCAACTGGGAAAAATATATTTATATGGTCAAAGCTTTGGGAGTCTGAACTTCTCCGAACCTTAAAAACAAAATTTTAATGTTAAAAACCACTTTTTATACAGAAATGTCAGACTTCTAAGCCAATACTTTTTGCTACAAATAACTCTCAGAATTTTCAAGTTGAAAAACTGAAGCTCAAAATTCACAATACTTGTTTTTATTTGATTTTCTTTATATTATTTATAAAGACATGTATGTCACATCAAAGAATAACAGGTCTTACACTATCACTTGAAAACTTTGGAAGGCTGAGTCACTAAACTGAGGTACAAATTTTCAATTGATCATTTTGCAAATATAATCTGTGATCTATGGTTACCATACTGTTCCCCCTGCTGATATATTAGGATTTTCCAGAGCTAGCTGATATTTAATGAACATCTGTAATACATAAGCCACTATTCTAGATAGGATTTGGCCAATTCTCTCTCCTTGTTTTGTGACAGGATTGGGGACATTTTTGTATAATAAAAGCTCTCTAACCTTCCCCTCATCCAATTAGTTGGTATGGATTTCTTTCTTAGTGTTTTCCCTCAGCACCGTACATAATTAGCAAGTGTTTAGCACTCAGGATCATCATTTGTTGATTCATTGACTAGTCTCCCAGCTATTAATCCAGTAATTGGCACTCAACAGACATTCAGGTGAGTGTTTAAATGGCTGCAAGTTATTAATCATAAGCAATAAGAAAGCATCATTACCTGGGCTGCTATCTGGGAATGGAACTGCTGAATTTGAGCTTTCAAAGCCTCATTCTGCTCCAAAATATCCTTTCATAAATAGCAACCAAAAAGAGAAAAAGCATGCTAATAAATAACCCCATGTATATGAACACAATGTATTATAGGTACATTTGTTTATCTTTTTCTTTTTTTTTTTTAAGGCATTCTTAGATTCCAAAAGGCATTATTTTAAACAATGATTAGACAATCTGAGTTAGCTTATAAGACAGAAGTTAAAGATATGTTTGTGCTATTCCTAATCTAACACAAAGAGCCTAAGACTGTGGGTGAGCACACCTTCAAACACACCATATTGTGACAAGTGCTCAAAAGACAAAGTTATAATTATTCATCATCATTTCAGAATTAGGATAAGGTAGACTTTAGTCTCTCTTCTAGACACACAGATCTAATAAGTGACCACCTGTATTTTTTTAAAAAAAAAAAAAGAAGAAAAAATACCTGAACCTGCATTTGTAGAGACTCTTCTTTGTTCACCCTTTTCTGCTCTGATTCCATTAACTGCATTAGTCTTTGCTCCAACTGTTGTTTTGATACCAAGGTATCTGTAAGCTTACTATGCAGACTCTGTACTTCATTTTCTTTGGCCACAAATTTACTCTGTAAATCTGTAATAAAACATTACATTTTACAGAGGTCTCTTTCTTTGCCTAGTTACTCATACTCATCTTTCGTGTAGGCATTCTCTCCTCTAGAAAACCTTCTTTGAATCTCTCCTGCTTCCATTCTTGCATGCTCCTGTAGCAGGCTATACTTGCGTTTCATGGGAGAAAGGGAGTAGTAGAGAAATAAACAATACACATAACACGTACTCCATTATCTCCCAGATGGATCCATCAAATTAAGAGTAAATGAGTAAACGTTAGCATGTATTAAATGGGCAGTTTTAAGTAAACTACCTGGGATGGTAATGCTCTGTTTTTCTCTTCAAAATAAGAAGTGAGTATTTTCTTGGGAAAAAAAAAAAAGAATTAACCAAAGAACCAAAGAGAATAACTACAGAAAAGAAACACACACAGCCAGGATCCCATTAACCTATCATGTACTATAATTTTGCCTGCAACTTTAATGCTTCAGGCAAAGCTAGTAGGTAACTTATTTTAAAACCCTAACAAATGTCAAAGAAAGAAAGATATTCTGAAAGTATAAAAGCTATTTTTATTGAGCTATAACCAAAATGCCAAATTATACTTTCTTCACAGATGGAAGAGAGAGGAAATTTTACCCAAAATTATATACAAAGTTTACATGAATACTTCTTCCCCTTACCTTGCTGTGCTGCCTCATGTTCCGCTGTTCTCTTCCTGATGTAGCTCTGAACTTCTTCCCACCTTCTCTCAGCTTCTTGTAGTTGAACCTTGGTATTTTAAAAGGGAGAAAGGATAAATTAGCACAAACACAGAATTTCTACTTTGAAAAAGAGGGAAAAAAAGCATCCTCTACCTTTACTGTTGTATCATAAAACTGCTTATTGCAACTAGTCTCCTACATTTCAATAAGACAAGCAGATACACACAGTCTAAAAGCCATTTATTTATCAGCCATAGCCATCCTATCCTCCAACATTACAGGGTTTACAGTTTGGAGATTATTTCAGACTCAATATTTGTGCTGAGTTTCTATCAAGATAGCTACTACTATATACATCTGATCCACTTAGCAATAACCTGTTTCCCACTAACCTTCCTTTAGCTGATAAGCTTCCGAAGGACAGGATGGTGTCTTTATTGCTAAATCTAAGTAGCTAAAAATTCTTATTTTGAGGTATTTTTATAACACAACACTCCAATCATGACTATAATCTTTAATGTCATTTATTTATCCATATCCACAGAGAACAGACTTCCGTATCTATGCCAGTAGTAAACCCACCAGCAAGATCAATATTAAATAAAAGAAAGGATACTTATATCAATCTCCCAACAAGACTTAAGAAAAACACTATTTTCCATACTCAATTACTCTTGAAGCCTTTTTAACTCCTACTCTGGAACTGGTATCAAAGTACAATTCTATCAATGACCTAGGTAGGAATCTATTATAATGAGGTAGCATTTAACTTACACAAATTGAACTATACTTTCAACAAATTTCCTCTTCAATAAAAGCAGGAATAGAGAATTATACTCATCATTCTATTCAATGTACATATGCTTCAGAATGCATATAAAATGAGATAAATGAATCTGCTCCTCCCTCAGTCAGCCTGAGCAAAGCCATGCATCTCTTCATAGTATAAGCATCTCACTGGACCAAGTGACACTCTGGCGTCTAAAGATACAGTATGTGACTTTTTGTACATCATGGGTCGAGTGCAAGCCACTGGAACACTACTTAGTCTTGTGCTGAAGCAAAGGAAAAACTACCTATTCCAGTGCTGAAAGAAAACTAGGTTCTGCTGGACCTACTGAAAAATCCAAGCTATGGGTGATAAAGTGGTATTAAGGGTAATTTTTAACTACATGATTTCTGCCCTATACTGTAGACCCTAACCCCCATATATATGATAAAATTCTACAATTTATATCTGTCAATCAGCTAACATCATTTACCATATCTTCAAACGGTCTTTAACTTCAAATTCAAGCCTATATTCAATTCTTTCAATAGGGCACATGCTTCTTTTTCTTTCATCAGGGCATAGCATTTAGACTACAGGTCCCATTAAGCTTCAAACTATATTTTTCAAACCTATATACACATTTAAGTCATCAAATTAAATACCTACTGATATGGTTAGGCATTGTGTCCCCACCCAAACCTCATCTCGAATTGTAATCCCCATAATCTCCACGTGTCAAGGGAGAGACCACGTGGAGGTAACTGAATCATAGGCATGGTTTCCCCCATGCTGTTCTTGTAATAGTGAGATCTCACAAGATCTAATGGTTTTATAAGGGAGTCTTCCCCCTCGCTCGGCATTTCTCCTTCCTGCTGCTTCGTGAAGAAGATGCTTTGCTGCTTCTTCACCTTCTGCCATGATTGTAAGTTTCCTGAGGCCTCCCCAGCCATGTTGAACCGTGAGTCAATTAAACCTCTTTCCTTAAAAATTTACCCAGTCTCGGGCAGTTCTTCATACCAGTATGAAAACGAACTAATACGCCTATATTATTCATGAAATGACAAATAAAGGTGAGAATATATCACCTTCAACTGAGTAGCTGCTTGCTCAGCATTCTTCTTTTGGACTTCCTCTTGCTGTAGCTTTCCTGTTTTCTCAGTCAGCTCATTCACCAACCTAGCATAATCCTGGCGTAGTTTATTTAGTTCTGCAGACTGCCTGAAAACAGTAACTGGATTAGGAGCCTTCCGTTATTACAAATATATATAAGAAATAAACAAAACATACTTTGTTAGTTTTGCTGAGCTGAGCTAGTAGTTCCATTTACAGCCCAACTGAAACAGAACACAAGTGACTACTAACAATAAAGTTTAGTTGTATAATTCCTATATAATTCTAATGAGTTATTCAAATTCTAAAATCACTGTAAAATATCAAGAAAAATGGATGACCATAAATAGTGTCACCTTCAAACTGGTCTTCTGAAAACGTATTAAAAATCAGCCAGTCAGGGTACTGTGTACCGGTATTACTAGTCTCTCTAAGGTACTATTTCTCAAAGTATGGCCTCAGAGCCAATCACTATCACAAGGAAAGTGTCTTTTTTTTTTGAGACGGAGTGTGACTCTGTCACCCAGGCTGGAGTACAGTGGCACAATCTGGGCTCACTGCAACCTCTACCTCCCAGGTTCAAGCGATTCTCCTGTCTCCCGAGTAGCTGAGATTACAGGTGTGTGCCACCAAGCCCAGCTAATTTTTGTATTTTTAGTAGAGACAGGGGTTTCACCACGTTGGCCAGGCTGGTCTCGAACTCCTGACCTCAGGTGATCCGCCTGCCTCGGCCTCCCAAAGTGCCAGGATTACAGGCATGAACCACCACACCCGGCCCGAAAGTGTCTTAATATGTAGACTCCTGGGCTCTACCTCAGAGTCAGTGAATCATAATCTTTTAAGGGGAGGACTCAAGAATACACCTTTTAATTAGAATGCCAGGTGTTCTTCAGAACACTGAAGTTTGGGAGCTACTGTGAAAGGGGACAGATGGTTTAAAACTTATAAACTCATAAGCTTGTAGACCATTCCATTGGTGGTACTAGTATTTATTACATAGTTTATATACAATATACACATACATGTTTATATAAATATGTAATATATGATATATATTAATGTATTTGTATAAGTATATAATAGTATGACATTAATATAACATAGTTTACATATGTATAACTGAAGAAGTTCTTCACAAAGCAAAAGAGAATTGTTTTTAAAAGTAACTCATTTTAGAAACAAATGTAAAAACACAAAAGTCTAACCAATTACTATCAAACGCTATTAATATTTTGATGATTCAAGAAAATACTCTGCCATTCAATTAAAAAATAAGGTATTTGGAAACATACTTGCTTTCCAGTTGATTTGTAGTGTTGCTGACTGCATCTCTCAGTATACCATTTTCCTGCTTCAAGTGAGCTATCTCTGCCTCCATCTGCTCACGAACTTGCTGAAACTAAAATTATTTTACACACATAAAACTTAGAAAACAAAGACTGTCAAAGCTAACTTTTAAAATAAACTTTATTAAAATGAGAATATAAAAAACATCAATAGAATGAAGTTTGAATCATTCTTCTCAAATAAATATAAACAAATTTAAAAGAATTATATTTTGTTAGTGATGAATGCAAATCAAATACAAACTGTCACCACATTCAAGAATACAAGTAGATGCTAGCTGCTATCATATTTGAAATACAAGATAAACATGCTTAGAGATGATGTTTCAGAACTAAATATGATTTAGGATTTCTTTCCTACCGAATAGATTCATACAAAATTAAGCTTGTCCTGATCTTATGTCAATTATACATTAGCAATATTCTTAAAGTCTTTAGTAAGCCAAAGTTTAAAAACTGAAAATATGTTTGGTACACTTTATATTAAGTTACAAATTGGGCCATAATCATATAGATAACACAAAAACCTGCTTGCTAAAATATTCTGACCTCTTAATTTTTTTTCCAAGTTTTTACATTATAAAATACATATAACATAAAACGTACCATTCTAACCATTTTCAAGTATACAGTTCACTGGTATTAAATATATCCATAATGCTGTGTAATCATGACCACCATTCATCTCTCCATAACTCTCTTCATTGTGTAAAACACCTTCTACACCTTTTAACGAATAACTCCCATTCCTCTCCCTGCAGCCCCTGGCGACCACCACTCTAACTTTCTTCTTCTAATTTTTAAATTTTGGATTAAAGAATCTAAAGATAAAGGCACACTGACTCTTATATTCTCATAAGAACATGTTTTTGTATGAAATAATCTTATTAATAATTCTTTCAAAAGAAACTGTTGCTTATTAAGGGAAATTAAGGTATACATTTCTATTTTTCACAGAAGTTATCATATGGAATCTATATCCTGACCTCTGTAAGTAATCAAGTAAAACAGGATGAATCACTTAAATACCTTTCACCTTCAACAAAAGATGCTGCTACAAGTATCTGCCTAATTTTCAAATTAACAGGAATTAGGAATTAAGAAGAAAAGATCACTTGAGGCTAGGAAAATCAGTTCTTCACTAACTCAAATTGCTGGGGGATGAGAAGATGAAGGAATGAGTTAAACAAATGCTAAAAGCAGTGGATAGGGTAAGAACATGAAAACAGCATCATTCACTTCTTTTTTGCTATTAGTGGCATTTCAGAGGAAAACACTGGGACTCTGAAAGCAGCAAAGAATATTTTAAAATTTTTAGCAGACTAGCGATATTATCAAAGCAATATTTTACCAAAAAAAAATCTGGTACCAAATACAAGACGGAATGAAAATGACAAACCTATTAATATCAGCCATAATTATCCCAGTATGTAATAATAAACTAAAGACATGTCTAAGAATTGAATGCAAGAGTAACTAGAAATAAAGAGGTTTGGAGTTTTTTGTTTTTTGAGACAGGGTCTCACCCTGTCACCCAGGCTGCAGTGCAATAGTGTGATCATGGCTCACTGCAACCTCATCCTTCCAGGCTCAAGCCTCCCACCTCAGCCTCCTGAGTAATTGGGACCATGGGCATGCCACCATGCCTGGCAAACTTTTTAATTTTTTTATAGAATGGGGTCCCACTATGTTGCCCAGGCTGTTCTCAAATTCCTGGGTTCAAGTGATCCTCCCACCTCGGCTGGGATTACAGACATGAGCCACGGCACCTAGCCATAGAAATAAAGTGTCTTTAAGATTTCAGAACAAATTGTAGCCTAAGCCAGGCAGAGAAAAGTCACAGGATTCAAGCATAAAGATAATAATGCCTCAAAATATTAAAAACATCATTGCTCATGATTGGCCTGAAAAAAAATACATATATATATATATATATATATATATATCAACCTTATCAATAGGTGAGTTTTAGACATATATTAAATCTGAGGTAATGACAGACCTTCCAAATTGAAGGATCAGCCAGCAGATGGAAGTAACAATTTCAAAAAGTCACTGGTCAAGAAAGTTAAATTAAGGAAGGTATTACATGACCACCAAGCAAGCAGACTCAAGCCATATTCTTCAATAACCTCTTTAGCAGTAATAAAGATATTTCAATCTTTTCAAAAATAAGAAAAAAAAAATTCACTGGTCTAGTCCTAACTAGAATCATGAAAATGGAAAATATATACAAAAGACAGACTGTAAAAACTGAGCCTTCTGACAGAAGACAGGTGAAAGGGTAGGAAGCAACAACAGACAAAATCACTCAGGCCAAAACCTTGGAAGTCATTCTTCACTATCACCTCTCCCCTTCACACTAACACCAAGCCCTATCTAACTAACTCTTTGTATACTCAAACTCATTCTCTCATTGTCAACATCTAATTTCAGGCCCTTGTTCTTTGACTTGAATTCTAGCAAAGTGTTCCAACTATCCCTTGCTCCACTTTCCCCACTGCTACCAAGGTGAAAATTTAAAATAGTAGTATAATTCCAGCGACTGCTGCGTTGCTTAAACTCCTTCACTGGCTCCCCAGTCTTCAGGTATACAAGGCCCTTTAAGATGGGGCCTCTATCTACTTCTCAATATCCCTTCTTCATTCCAGCCCTCATTACCAAATACCACAACTCTTACTGTATTTCTCATAGAGCAGTTACTCTAGACAATCTGTACTGGTAACACCTGGAGTGCACTCATTAAAAAGCTCAGTCCTGGGTCCCAAAATATACCCACTGAACTATCACCTCCAGAGATGGACTAAGAAATCACACCAAGTAACTCTTATCCTCAGTGCCCATTTCTTTACTCTCTTACTTGATAATGCCTAATTGATTTAAAAGATTTAACACAGTCTGCATATCACTTCTAAAAAGTCTTCCCTATCAAATCCTTTTCTTCCTTACCTCCCATCACCATTGCTCTAAAGTCGCCAATACTTATCTCTATCATCATATTTATCTGCATCCGGCCTCCCTACCTCATCCCCACCTAGAAAAGTTGTTTTACTTAGGACGCAGAGTGAACTTCACTAGCCACTGTATGTTGATGGCCCAAGAAAGGGCCTTGTACATACTAGCCACTTAAAAGTTTGCTAATAAAGTGAATGCAACCATTTCATCTTGTTTCCAAAGAATGAAAATATACCTTCATCTGCATCTGTTGAGTCTCTTGATAACTGACATGTATTTTGTTTTGAAATACATTATGTTCCTTTTCTAATGTTCCAATTCGATCTTTCATCCTTGTTATAACCACATTGCTTCTTTCTTTCTCTGTCATCATTTCCTAAAAGAATATCCCAGAAATTTAAAAACTTGTTATTTAATAAGTATCATAAGCCTGCAACAATGATAAACAATGATGTTATTTAACATCAGTAAAATAATCATGAATGATAAAACATTAAGTACTTGCTTAAAAAAAGCAAGGTCAAAAGATTTTAAAAACAGTCTTCTGCATCTCATCTGCTCTTCACGCCAATTCCCTTCATAAACACTTTGCCACTGTTGTTTACTCTTAATTCAAATGCACTTTCTAGTTTATTATGAGTTAAAGACTATGAACCTAGAATAAATCCTACATTCTAACTTGATTACACGAAAGAACATTTTAAAGCACAACAGTTCATTCTCTATCATTCCCAGGTACACGTTCTCTTTCAGGGAAAAAAGGCCTAGAAGGAAATAATTCTCTTTCCTAAGGGAAAAAAATAGGGATAAGATGTCTATAGCAGAGTCAAAGTTTGAAACAAGGGAAAGCAAATTCAGAAAGCAAAGTTTTATCATCTTCCTAAGTCAAATCTTTTTTTTTTTTTTTTTTTTTTTGAGACGGAGTCTCACTCCATCGCCCAGGCTGGAGAGCAGTGGCGTGATCTCGGCTCACTACAAGCTCCGCCTCCCAGATTCACACCATTCTCCTGCCTCAGCCTCCCGAGTAGTTGAGACTACAGGCACCCACCACCATGCCCGGCTAATTTTTTTTGTATTTTTATTAGAGACGGGGTTTCACCCTGTTAGCCAAGATGGTCTCGATCTCCTGACCTCATGATTCACCCGCCTCAGCCTCCCAAAGTGCTGGGATTACAGGCATGAGCCACTGCGCCCGGCCACTAAGTCAAATCTTAAATGAGGGATTTCATTTTGTTTTGCCGGTACTATGAACTCCTAGAACAAATATTAATTATCAAAGTACATGAAAGCCAAGCAATTTTAAAGTTAGCTGCAGGTATCATTAGGACTAATCATGTTCCTGCTCTAAAGCAATTGTATGACAAAATTTGAGATATTACATAATTTATGGCTGCCTGAGTTTGTTCATTCATCTTTACAAATTGTTATACTCCTGTATAACATACTTAGAAGTATACACATCATAAGTATGCGGCTCAATGAATTATCAAATTAGTTATCCTAATTTTTAATTTTTTATATAGTCATATAGTCACAAAAAACTATGTTAAAGTTTCTAATTTTATTAACAACTTTAATTAATCTTGCCAACTTTTTCCATTGACTTTTTTTATTTACTTCAAATTCACATAAAGGATTTATATTCAAACAAAGCCATTCACTCTTACAATGTCATCAAGTGGCTAGGTGAATGACTCATAAATAAACATCATGTATTCTACTGCATTTAATCCCTAGAAAGAGAAACAAGCACTTCAGGAATAATTAAACCATATTTTCTATAGTTTCAATTCTGTTCTCTCAGTTTCATGATGTTTTAAAGATTGGCTTTTCTGGTATTTTTTACTATTAACCTCTCAAAGTAAAATTTCTGAGATGTGAAGAACTTGACAAAAAATTATACTTATCACAAGAAGCTCCATAAATAAATTACCTATGTTAAGAGTTTCACACTTATTCCATTAATCAGACTTAAACAAGATCACACCAAATTCTGTGTTTCTATTGAGAACAGATCTAGGTCAGATCCAATTAAAACAAATTCCCATGCTTCTGTACAGAGTGCTTTTGTTATTCTGAAGCTAGGATATCTGTAAGTACTCTTATTTTAAATAATTCAACTATAGGCTATAATATCACAAAAGAGAGAGACAGCTCTATCTACCCTCCCAAAACTCTAAAGGAAAGTTACTTTTGTTGGACATAAATTACAAATAATTAAACTACTGATTATGGACAATTTCTAAAATCTTTTGTTGCTTCTGATTTGGGAAGTATATCCCTCGTACATAAGAATGTCTTCACCTGGGTTAACTGCTTACACCGATCCTTTGTAGCAGCAGCATCTTCCTTCACAGCAGCGAGTAACTTGTCCTTTTCTTGAAGCTGATGTATAAGCGTAGTCAATTCTCCCTTACTTGACTGCAATTGAGAAAGCAATGCAGAATTAGTAATAGTTACCATGGGCTAATAAAAATTATGAAAATGAAATGTGGCACATATACACCATGGAATACTATGCAGCCATAAAAAAGAATGAGTTCATGTCCTTTGCAGGGACGTGGATGAAGCTGGAAACCATCATTCTCAGCAAACGAACACCAGAACAGAAAACCAAACACTGCATGTTCTCACTCATAAGTGGGAGTTGAACAATGAGAACACATGGACACAGGAAGGGGAACATGGACACAGGAAGGGCAACATGCCTGTCGGGGCGTGGGGGAATAGGGGAGGGATAGCATTAGGAGAAATACCTAATGTAGATGACAGGTTGATGGGTGCAGCAAACCACCACGGCATGTGTATACCTATGTAACAAACCTGCACGTTCTGCACATGTATCCCAGAACTTAAAGTATAAGAAAAATAAATAAATAAAATAAAAAATAAAAGGTGCTAAGATTAAAAAAAAATTATGAAAATGAAGTATCTAACATCAAGTGTTCTTGGGTCAATGCAGAGTTCTGTACTACATAAAAAGTAAAATAACTGCCAAATACTGATCAGTGAAATATTCAGAAAAATCTCTTTAATGTTGTGTATCCTGAAATTTCCAACTAGATACATATCAACCAAGGAACAGATTTTTACGAAGAACTACAGGAATTCCAGTTTTAAACTCAGAGTCAAGACAGTAATTTCCTCCTTCTCCTGCTAGATCAAAAGAGAGAATATGAAACCAAAATGTAAGCTGCTATGAATGACAGTAACCTGTAATCTCAAAGCATATAAGGAAAGACCACCAAATATAGTAAAGATCAAATTCAGATGCTCCACGACCCTGTCAGAATATACCCATGGCTACAGAGGTGCCATAGATGTGTAGTTCTCTGAAATTAACAGGCACATCCTGAAAGGTAAAACCAGCCATCCCCAACTTGACATGGGAAACAACAAACAAGTGCAAAGATTGCAAGCAGGAACTTTCTTGGAAGAAGGTCTCAAGAAGGAAAAGAAAAAAAAAGTTGCAGATAAAATCCCACATCTCAAGAGGAAAAACATCACTCAAAGGGAGCAACTAGCCAGTGAGGCAGTCAAAAGATTCTCTACAGGGAGACCCTAAGCCTCTTATCTGAAAAGCAGCAAAGGCTAAAAAAATCATTTTACATACACAGTCCCCAAGGAGAACACCAGCCATCCCTGACCCTTCAACAACACCAAGCTCTAGCACAAAGATGATCCAAGAAAAACACCCCTCATTGGAAGAACAGTAGTAGTAAATAAAATGAAACAAAACAAAACAAAACAAAACAGGATCTATACACGATACCAAAAAATGAAAATAAGAAAAACACAAATAACAAGTGAAGAAAAATCACCAGAAAAAGGTTATCACACAGCAGGAAAAAACTGTGGTTAAAAATCTAATATAGTAATCATCTCTGGAAAATAAAAGAGCTCAGAGAAAAGATAACACAAAACGAGATGAAACGTGAGCTGGCAAAACTAAAGTGGAAGCAAAAGCAACACCATCCCAGAAATAATACTACAGTTGGAAGCAGCAAACAGAAAAGCACATGCCGCTGTAAACACAGTAAGAGCCATAGAGACAATGGTGAAGAGAAATAAATAAAAAGTAGAAATAAAGTTTTCTTTGGTTATGTGTTAGGGTTTTTTTTTTTGTTAAAGATATGAAAAGACAACGAAGGTAGGCAGTGGAGAGCCCATATGTATTTAACTGATCTCCATTATTTTACTTATTTCAAGAACATTATATATAACTTCCCAGTAATAAAAGCTAACTTGAATCTAATGACTGAAAAGGCATACTGTGTCCAAGGGAAGTTTAACAGAGCAGTCAATGTCAAGCCATATTATAGTACAATTACTGAATGCCAAAGAAATTGAATCCCTTGATGTGTGTAGAGTAGGTCAGACACTGAAAAAAATCCAGTAAATAATAAACACGTGATTGATTATTCAAAGAATGTTTTATTGTGAGAGTGCAGTTTAACAAAAATACATGAAAAGGGTGCAAAATGCAGGCTGGCGTCAGACCTCTACCAGCAATATGAATAAAGAGAACAGTGAAACAACAAATGCATAAAATGTTTCAAGGAAAAAAAAATGAAATTCTGGAATGTTATACCCCACCAAACTATTATTTGAGTACAAATACAAGAAAAGCATGTTAACTTGCCAAAATTTCGAAAATTTTTTGACAAAATCCCAGGAAAAACAACTTCAGCTAACCAAGAGATGAATAAAGAAGCTATGACAAAAGTACTAACATTGAGATCTGGACCCACCATTAAACTATAAAATTAAAACTAAAACATGAAAATTATAATCACAGAAAAGATGTTAAATATTACAAGTATCTGACAAACAGAAAAACTATTATTAATGAAAGTTGAGACTGGTGGAAGAAAGAAGCTAGGAAAAAAATTTAAGTGGTATAACAGTAGTTCCTCCTGCTACACAGCATGGGGCCCAAATTGTTAATAATTTAAAGTTTAAAATATAACTGAAGCAAGTATATTTAAAGGTCAATGATAAAAAATTAATAATTAAACATTTTCTTACTAATAATTACAATAATAGTTTACACTTTTCAGCAGTTATTATATGCTATTTATAGCACCTAACATGCACTAGCATTTAATTCTCAAAACTTGATCATTCCCATTTTAGCCATGGGAAAACTGAGTCACTGAAGCTAAGTAACTTATCTAAGGCCACAAAGCTGCAAGTGGCAGAGTCCAGACTGGAATTTGGGAAGTCTGACTCCAGAGCTCAGGATCTTAACCACACTCTCAAGTGCCTCATAACTCGAATACAAGGGCATGTGTGCACTCACACAACATAACATCCCTGCTCCAACCCTTCTAGCTTTTGCTGTTTTCCCCTTCCCACCTAAGCTTACTCGTAGCGGACACTCGCTGTCACTTTTCCCATTCATTTGGTACTTATTTATAGTCTTGTACTGCAATGAAACTGCTTTTACTAAGGATATCAAACCCAGTTTTACAATCTTAATCCTCCTTGACATCTCTAAAGCATGTTACTGTTGATCATTCCCCCAAGCTCCCTACTTCCCAAACTCAAAGTTTCTGTGATTCCACTACCTCCTGGTGTTCCTCCCACCACTTCGCTCCTCTTCAGTATCTTTCATGGTGATTTTCCTTGCCCTTTCATTGTTGGTGTTTCCTGGGGTTCATTCTTGAGCCTTCTATCACCTCTCACATCCTCCCTGATCTAATATACATCTACCATATGTACTGTTGATAGTGGATTATCTTCCTCAATCACTCCCATTGTAGCCTTTCTTCTACTCCAGAGAAATATGTTAATTGTAAAATGACTATATCCACTTAAATGGCACAAGGGATGCCTAAAACAGCTTTCTGAAATTTCTCAATCCTCTACTCTCTACAAAGTGTTCACAAAAACCACTGTCACCACAATCTATCCAGTTACTCAAGAAAGAAAACAAGCAGTCACCATGGACTCTTCTTTAGCCACTACATACAACTGCTCAAAAAATCCTATCCTATGCCAGTGCCCTGTATTTATCTTCCCCCTTGCTCTAAAGTCGTCTTTATTCAGCACAAGGATTCAATTACCTCTGCGACTTCGAACAGTCTGTGAAAAGCTCTGACCAACTCAGTTCTGGCAGGAAAAAGGAGAAATTCAACTTACCTAGTCTTACTCAGATTCAGGAGACCTACAAAGGCAGAGTTCCTTCAGTAGAGAACAGAACCGCCCCATGAGAAACCAAGAACAATAAGATTTTAATCTAAAACCAAATGGCTCCAAGGAAAAGGGGAAAAATGTGAACAGTTTCAAAACACTTGCTCCATGCTATCTTTAATAGTTTCCAACTTCTTCCAAGGCCTGCCTAAAATAGATAAAGGGTAGTCTGATTTACCACCCAGACTCTAGAGTTGAAAGCTGTCTCAGACAATAAAATGATTACTCTTGCCCCCATAAGCTACCAGCAACATCTTTCATTAGAAGAGAGACACTTAAAGCAATTACTTTTAATCTTAAAAAGCATTAACTCTAAACAGCAATATAGTAACATAGTAACTTCAGCAAGGTTCTTCCCTGCTAGGAGCTTTTCCCAATCCCCACATATAACTAACAACTTTTTTAAGTATTTACTCACCCAATTACAATAAAATAAACCGAAGGACAAATTCTTTAATCAATATCAAGGCTAGGAGCCGTGGCTCACACCTGTAATCCTAGCACTTTGGGAGGCCAAGGCAGGACGACTGATTGAGCTCAGGACCTTGAAACCAGCATAGGCAACACAGTGAAACCCCATCTCTACAAAAAATACAAAAACTAGCCAGGCATTGCCTGTGGTCCCAGTTCCTCAGGAGGGTGAGATGGAGGGATCGCTTGAGCCCGAGAGTTGAAGGCTACGGTGAGCAGAGATTGCGCCACAGCACTCCAGCCTGGGTGACAGGGCCAGACCCCATCTCAAAAAAATAAAAACAAAAATAAAAATAATCAAGAAAGTTCCTTGCAATAAAGCATCTGTCTTTGTATTTAAAGTCACATTTATCATATTTACTGATTACCTTTTTACTCTGGGCCATTGCTGGCATCACACGGAAACTAACAAGCATACTACATTGTAAAATTGCCACAGATTTATAAAATGCACTGTCAACAGAAGTATGACAGACTTATAGTGCTATGATAAATGCTGTGGCAAAAACATCCAGACGGTTGTAAGAAAGAATAGCAGGGCAAACAATTTAGACTGTGAATTCAGGTTAGCCTTATATGAGAAAATGACATTTAAGTGGAGACTTGAAGGAGGAAGTGGGCATAGAAAGAAATTGGAAGGGAGGGTTTGGGAGGAAAGGGGAGATAGGACAGACAGAAGAAACAAGTCTGGTATGACAGAAGAACCAGAGAAGACTCCATATGGGTGAAATTTGGTGAGGGAATAAGAAAAAATGTCATTAGATGAGGCTGCAGAGAGAGGCAGGACATAGACCTGTTAAGGAATCTGGATTTATGTTTTAACTACAAAAGAGAAAAACACCAAAGGGTTTTTAAAGCAGTAATATAACAATTTATCTCTTAAAGGTCACTTTACAGTTATGTGGGAAAAAAACAAAATTAGAGGACTAAGAGGAAAAGCAGAAACATCAATCTGGAGACTACTGTAGGTAATCAGGTGAAAGGTCATGGTCTAGACTAGTATAAGAAAAAATTAAACCACTGAAGGTTTGAAAGTAGGCAAGAGGTTATGGGGAAAGGTGTGCATGTGTGTGTTTTTAGAATAAAGACAGTTAAATGCACCATCTAATATTGAATAGCAGACAACATATCACTTTATTTTACATAGGTAACCCTTGAAAATTTGTCACCTTTCCCAGTATGACATAGTACATATGATATTATAGTGAATATGACCCATAAGAATATAGATGTTGGCTGCATGGGGTTTTTATTTTACAATTTTTTTAAAACATCAGCCATAGCAGTGATTATGCCATTCAAATCATTTCTTTTAGAAGAGTACTATTACAAACACAACACACACATCCCCCCCACAACAATAGTCCTGAGGTTCTTTGAACGGTGTGATCTTCAGTCACAAAAACCGTTCATACATGCTATCCAGAAATCACCTGACTTTGACTTTAGCACTTCTAGTCAGAGCAAAGCACGGTACAGTTTAGCCAAGGGCCAAATGACTTTAAAAGTAATATAAATCTGGCCGGGCACGGTGGCTCACACCTGTAATCCCAGCACTTTGGGAGGCCGAGGCAGGCGGATCATGAGGTCAGGAGATCGAGACCATCCTGGCTAACACGGTGAAACCCCATCTCTACTAAAAATACAAAAATTAGCCAGGCATGGTGGTGCATGCCTGTAATCCCAGCTACTCTGGAAGCTGAGGCAGCAGAATCACTTCAACCCAGGAGGCAGAGGTTGCAGTGAGCCGAGATCACGCCACTGCACTCCAGCCTGGGCAACAGAGCAAGACTCTGTCTCAAAAAAAAAAAAAAAAAAAAGTAATATAAATCATCTTACTTATTTTAAGCAATTGGCTCTGTCAAAGGATCAGATGACAACAGATGACATTTTAAATAAGTGAATTGATTAGTGTGAATATATGATATGGTTTGGCTGTGTACCCACCCAAATCTCATCTTGAATTGTAGCTCCTATAATTCCCACGTGCCGTGGGAGAGGCTCGGTGGGAGATAATTGAATCATGAAGGCAGTTTCCCCCATACTGTTTTCCTGGTCGTGAATAAGTCTCACAAGATCTGAGGGTTTTAAAAGGGAAAATCCCTTTCATTTGGTTCTCATTCCCTCTTCCCTGCTGCCATGTAAGACATGCCTTTCACCTTCTACCATGATTGTGAGGCCAGCCACATGAAACTGTGAGTCCATTAAACCCCTTTTTCTTTATAAATTACCAGTCTCAGGTATGTCTTTATCAGCAACGTGAAAATAGACTAATACACTAAATTGGTACCAGGAGTGAGGAACTGCTGTAAAGATACCCGAAAATGTGGATGTGACTTTACAACTGGGTAACAGGCAGAGCTGGAACAGTTTGGAGGGCTCAGAAGAAGACAGGAAGATGTGGGAAAGTTTAGAACTTCCTAGAGACTTGCTGAATAGCTTTGACCAAAATGCTGATGATGATACCAGCAATGAAATCCAGGATGAGGTCATCTCAGATGGAGATGAGGAACATGTTGGGAAATGGAGTAAAGGCGACTCTTGCTATGTTTTAGCAAAGAGACTGGTGGCATTATGCACCTGTCCTAGAGATCTGAGGGAGACTTGAGGGAGATGATTTAGGGTCTCTGGCGGAAGAAATTTCTAAGCAGCAAAGCATTCAAGAGGTGACCTGGGTGCTATTAACAGCATTCAGTTTTAAGAGGGAAACAGAGAATAAAGTTTGGAAAATTTGCAGCCTGATGATGCCATAGAAAAGAAAATCCCACTTTCTGAGGAGAAATTCAAGCCAGCTGCAGAAATTTGCATAAGTAATGAGGAACCAAATGTAAATCACCAAAACAATGGAGAAAATGTCTCCAGAGCATGTCAAAGACCTTTGCAGAAGGGCCCTCCTATCATGGGCTGGAGACCTAGGAAGAAAAAATGGTTTCCTGAGCAGGGCCCAGGGCCCCCCTGCTGTATGTAGCCTAGGGACTTGGTGTCCTGCAACCCAGCCACTCTAGGCATGGATAAAAGAAACCAAGGTACAGCATGGGCCATGGCTTCAGAGGGTACAAGCCCCAAGCCTTAGCAGCTTCAACGTAGTGTTGAACCTGTGGGTGCACAGAAGTCAAGATTTGAGTTTTGGGAAACCTCTGCCTAGATTTCAGAGGATGTATGGAAACACCTGGATGTCCAGGCAGAAGTTTGCCACAGGGGTGGGGCCCTCATGGAGAACCTCTGCTAGGGTAGTGAGGAAGGGAAATGTGAGGTTGAAACCTACACACTAAGTCCCCACTGAAGCACTGCCCAGTGGAGCTGTGAGAAGAGGGCCACCATCCTCCAGATCCCAGAATGGTAGAGCCACTGACAGCTTGTACTGTGAGCCTGGAAAAGCCACAGACCCTCAACGCCAGCCCATGAAAGCAGCCAGAAAGGAGGCTGTACCCTGTAAAGCCACAGGGGCGGAGCTGCCCAAGACCATGGGAATCCACCTCTTGAAACAGCATGACGTGGATGTGAGACATGGAGTCAAAGGAGATCATATTGGAGCTTTAAGATTTGACTGCCCCACTGGATTTCAGATTTGTATGGGGCCTGTAGCCCTTTTATTTTGGCCAATTTCTCCCATTTGGAGTGGCTGTATTTACCCAATGCCTACCACTGTATCTAGGAGGTAACTAAGTTGCTTCTGATTTTACAGGCTCATAGGCGGAAGGGACTTGCCTTGTCTCGGATGAGACTTTGGACTGTGGACTTTTGAATTAATGATGAAATTAGTTAAGACTTTGGGGGACCAGTAGGAGGGCATGATTGGTTTTGAAATGTGAGGACATGAGATTTGGGAGGGTCTGGAGTGGAATGTTATGGTTTGGCTGTGTCCCCACCCAAATCTCATCCTGAATTGTAGCTCCCATAATTCCCATGTGTTGTGGGAGGGACCTGGTGGGACATAATTGAATCATGGGGGCAATTTCCCCCATATTATTCTTGTGGTAGTAAATAAGCCTTACAAGGTCTGATGGTTTTATAAGAGGAAACCCCTTTCGCTTGATTCTCATTCCCTCTTCCCTGCCACCATATAAGACGTGCCTTTCACCTTCCACTATGATTGTGAGGCCTCCCCAGCCACGTAGAACTGTGAGCCATTTAAACTCTTTTTCTTTATAAATTACCCAGTCTCGGGTATCTCTTTATCAGCGGCATGAAAACAGACTAATACGATATATAAAGTAATTTCTGAAGGCATTCCAGATGTATGTTCTGAGATGTTAAGGATGGGAGTAGATATTAATTGCTCTGGCTAAAGTCTTGTTTGGTGAACTTCTAATGACTGGTCATGAATATGCCCATAATCAAAAAACACGCTTACCTTCTTTAAAGCATCTTGTATTACACCAGACTTCTCCTTTAGCAAGTCTACAACACAAAGAGCCTCATCTTCAGAAAACATCATAGTCTTCAAGGACAGAAGAAAATCTTTAAACTTCACTTCAGCATTTTCTTAATTTGAAAAAAACAAACAAACAAAGAGTTGGCATTTAAAAAACACAAATAATAACTTCAGCAAAGGTAAGCATGAAGAATTCACGGCCCAGAAAGTCAATAACCGAAAGAAAACAGATATATACTTCAGGTTAAATAAAACAAATACTCCAGTCAAGAGGAAAAAAAGGGTTTATCATCTATAATACGGAATAATTACATTAGCTAAAAGTTTGCTCAAACTGCAAAATACTAAAATGCCAATATACCCTCACTTTAAAAAAAAATCACTTAGGTGTCTAGTATGTGCTAATATCTGCACTATTATATTCACAATAATCTCAATGAACTTTAATAATCCTTGCACACTGACAACCAACTGTGAAAAACAAAATAATCCTGAGAGATATTAAGCCAAATTCCACACATGAGAAAATAAGTTCTAAGATAATTGTAAAAAGGAAATCTGATTCTATGAAGATCAAATATATGCAAACCATCCTGACATTTTAAAAATCCATGCATCAAGCACCTCCTGACCCACCCACCCTTATTTTCCCAAGGTTCTCGTATTAGGCATTAACAACCTCTTCTTAAAAAGAGCTGCCACCCATCAGACTCAAAGGAGCCTCGGGCTTTTAATACTTCAGCTAAATTATAAGTTTTAAAAGGTAGTTGTGTACTTATGTGGAAACAGGGGATATGTGGGAACTCTGAACTTTCCAATGAATTTTGCTGTGAACCTAAAACTACTCTAAAAAAAACAGTCTATTAAAAAAAAACAACAGTTATGAATTAGCCAAGAAACCTCACAGGAGACAGTAGTAGCTGGGAAATAATCATCAGATAGCAAAATAGCTGTAGGACCTTTAAAAAGTCAAATTCAAGTTCCAGATCTACAAAACTGAGGAGGCTGGACTAAAAGACTACCAATAAGTCTTCTACCACAAGGATTTGATTCTTTTGAAATGCATTGTTTCTATGAGAAAATGAAATCTATGACTCCATCAGAACTCAGAAATGTGTTTTTATAGTACAACAAAGACTATAAATCCCATATATTACCTTTGTCAGTTTCGGTCTTCAGTTTTTTAGTCCCAGATTTCTGGATCCCTTCTACTTGGTCAGGTTTAAGCAAATCAATAACCTCTCTCTTATCTACCACAGGACTTGAGTCAGCATTATCCATCAAAGGAATATAAGTAGTTGCATGAATAAGGGGTTCATCTACGAAGACTGCAATTTAAGTTCAACAAAATCATAATTAGAATTTTTACAAAACAGAGTAAATGACATGCAAGCATAATTTAATGATAAATGCAGTTCTTTTGAAACATTTACTGGTAGCTCAAATTGGTTTTAAATTCCTATTTCGTCATTTAACAAGTCAAAACACTCATTCTAATGAAGCCGTACCAGCTCAACAGTCTTATTTTATAGTAAATCATTTAAATCATCTAAAAGTGTATAGCATATCTCCTCTAATGGTATCTAAAAACTTTTTATGCATCCTTAAGTCTCCTTTAATTTTTGTTTTAATATAAGAATTATTTCCACTTAATTAGTGCTCAAGGAAAACTATTAGTTTTTATTTATGTTGGTACTTTACCAACTTACTGTAGTTGATAATTTTTAAACAAGTTCTTTGTACTTGCTAAGTGCAAAAACCACAGTGCTCCTTGCAGATAGCTTCTCATTTCTGAAGAGTTATGCCTCTAATTTCCATGGCACATCTACACTTGCTAAAACTTCCAAAATACATTAAAAGTGGAAGAAGGAAGCCTCTTTATTTTGTTCCTAATTTTAATGGGAAGAATTTGAAGAGTTTGAACATCAAGCCTAATGTCTGCTGGTTAGAGATACAAACTTCCACACCCAGATGAAAATCTCTTTTCTTTTCATTCCTACCTTTCAAAAAGAGCTTCTTTACTTATATATGTCTCTTCTTTTATTTAAAATTGTTTAACATTTAATTTTAACAAATATATTCAGGTAATATTTCTCTCATACCTAATTGATATGTCATAATTTTAAGTTGTTTAGTCTTCACAAATTTCACAGCCAAGCTTTCCCTGGAAAACTGTGAACAAATAAGATTGCTCCATCTCTTATAATCTGATGCTTGCCATATACACATGTGAGTTCTGTTTAGGAATTAATTGGAAATGTAAGCTAATGCCAGATCTAGCTAATGTCCTTAAGCATTACCTTTAAGTGATATTAAAAAGCACAAAATTTCAAGAATGTTTTTCTTCTATGGTCTGTATGCTATTTATTTTTTCAAAACTGAGTTAAGAATATTTATAAATGCTTTGCCCTTTGTAAATGGTATATAAACTTTTTCATCTCAAATGTACACCCTGCCCATCTGTCAAAGCGCTATAAAGTCATAAGGCTAAAGATAATTTTAGACCTGCATTAGTATTACAGTTGTCATTAGCACACATTAAACTGGGAGCTAAAGAGCGTGTGAGATTCCAGGGTCCTTGTGCTGGTGTACTTCTCTAGAATTAGCATTATAAAAATACATATCTAAACATCTCACCATTTTCTGTCTTTTGTTTCTTTGATGAAGCTTTCTTCTTCCCTGATCCACTTTCTTGTTTAGTCTCTTGGTGGAGGGGCAATGCTTCTTGCCTTTTTGATGGTACCATGAGAGTTTCCACCTTTTTATCCTGGTCATCTTTATTAAACACAAACAAAAAAAATAATTGTGGCAAACAATGAACATAACGGAAAAGATGCAATCACTGAGTAATTCCCAGAATGTTTTACCACTAAAAATTTAAAGTCTGACATATAACGCTCTCACCAATAACTTTTTCTAGCTTTCTTACTCCACTACACCAGCTCTTCAATGTACTTACTCCTCCTTTCCCATTCCTCAGCTATTTTCAACCCTACTGAGCCTATAGGCATGATCAAGTCTCTATCATCTTAAAAAATAAACAGCAAGGTGCAGCTGCTCACACCTGTAATCCCAGCACTTTGGGAGGCTGAGGCAGGTGGATCACTTGAACCCAGGAGTATCACTTGAACCCAGGAGTTCCAGACCAACCTGGGCAAAGTGGTGAAACCTCATCTCTACAAAACTCCATCTCTACGAAAAAAATAAAAAAAATTAGCCAGGTGTGGTGGCGCACACCTGTAGTTCCAGCTACTCTGGGGCTGAGGTGGGAGGATAGCTTGAGCCCCGGAGGTCGAAGGTGCAGTGAGCCAAGATCACACCATTCACTCGAGCCTCAGCAACAGAGCAAGACCCTGTCGAAAGAAAAAGGAAAGAAAGAAGAAAGAAAAGAGAGAGAGAAAGAGAGAAAGAAAGAAGAAAAGGAAGAAAGAAAGGGAAGGAAAGGAAGGAAAAGAAGGAAGGGAAGGGAAGGAAAGGAAGGAAAAGAAGGAAGGGAAGGGAAGGAAGAGAAAACCCTTCCCCATCACCATAATTCCCAGCATCCCACATCCATTTCCTTACATATTGACAAAATACTCTTAGTTCCTTTTCTACCAATCATTCCTCAGCTAATTGCAACCTGATTTTTATCTCTTTCATTCCACGAAAGGATTAACTCAGATCCCCCAGTGTCCCAAATGCCATATTCTACAAATACTCATTACTCCTTATTTGACTACTCTTTGGCATTTTATACTTTTGGTCTCTACCCCTTTCTTAAAATTATCTCCTCTCCATTATGCTAAGTAAAATATGGCAGTGACAAAAAGATAAATATCGTATAATTTCACTTATATGACATTCCCAGAGTAGTCAAATTCATAAAGACAGAAAGTAGAAGGGTAATTGTCAAGATATGGGGGAAGGGGGAGGGACGGGGGAAAAGGGGGAGGCAGGCAGAATGGGGAATTAGTGTATAATGCGTACAGAGTTTCATTTGGAAAAGATGAAAGAGTTCTGGACTTGGCTAGTGGTGATGATTATATAAGAATGTGAATGTACTTACCACCACAAAACTACACACTTAAAAGTTGTTAAAATAGTAAATTTCATGCTGTAATTTGCCACAATAAAAATAAATAAAATAAATTATCTCCTATCAGTTCCCATGATAATTCTCTTCTTACACTTGAAATATTCCTTTGCGGTATCCTTTGGGAACTGCTTCTACTGAATACTGCTTGTTCTCAGGGTTGGGGCTTCAATTAAAATACTTCCCTTGGATGAGCTATCTACTCCCATGCCTTCTACTACCTTCACGCTTAAGGCTTCTGAATCTACTTTTCTACATTTACATACCCTACTGCATCCTGAGTTGCTCTACGTAGATGGCCCCACAGGCATTGGAAACACAAACTGGAAGTGTTCTCTTCTCAATTCACATCTAGTCTCTCTCCAGTATTACCTATTTTAGTGCTACCAACCATCTGCCAAGCACAAGTTGGCAAACTTTTTCTGCAAAGGGCCACGTAGTAAAAACTTTAGACCTTATAGGACATATGGTCTCTGGTACAACTATTCAAGTCTGCCACTGCAGCATGAAAGCCAGTCATAAACATATTATGAATGAGTGAATGAATGTAGCTGCATATAAAAACACTTTATGAGTACTGAGATTTTGACTTTTTTTTACATTTTTACATTTCTCAAAATATTATTCTATTTCCCAACCATTTAAAATGCAAAAAGTGTTCTTGGTTCATGGGCATAAAAAAAGGAAGTGGGCTACATGCGGCTCACAGGTTGCAGTTTGCCAACCCCAACCTAACTCAGAACTTGGGAGATCAGCTTTAATCCTATCTTCTCCTTTATCTGCCACACCTCTATATAGTGAGGTTATTCGTGTCATTCTTACTTTGCATACTTCTCAACTTTGTTTCTTCTGTCACTACCATAGTTCAGGCCTACATCTTAATTTTAGAAAACTAAAATAACCTCTTAACTAGTCTGCCGGCATCAAATACTGCCCCATGAAATCTGTTCTTGCTAGCTCTGCCAAAAAAATCTTTCTAAAACAGAAATATGACCATGTAACTAAACTGCTTGAAAATCTTCAACAATGGCTAACCTAAGAAGTCCTAGCTCCCTGGCACAGTATCCAAAAACCACCATGATCTAGCCACTGCTATCTTTTCAGCTCTGTTCCCTACCACTCTCTATACCTCACGTTGTATGGCTCAATAATACACTGTACTCTTGCAGCTCTGTGCCTTTACATGATATTCTGCCAATGAGTAATGAGACCCCACTATCTGCTTGATGAAGCGATTCAATGCTCAGGAACTGCCTCCCCTGTAAAGCCTTTCAGCCCAGCATAAGCAGTAGTTGCTTTAGCTTCTATATTTCCTCTATACTTTCTCTATCTCCTACATAAACCACATTTTTTTTACTGGCTTACGTGTCCTTTTCCCCAACTAAAACATGTAGTTCTTACTATGCCTTGATCCTAGCTGACATGCAAATATTTAAAATCCAATACAACCGGGTCAAGCGTGGTGGCTCACGCCTGTAATTTCAGCACTTTGTGAGGCCAAGGCAGGCGGATCATTTGAGGTCAGGAGTTCGAGACCACTCTGGCCAATATTGTGAAACCCCATCTCTACTAAAAATACACGCCTATAATTCCAGCTACTCGGGAGGCTGAGGCAGGAGAATCACTTGAACTTGGGCAGCAGAGGACACACTGAGCCAAGATCGCACCACTGCACTCCAGCCTGGGTGAGAGTGTGAGACTCCCATCTCAAAAAAAAAAAAAAAAAAATCAAATATAACCTCCTACAAGTTAAGACACACAAATGACTTAATGGTACATACAAGTCCTTTCAAATAAAACAAACTGTTTACAGTTTCACACATCGCCACGCCAATTTTCAAGGCTTTTCCATTGTACCTATCAACCCCCTTTCCCTGGAATCTCCCTCCCCTCCCCATCCACCCAAAAAACCTAACTAGTACTTAACCAAACTTTAAAAATTTCTGGCATTACTTGCTTTAAGTGGTCTACCTTAGAATTCCTACACTGGTTTAGACATATCTAGACCATTACACTAAATCTTTCATAATGACCTATCTGTGTCTACAGCTAGCACACGACTACCTCGAAAACGCACTATTCATCTCTGTAGCCCTAATACCTAGCATAATGCCTAGCATAAAACAGATATATGATAAATGTTAGCAAAATGAAGCAATCAAGGGTGAGAAATGATATCTGATTTTAGCTTTTCACCTTTAATTCTTACCATATCATTTAGAAAGTTCGTAACTGCTGATATTTACAGGTCCTAAGTGGTTTTAAGTAAAATAGCCAAAGTTGGATATTTATAAGATGTATGGGGTTTTTTTTTTTTCTTTTAATTTCTTGTAGAGATGAGGTCTCACTTTGTTGCCCAGGCTGGTCTCAAACACCTGGGCTCAAGGGGTCCTCCCACTTCAGCCTCCCAATGTGCTAGGATTACAGGCATGAGCCACTGCATCAGGCCCTGAAGTTTAAAGTGCTATTTTATGATCAATACTAATTTCTACCAGCAATTAATGTTAATGAAGCAAACACATAATGAAATGAATAATCATGGTTTCAAATTCAATATTAAACATTCTGTGTATGTACCTAACAGAATATCTCAATTCCAAGCTCCAAATCATACAATAAAATTAAATAGATTAAATAGATTACAATACCGCTTCCATTTTTAGACTTCTTCTGCCCTGGTTTCTTCTTCGAGGCAGCTGCTTCAGAGGGAGGGGTGGGCTGTTTAGTAACTGGGACAGGTTCTACTTTTTTGCCAGGAATCTTTGATGCGTCACTTTCTTTGATGACCTGCTCTTCAAGCACAGGCTTTTGTTTCTTTTCCTTCTTTTTTCTTTCCCTAACACTACTTGAAGTTTCAACGACATTCAATGGAACAGGTGCAACTTGATCATCTTCTACTGCCAAAGCATCTGATAATTTAAAGTCTCGAGGTACACTCTCAGAGTCGGATTCATGGAGGTTTCCATTCTGGATTTCTTTCTTTTTATTCTTTTTCTTTTCTGCTTTCTTTTTATCTGTTTTGGTAGGAATAAGCTTTTGTTCTCTTTTCTGTTTTGCAAGAACTTCATCATATAATGTTTCTTTCATGAAAAGCCAGAAGAAGAGGAAAATTACTGTAATAACTATTGAAGGAATAAGAACAATAAAATATGCTGACTCATAAAACTCCATGGTACTTTTGTCAATGTGATCCTATAAAACCTAAATAGGGAAGAAGGTGGGGACAAAAAAAAAAAAAGAACCTGTCAGTCTCATAAAAATTAAAGTCAAAACTGCTGCTCTTTCAAGTGGCATTTCAAATCTAACCTGACCTACAAATCTAAACAGGTTAGTTCTTTAAATCACATTCTTGATTTATTTGCCAACTACAATTCATATATACTATGAAAAATAAGACAAGTGGTAACTAGAAGGAGTAGAAAACATCCTTCCATTTCTAAATCATGTGAAAATATCCTAATTGAAGAGAAAAAATTTAAATATTCATTACTTTCTTTTCCCGAAATATCCACTTTTGGTACTTTATTAGTAGTTAACTTTTTTGTTTATTGTACAGTGTTGATAACTACTACACGTGAAAATAAGGAGGTACTATTACCAACTCAATGGACATTCATTAAAAGTGTCATATTCTGAAATGCACACACACGCAAAAAGAGGTGGTTTATTTACAGATTAAGACCAGTCACCAACTGCTTGCATCTTTACACCAGTGACTATCAGCCTCATGATGCAGTGGGATCTATCAAGGATATAAAAATCTAATAAAATTAAAATTGAAATGTTAGGATGTGGCATTTTGCATTAAAATAAATTACAGACCAAGCGCAGTGGCTCATGCCTGAATCCCACCACTTTAGGAGGCTGAGGCAGACGGATCACTTGAGCCTAGGAGTTCCAGTCTACCCTGGGCAACATGGCGAAACCCTGCCTTTACAAAAAAAAAAAAAAAAAAAGACAAGAAAATTAGCTGGGCGTAGTTAAGTGAGCCTGTAGTCCCAGCTACTTGCAGGCTGAGGTGAGAGGATCACCTGAGCCTTTGAAGTCGAGGCTTCAGTGACCTGTGACTCTGCCACTGCACTCCAAGCCTGGGCAACAGAGCAAGTCTCTGTCTCAAAAAAATAAAATAGTGAAATAAATTACAAGTTAGGAACTTATCTCAGTTTTTTAAAGGCACCCCATACTGCACAAAACAAGTTATACAGCAAAAGCGAGGCTGCCATCAACATCCTACCGAAATTGCTAAATAAAAGGCTTTGCCTCATCAACAGAACATCAGCCCTACTTTTAGATGGACTCAGTAAGTACGCCCGGGGCGGGAAGGGGGCGGGTGGCGATGTAATTTGACTACCAACATCTGCCTTGAATATACATATCACTTACGTGAAGGGTAGTTTCTGCTAAAATTAAATCTCAAAGTATAAATGATTCTGATGTTGAGATTCTAGATATTGATGCTCCTTACAAACATGCATAAGCCACATAAAAGTGACTTGTATTCTTATTCATCTCAAATGTGTTGTAGAAAAAGACAAGGTATATAATACAGATATAATTAAACATCAGGACATGTTTAGGATAAAGCAAATTAAAGTTAATTGCTACACTTTTAATGTAAAAATAAATCTGAGAATTTTTTAAGTTTTTAAATTATCAATTTGGAGAGTCTTGATATGTCATGATTAGATAAAGAAACCAAATTCTACCTAAACGGGTAACTTATTCTAAGAATTATTTTACACCTAAGAAAATACCTGATTTTAAATTGGATAAATGTGAGTTTATTGAATATAAGACTTTGCCAGAACTGTAACAACACGGGTTTGAACTGCACAGGTACACTTACACATGAATTTTTTTTTTAACCAATTGTTACTGAAAATACGTATTTGCTGGACGTGAAACCCAAGTATATGGAGGGTCAACTTTGTATACTCAGGTTCCACAGTACTCCAGGACTTCCAGCATGCTTAGATTTAGGTATACACAGGGGTCCTGAAGCCAATCTCCTGCATATACCAAGGAATGACTGTCGTTTGTTCAACAGGCATGCTATTAATCTATATGACTGAAGTAACATTTCATACTTCCATAAGCAATTTTTTAATAGTATTAGTTATACCCTAGATTTACTAAGACAAGGTTTTAACAAGTTAAGGGGGAAAAGGAATCATGTGCTAACAAAATACTAAAAGAAACTCCATACAGAATTGTTTCCCTGATAATTCAAATTAACATGAACTATCCAGGTTTTAAAATTAGACACATTTCACTGTGCCTCCATTAAGTGTGATTCGTCAACCAGGAATGCTTTAAAAGAGCCCAGAATTTTTTTTTAAACATAGCATCCATAGAATACACAGCCTATTCAACAAAAGCTGGGCAGTCGAGGGAGAAAAAACACAAAACAATGAGTTGGAATGCTTCGAGTTTTTGCTTTGGTGAAGAAGAGACGCTAAGGCACTTAGCAGCAGTAATAGAAGCTGAAAAAAGGGGTAAAAGTCAAAAAGGCCTAATGAATAAGCTGCAGCCCTGTACAAACCTAGGTTTTAGGAAAGCAGAAATTATGATCAAGCACAGCAAATTCACCTGTATAGAAAGAAAAAGTAGCAAATGTTCAAGAAGAGAGGGTATGAGACCACAAGAATTCTGAAACACTGATTCTTCAAATGTTTTAATGATTTTCTAGTTTCCTTTCCCAGGTCCCATATATAGGCGTGAAGGAATCAAGCTTTCTGTCTCTGGATTTTCACGGGAGTCTCTCTTCACACAATTCAATTCACCTTCACTTGAGCTCACCTGAGTCTCACTATGCATTTAGAGGAACCTAACTAGACACCAAGAGATGAAGAATCAAGAAAATGTTTGCTGCAGCCATAAAAAGGAATGAGATCATGTCCTCGGCAGGGACATGGATGAAGGTGGAAGCCATCATCCTCAGCAAACTACCACAGGAACAGAACACCAAACACCACATGTTCTCACTCATAAGTCGGAGTGGAACACTGAGAACATATGGACACAGAGAGGGGAACAACACACACCAGGGCCTGTTGCGGGTGGGGGCTGAGAGGAGGGAACGTACAGGATGGGTCAGTAGGTGCAGCAAACCACCATGACACACATATACCTATGTAATAAACCTGCACGTTCTCCACATGTATCCTGTTTTTTTTTTTTTAGAAGAATAAAAAAGAAGAAAATGTTTGCATTCCTTTAACCCAACAATCCCAATTCTTTATCCCTAGGAATTTATTTGCAAGAAAAAAACATATAGAAAGATGTTCACAGGCTGGGCATGGTGGCTCATGCCTGTAATCCCAGCACTTTGGGAGGCCGAGGCAGGCGGATCACTTGAGGTCAGGAATTCGAGAGCAGTCTGATCAACATGGTGAAACCCCGTCTCTACTAAAAATTCAAAAATCAGCCGGGCGTGGTGGTACGCGCCTGTAATCCCAGCTACTCAGGAGGCTGATGCAAAAGAATCACTTGAACCCAGGAGGCAGAGGTTGCAGTGACAGTAAGCTGAGATCGCGCCACTGCACTCCAGCCTGGGCAACAGGGCGAGACTCTGTCTCAAAAAAAAAAAAAAAAAGTTCACAGCAATATTACATAAAAACTAAGAAATAAAACATTCAAAATCAGAATGATTTCAATCAGCAAATATCAACTCAAAGTATAGGTATTAAAACCATGAACACTAAAACTTTGTTAAATTCAATTCAATGCTGCTAAAAAGTCAAAATCATATGTAATTATATGATCAAAACATTTTATGTATGCAAGTTCAGTACTAAGGAGTTGTGCCAGAATCATGGGGACAGTCTCATTTGCCTTAATACTCTAGTTTTAAACTTTGTTTATGATAAATTCATAAAATATTATTTTAAAAAGGCAAAACATGAGTGTTTATTGAATAAATACTACAATACCAATAAATATACCTCAAATTCACATTTTACCCATGAGCATCAGAATTACATGAGGAGGAAAAAAGAGGAGACAAAAAGGAACTGAGAATGAAACAGGAAAATTCAGGGAAGAACAAAGACAAAGTTTTAAAAGCAGGGAGGCAAAACTGAAAAATAAAAGTAAAGAGGTTGAGACAAAGTTAATTTAGCTCTGGGTAATAAGAACCAGGTCATTAAAATTTTCTAAGTCCACAGTATACAATTCAATACATGTTTGTTGAGTTGAAAAACATGGAGACATGTAGACGCTCATGTTGTTCTTTCACACATGGAAGAAATAACACTGGTGATTTTTGCTAACTCACAACCCGAGTTTTCACAAAAAATGTGTAGTATTTTTACACATTTAAGAAATGGGGTCTCTATATATACACTGCTCAGGCTGGACCACATTGGCTATTCACAATCCCTATGATAGCGCATTGCAGCATCAAACTCCAGAGGTCTTCCCACTTCAGCCTCCCAAGTGGCTGGAACTACACTACAGGCATGTACCACCTAGCCTGGCTTACCCTTTCTAATATTAGTTACCTCTTTAACCTCATCACACATAAGTCATAATAGATTCCAATCTGAATGCAATAAACAGCCAGTGGTGGCAAATAGGATTTCTCTGTCAAGAGAACCAGGAGAGAAATATCCATGGAACAATAGGAAAGCAAGTCCAAACTATTTTAAAACCACATTCCACACCATTGTCTTTTATCTTTCACTCGGACATAAATCTTTCAAGAAACTGATAAAGATACTGACCCGCTTTCTCAAAGAAAAAAAGTATCCACACTCACTAAGTTTTACATATAATCTCCAGGTTTCTGGATTCCCTGAAGAATATGCACGGGCCCCAGGTTTAAAATCCTGCTCTATATTGAGAGTTTTCATTCCTGCCCTATCTTAAAAGAACTAAAAAAAAATTATAATAAGTTAACACGCATAATATGTAAGTCGTGTTTCGTCAGAGTACGTATTACAAATACTAATCAAATAGTTTTAAAATTCTATTTACTCGCTCTCCTATAACTTACATTTGTTCATACAAAACCTGAGACACATCACTGAGTTAAATTTTACAAACTTCTCAGAAGGCACAATGACCCAATTTATATTAATATAACAAAGAAGTGAAACCTAAAATTTTAAGTGATATAAAAATCTGGCGGCAATTATTAGAATTTCAATAGAGCTGCTTAACCAAAAAGGATAATATATTTATGTATATACAAGACACACCACACTGTCTATATAATAAAACAATGAAACTGTTTCAGTGTGGGACATGTGAAGACACATCACACAACCATTTAAAATAATTAAGATTGTAATGCAGCAAAATACATTACACAGCAGAAAGACTAAAAGTTTTGTGTTGAGTATTATATACACTCATAGATGATACCTAAAAAATGAGAATCATTACATTTTTTGAAGGGAGATTATTACAAACATTTTACTGTTTGGTTAATTGTTCAACTTTTAAAATTGCACATTGAAACAATAATTTAAGTAACCAAACTGAATGCACAGTACTAAACTTTTAAAAGCTTAAATACATAAACATAAGAATTGTTAACATTATGAGAAAAAACTGAGGCAGTTTGATAAGTATACTATTAAATTTCAAGTAATACAACAATTTTGAATTATATTTTTTACTATAGTGTTTCAGTTGCTCTTGCTTCTGCTATCCTTTTCTTCACATTAAAAACAATGAAAACAAATGACACAAAAAAACTAATTTTATCAATATTTCTGTCCTTCAACTGACACAATTTTATCAGCTGGGGTGGCTCAAAAAAACCATTAGCAAAAACTTAACAAATCAAAATTCAAGACTGAAATCTGAACACAGTGAAAATCTTTTTCCACCACAAAACATACTAAGCAAGCAGACACATTTGAAAAAAACAAAAACAGTAAGTTGAGGGAAAGGTAATTTTCAACACAGGAATGCATAATTTCATAAAAATTCCAGTATAAATCAATGTCTGGACAACTAAATGAATACACCTTTAAGATATACAGGCTTCCAGAGTAGCCTATAAGAGCTTTATTTCATTATTTGAATACAGTTAAAATATTACAGAAGTAGCTGTGAGGCCTAAGCTGAAAGCTATTATTATAGGTTATTTGTAAAAATAATGTTCATAGGTTAAAAAAAACAAAAAACAACAAAAAAAACTATCTGTAATCTGATCACACTGAATCTAAATACTTGGCATTCCAAACGTGCCACACTCTTCATACCATGTTTACCTTTCTTTAAACCCACATTACTATCTTATTTTTTTTTAAACAGACAAGTTAATCTTTTTTTAAGAAAAATGATTTATGGTAAGTACTCTACAGTGATAAAAAGTTTACTATTGGTAGCCAAGTATCATTTAATTAGATTTCCATTCTGCAAAAGGTTTAGATACAATGAACTCCTCCTGCTAAAAGTAAATATTAGCCATCATGTAGTTGATAACCTTCAAATACAGTATGCGTGTTATATTGCAGATATATCCTGAGCAAAAGTAAATTATTTTAAGATTAGTGAATAGCAATATAATGAGGCAGTAAAATGGAAGGCAAGAGTCTTGGCTTTTAGTCCCAATTTGGCCTTCACTCAGAGTCTTACTTAAAAATTTTTATCCATGAGTTTCTTCTCACATGGCTTTAGGGCCCAAACTACTTGCATGATCTTGGATATGTCAGCCAAAAAATTTAAGTGGCCCCCAGCTGGTGGTGCCCAGAGTACCCGTGGCAGAAACAAATGCATAACCTCTTTGGTGGACTCCTTCCCCAAGCCAGGCTCCTTAAGGTTTTTAAAAATTATTATCCAGATATAAGCCCACAACGCAAAATAACAGAACACGTGATAAGCCATCATGAACAAGAGGCAGCAGAAACGAGCTAAAGAATTAGATCTCCAACTGCACTCCAGCCTGGGCGACAGAGCAATACTCCGTCTCAAATAACTAACTAAATAAATAAAACCAAATGGATAGGTTAAAAATAGTTGCAAGGAGACCAATTAAAATGACTTTCAGTAGTTTAAGTAGATCTAATGACAATAAATCAATTTCAACACAGAAATACTTGGGTGGAACAACTAATAAGAAAACGCAACTATCTGAAAGTGAGTGAGGACACTAATAAGACAATTCCAACATGTCATGCCTGGAAGGTTCCATAAATGAGGAAACCCCTTGACAAGATTAAGAATATAGGAATAGGTTCCTATCTGGGAGTTCTAGATCAGATTTTGAAGAAAATATGGGACGACCAGCTAGAAAAGATCAGCAGTCAACCAAGTGGGAAAAATCAGCAGTAAGAGGCTACTATGGATTCTAAATCAGGCAACCAAAGGAAACACCTTCTAAAGTTCCATTTAAAGCACTTCACCTTATCCCTGCAATCAAATCTAAAAATCTTTGCCATGTCCTTTGTATGAAATCTCCACCTATCCTTCAAAACCCAGCTTAAATCAAACCTATGAATATGTAATTTCAACTCTCTTCCACAATAGTCTTTATTATTCATTTGTTATTTAGCACTGACCATATGTCAGGACTGCTCTAGGACATTCTGAGTAAACAGCAGTAAAAGGGCCACAAACCCTGCACTCACAGAGCTAACATTCTACTAAGTGGTAAGACAGACCAACAATTAGTATGCAGTATATGAAAGGGTAACAAGTAGCAAGAATAGTGATAAGGAGGGAAGAGAAATAGGGAGCACAGGAAGATGTGGACAGTCATTAAATTTTATTTAATTTTTTTTAATTATTTAATATAGAGACAGGGTTTTGCCATGTTGCCCAGGCTGGTCTCAAACTCCTAATGGTTAAAATTTAGAGTAGAATGATCAGAGATTATCTCATTTTTAAAAAATGACATCTCAATAAAGACCTGAAGTAAGTTAAAGATAGAGCCATGGTGCTATCCATATCTAAGTGAAGAGCAAAATACAGTGAATGAGGGAAGAGCAAGCACAAAGATCATGAGACAGTAACATACCTGCTATATATGAGCAAGAGCAGTAAGGACAACGTGGTTCGGGTAGAATGAACAAAAGGATAAACTGATGAGGTCAAAGAGAATTTGAAAGGGAGAGGGGATGTGGTTAACAATTCATGTAGTTTCTTACAGGAAAAGGATTGTGGCTAACACTCTCAGTAATATGGGAAAACTACTGGAGGGGTCTGACTAGGGAAGGGTGTAGGGAGAAAGTGAAATCAGGGAGAACTGTTAGGTGACAACTGAAATAATTTAGAGATGATGGTAGCAGGTGAGATGGTCAAATTTTTGATACTTTATAAAGGTAGAGCCAAGATGATTTGTTGATGGACTGGATGTGGGGTACGAGAGAATAAACAAAGCCAAAGGCAATTCCAAAGCTTTTAGACTAGGCCAAAAACAAAGGAGCTGCCCTTTACTGAGATAGGGGAAAAGTGGCAGGGACATGGTTAAGGCTGGAGATAAGGAGTTAGGTTTTAGGTAAGTGGAGATGTCCAGGAGACAGCTAAATAAGAGTTGTCACATGACAAGTGAAGGCTGGAGATATAAATTTGGAAGTATTCAGCAAATGGACTATATTTAAAGCCATAAACTTGGATAAAATCCCAAACAAATGGGTATAAATAGAGACCAGGTCTCAAGACTGAAGCACTGAAATTCAACAACAGGAAAATGAAGAACTCTCAAGGGAGACTGAGGAGAGCTATAAAGAAAACTAGGAGTTTGCTGTCCCGGACGCCAGATGAATAAAGTCTATTAAGGAGGAGAGACGGACCAATTTTGTCAAATGGGGTTGGTAAGTAAAATACAATGAAAACTAGTAATTGACTTCTGAATTTAGCAACACAGACGTTACTGGTGACTTTGACCAAAGCAGTAGAGTAGTGGTGATCAAAACCTGATTGAAATGAATTTAAAAGTTAGAAGAACTCTAGCAAGTGTGGACAACTCTTTGAAGCAGCTTTCCTATGAAAGGATGCAGAGAAATAAGATGGAACTTGGAGGAGAATATGAGGTTAACAGTTTGGTTTTTAAAGATGGGAGAAATTACAGCATGATAATATGCTGACAAAAAAAAAAATGATCCAGTAAAAAGGGAAAGAACAATGATGCAGGAGTGAGAGGCAATGTTTTCAAATAGCAAGAAAAGACAGAATTTGGACAAGTAGATAGAGTGACTGGCCTTAGATGGTAGCACAGCCAGTTCATCTGTAGAAACATAAAGGAAGAATATAAAAGCACAGACCCAGGACAGGAAAGGAGGTAGACGGTATAGACATTTGTGAAAATTCTGTTCCTAATGCTACTATTCTCTTTACGAAATGAGAAGCAAAGTCATAAGCAGAGAATAAGTGGAAAAAAGATGGTGGCCAGGCACGGTGGCTCATGCCTGTAATCCTAGCACTCTGGGAGGCCAAGGAGAAAGGACTGCTTGAGCCCAGAGTTCAAGACCATCCTGGGCAACATAGCAGAACCCTGTCTCTACAAACAATAAAAAATTAGCTAGACGTGGTGGCATGCACCTGTAGTCCCAGCTGCTTGGAAGAATAAGGCAGAAAGATCGCTTGAGCACAGAAGCTCAAGGCTATAGTAAGCCATGATTTCACCTCTGCACTCTAACATGGGCGACAGAGGGAGACCCTCTCTCAAAAAAAAAAAAAAGACAGTGTTGAAGGTCTTATAAAACACATTTTAATTATTGCTGTAGTTTTCATTCTTTGTAAGTTGCACTCACTTTAATCTTCCACTGAAGTTTTTGAATGCAGGGTATTTGACAGTGTTCACAAATAAATTTGCCGACTTTAAATGAATTTATAATCTCACTGCGAAAGGAAGTATATAGTATCTACAAACCTAACTAGAGCAAAAATCCTAACTTGAGCCTCCATATGGTTCTACTCTTCCAGCTCAAGTACCATGTCTACAGCTAGTTCTCCTCCTAAAGTTCCAGAGCACTTATTCTCTATTTACACAGACATGCATATAATTCTATGAGACAGTAAATGGTTTCAACTAATATAGCAAGGCAGCAACATACTGCAGTGTGATAAAGAAAATAAAATTGAACTCAAAATCTAAAACAAATCTAAATACATACAAAAATTTAGTTTGCTCTAAGTTATTTCTAATCAGTAGAAGGCTGTATCATTCAAATCAACTAAAAACATCCAAATAAAGTTTCAAACATAAGAAAAAATATAAAGCACTTGAGGGCCGGGCGTGGTGGCTCACACCTGTACTCCCAGCACCTTCAGAGGCCACAGCGGGTGGATCACTTGAGGCAGGAGTTTAAGACCAGCCTGGCCAACATGATAAAACCCTGTCTCTACCGAAATACAAAACTTAGCTGGGTGCGGTGGCACGCACCTGTAATCCCAGCTACTTAGGAGGCTGAGGCAATGAGAATCACTTGAACCCAGGAGGCAAAGGGTTGCAGCAAGCCAAGGTCACACCACTGCACTCCAGCCTGGGTGACGGAACGAAAATCTACCTGAAAAAAAGAAAAAATATAAAGCACTTCAAAACACAAGAAAATAGGCTCATTTTACATAGTTCTATATGTTTAAATGTTTGTAAGTATATTCCATTTGCAGTAAGAATTTTTAAAAATAAATGACTCTACAAATCATTTTGAAAAAACAAAAAATTCAATGAGAAAAATAGACAAAGCATTAACCATTTCCTGAAACGGCCATCAAAACGCAAAAACTCATCTAAATTCCTATTGTCCTACTCAGTCACTACACCAAAAGTATAATGGCCCCGGAGTGCACAACGCAATTATACAATTATCTTTTAAAATAAGAGGAAAAACATTCAAAGCAAGCAAAAGACAAAACAATCCAGGAAATCCAAACATTGGAATTCCCCAACATGGGAATCCCATTTACAGTATCTTTTCTAAGATTAACTTTATAGACCACACTAAAATTTCAAAGCTATGGTACAATTTCTCCTTTTAAACTGCAACACAGTTATTTCTATGACTCACATCTTATTAACACACCACTTACTTCAGCAATATCCATTCTAAAGTACTGCTAACCCAATGTGAAATGAATACAACTAATGCCAGAAATGAGTAATGAAATTTAATTTCTCCATTAGGTATCATGTCACAACAAATGAGACTTCTATTTTTTAATCAAACTTTTTTCCCTTTAATATGAGAATAGATCAATCCATTTGAACAGCTTTCCCAAGAAACTGAAAAGGAATTGCAGAGGTCATAGCTGCTGAAAGTATCTTTTAGACTTTTGCTTACTCATCATGCCCAAACCAGCCCATTTTCTCAGGAAAAGGCACTGCTCATTTAAAAACACTTCCATGGGAAATAATCTGGTTAAAAGTTTATTCGGTAAAAAAAAAAATCTAATTTATAATTAGACAAACTGAAAGCTTTAATACCAAAAAAGTAATAACTTTTTAAAATAGTCTTTCAAATCAGTTTTCAAATCACATAAAATCAGTTTTTGAAGACAAAAGAACATGTCATCAAAACTGTTCAAAAATTAACACTACAACATGAAATTCATACCGTAAAACAGCTACACCATGTACAGAAGCTTTCCTCCCCTTAAAATCTACCATCTTGACCTGCTTTTCCTTTCATAAGATTTCTGAGTAAGAAAGGGCCATCTAATCCAACTAGCCACTCAGAGATTAGACCCAGCTCAACAGGCAGCCAGCCTATGTTTGAAAAGCAGGGATGAATACCTCCCATAAACCCCTTTTATTCTTTGGAAAGACAAGTTCTTTTTAGTTTTGATCCAAAATCACATCATCCTATAACTTCTCCCAGTGGTCCTAGCTCTACCCTAACCATAACAAATCTGTCCAATCCCACTACCACAGGGTAGTCTTAATAACTGATGCTTAAACTTAATGAAATTAAATTTAGCAGCAAATAGAAAAACTTACTTCAAAATTTATCATTCACAAAAATTTATCATCCTTTGGAAAAGTTTAGCTAGGGTATTAAAGTTGAACATAATGGGTTAATTAATAAAATATTAATAAAATAACTCTTAGGTGTATCACCTTAGGTCACTCAACAATGGAAGTACTAAAATGATCAGATGTTTTAGGTATTATGTCTCTTCTGGGGATATTCTTGCTTATCCCCAGAAGAGACATAATACCTAAAACATCTCACAAACTGAACATGAAATGTAAATTAGAACATCAAATACTATCAAAAATGACTACTGAAAAAGTTTTGCTTATGTAAATAAGAATTTTTAATTCTTGTCCAAGAACACCCAATTAAAGGCAAAATAGCCCATATACACACAAAAAGTTTGGTATATTATCACAGTGCCATTTCAAATCACTAAGTTAAAAAAATAGATTTAATAAGTAGTATTGACACAAAAGAGAAAAAGACACAAGAGAAAGCTTGTTTGCTTTTCCAAAGGCCAGAAGTCTCCATTAAGATTGTACAACCTTAAATTCTCATCTACAGTTTCTGCCAATTCCCCCTACTGCCCCCTTCCTACCACAAATATTGACATAAAAATGGCTCACGGATCACCTGAGGTCAGGAGTTCCGAGAACCACCTGGCCAACATGGCGAAACCCCGTCTCTACTAAAACTACAAAAAATTAGCCGAGCGTGGTGGCGGGAGCCTGTTAATCCCAGCTACTCCGGAGGCTGAGGCAGGAGAATCGCTTTGAATCTGTGCTTCTGTGCGGCAGAGGTTGGCAGTGAGCCAAGATTGCGCCACTGCACTCCGCCCTGGGCAACAGAACGAGACTCTGTCTCAAAAAAAAGAAAAAAAAAATGGCTCAATGGCCACAAAAGCCCTGGGACTCAGGAAAAACTCTTGGGAAGGAAAAATCTCTCTGGAAAAAAACTACCTCTGTCCAATCTAGTCCGTACAGTATAGTATTTGCAGATATACTCCTGCCAGAGGTGAACTTCCAGTCAAAATAAACAAGAGTAGCACATACAAACAGGGAGTAGATCCCAAAAAACTGATAACAGAATGTGAAAGACTATTAAAACAAAAATTTCAGCCATGAGAGTTATAAAAGAAATCAGAAACACAGAAAACACTCATAAAAAAACAGAAAAATTAGAACTTGAATTTTATAAATTATGTGTACATACATATGTACACAGACATACAAACACCCAGCAATTAAAAGCTAAATGGCCTGATAACTATATAAAGTTGAATTATCAAACAAGACAGACGATTAAAAAACTGACAATGTACCACAAAAAATTATACATAAGGGAAAATATGAAAGAAAAATTAACAGACATAAAGGATACATGAGAATGTCCAATAAATCCAATGGGAATTCAAGGAGAGGAAAGAACAAAGAAACACAGTGGCTGAGAATTTTCAAAAACTGTTGAAAGCTATGGATCTTCCAATTCAGGAAAGGCAACAAAATTTGAACAGAATAAAAGATATTTAAACATTTGTTGTAACGTTGTGTAACTCAAACAAGTCTTGAAACCAATACAGAAAAGAGTACCGAAAAATTTAGACTTACATAGTACTTAGCAATAGAAGCCAAAGAATAATGTAATAAAATCTCCATAGAAACAATGACCATTAATTGCCACAGAATTCTAGACCCTGCTGAACACTGGAATATTAGTTTTTAGAAGCAATAAGTCTGTCAGCTCTGCAACAAACAAAACTGATCAACATTAGTAAATAATTAGTAAAAATTAATTCAGACTTTATATGAAATTTACTAATCCAGAATGTAATTTTTTTTTTTAATGAACAGTACCTCTTTCCAACCAGAGTATGACTGATTGAGGAACCAATATTCTTTTTTTTTTTTTTTTTGAGATGGAGTCTCGCTCTGTCGCCGAGGCTGGAGTGCAGTGGCGGGTTCTCGGCTCACTGCAAGCTCCGCCTCCTGGGCTCCCGCCATTCTCCTGCCTCTGCCTCCAGAGTAGCTGGGACTACAGGCGCCCGCCAACACGCCCGGCTAATTTTTTGTATATTTAGTAGAGACGGGGTTTCACCATGTTAGCCAGGATGGTCTCAATCTCCTGACCTCGTGATCCGCCCGCTTCGGCCTCCCAAAGTGCTGGGATTACAGGCGTGAGCCACCGCGCCCTGCCGAGAAAGCAATATTCTTATTATTTCACTAGGGATTACAGCTGACCTTTGCTTTTCTCTAATAAACTTTTCAGGAATGCACAAAGAAGAGTGCTAGCAAAGAGTTTTCCCTCTCTGGCCCCTCAATTACTCCAAGCTTCCGTATACAAAGCCATATGAAATTAGGACAAATTTTCACAGATAGTTAAGTACACCAATTAAATGGTGAAAGCCTGAATTTTTTTTTCTAAACCTTACAATCTATTCTGTAGTCTACATTTTAATTTCTACATTCCTACAACCTACATTTCTACTTTTTTTTTTTGAGATAGGGTCTGACTGTCGCCTAGACTGGAATGCAGTGGCACGATCTCAGCTCACTGCATCCTCCCCCTCCCGGGCTCAAATGATTCTCTGGCCTCAGCCTCCCAAGTAGCTGAGATTACAGGTGCCCGCCACCATGCCTTGTTAATTTTTGTATTTTTAGTAGAGATGGGGTTTCACCATGTCGGCCAGGCTGTTCTCAAACTCCTGACCTCAAGTGATCTGCCCGCCTCGGCCTCCCAAAGTGCTGGGATTACAGGTATGAACCACCATGCCAGCCCTTCTACATTTCAATTTTAATGTTCATATTCCACAGGGAAATTCCTATCATTGCTATTTAAGAAACAGCAAAGAGATTCGACATCTACGCAAACAGCAAAATTGTGAATAAACAGCAAAATCTTACACACAATCTAAAAACAAGTACAAATGAAGAATCCGATAAACTTAAGAAATGTTCATTCTGATTCACTGAAATTAAGAGGCATTTGCTTTAATACATTCACAATCTTATGTGTTTATCATTCTCTGAAATTGTACCTTAAGAACTATGGCTTAAGAAAACATTCCCTGAAGACTTTTACTCACTTATTACACAAAGTTTAGCTTATACTACTCAAAAAGTGTAAGCCAAATGAGTAACTCCCCTTTTCAAATACATGTTCTCCCATCTATCTGGGAGCCCAACACAGAGTCCAACGCACAATGTTGTCAAATATTTACTTCTCTGAACATAAATAACTTTATATAGGTGGTCCTTGTGAGTTCTTCCCTTTGGATTTTTTTTTTCAAAATAATCCTTCATATATACAGTATATACTAATCCTATTTGTGTTCACTGGTACTCTGAAACACAAAATCAAGGATGTTTTATCATGATATGGACTTCACCATAACGTTCTATTCTTGAAGCTGCAAAAAGAGTCTATGACAGAAAAAACATCAAAAAGTACAGATATAATTACCTTGAATTGGAAATAAGTGTAGCTTTGATATATTAACAAAGTTTAAGTCTACAGTGGCAAAAAAAACTTTGTCAAAAAAAAAAAAAGGTTCTATTCTTTTGACATCACTCGCAATAATAGGAAACCTAAGCAAAAAATTAGTGAGAGACCCGATCTTACTAAGAACCTTAGGGAGCTAACGCCAAGAAAAAGTAGTCCTTGTGATTTCACCAACTGAAAGTTGGTTTAAGTATGTCAATTATGTAATTAACATAATTAAAACACAGCACACCATGAACCTTCAAAATTTGTGATTGCAAAGACTGCCTTCCAGACAACAGAAATATGAGGTAAGAGGATGAAAGATGATCAGTTATCAGAACCTAAAATATAGCCACAAGTAGAGGCTCCTATCCTATGGTCATCCTTAGAATCCATGTTTACAACACAATCACCTCAACAGCCATGCAAAGACAGATGTTGCCTTCAACAGACACAGCTGCCATGATCCTACATTTCAAGTTCCATGAAAGGCTTCTGCTTTCCTCACTATTAGAAAATGCCTAAGAGTTAGGGGGAAAAAAGTAAAAGCTATTAAATATCATGTACTAAAAATAGAAAGTAGTCAAATTAAAATTGATGAATTTATTTTAGGTAAATCCAGACAATGTTACTAAAAAATATAGGCACATCAAAAGCCATCCACTATAAACCATTTATTTATTTTATTTTTACTTTTTTTTTTTTTTTTTTTGCTATTGAGTCTTGCTCTGTCGCCCATGCTGGAGTGCAGTGGCACGATCTCAGCTCACTGTAAGCTCCGCCTCCCAGGTTCACACCATTCTCCTGCTTCAGCCTCCTGAGTAGCTGGGACTACAGGCGCCTGCCACCACACCCAGCTAATTTTTTTGTATTTTTGGTAGAGACGGGGTTTCACCATGTTAGCCAGGATGGTCTTGATCTCCTGACCTCATGATCCGCCCACCTCGGCCTCCCAAAGTATTGGGATTACAGGCGTGAGCCACCGCGCCCAGCCGCCAAACCAGTCACTATTAAAAAAAATCACTCCGATACCTTTTTAAATAAAAGGGTTACTAAATCAGGAAAACCCAATACACATTATGGAATGTCTGATTTTGTCAGAACAGTCAATAAAGTAAACAAGCTATCCTTGGAGACAAGATTGATAAATCCTGAACATGGCTGAATACTGGCATAAATTGAAGAATATTTAAAAGGTTAAACAATAATATCCCAAAGTTGACAATTAATGGTTTAGAAAGTATCTTAACAATGTACCAAAAAACTAAGCCTGACCTTACTAACATTTTAATCAATTAAAGATAATCTTGCCAGTTTACAAATGTGTTGAATATGAGGATGAGAACAAAGGGCAAACCAATTAAAGGTTTCAGAACGTAAGATTTGTATTATCCTGTGTTACTCTGAGTTACCTGGTTAGAATAGCAGAAATTCTGACAACTAGTTCAGATAAGCTGGAACACCACATTACTAAGTCTACTACAGACTTAACCACATAATGAGCTGTTCATTTAACTGGTTTTCATCAAAATGGCTCTTGAAAATTACCACTTTTCAAGCAATGACCTTTTTTGGTATTAGTGACTGTTTACCTAAGCACACACAAAATATTCTATAGAGTGAAATTTCAACATTTATGATTTCAGACTCAATGTTTTATTCAACGTAATTATTTCCCATCAGCGTAAATCATATGGAACAGATCTATACTGTACATACAGTACACTGGATGAACCTAGATATGCTTCGTGTACATATGCAGAGCAAGAAAGTCAATGAGCTTCCAGCTCCTACAACTCCGTCTTTTCTGCATGTGTTCTATTTCCCGTGTTGTGAACAACTTGTGTTTGTTATTGCCCTAGTGGTGCTTTTCTGTGCAGACAACTTAAGTGCAGACTGAATGCAAGGTAACTCTGAACTCCAGAAAGCTTGAATTGGTGAAAAAACACAGTACAGAAGAAACAGACTTCCCAAAAAGTGACACTCTACCAACTACACTACCATCCACTATCAAATCTTCTTTCTCCTTTGGCAAATACAATTAGCCTTCATTATACTACATTATATTTTATGTATAAAGTGTATTTACTTTCAACTTGTTTATACCTACACAAATTTGTCTTCATTGTTAGATTAATATTTACCTACGTGTGAAAACTGTTTGGGATGAAATACCGCATCATAATTCCCTACTAAAATTAATGGAAATAGGCTTTCATTTAATAGCTTTTAAATTAGCAGCAGGGTTTTCAAGAATGAATTCAAAACATTGGATATTTGATTTTCAAGTTGGAGACAACAAGCAAAAATATTTCACACAACAATGGATACCAGTCCAAACTCAAAAATGAAAAAAAAAAAAAAAAAACTCTACTCTGCTTGAGTGGGAACAGCAACTCCAAAACAGAACGAAGAAACACAGGATGAGTGAGATCAAGCAGCAAAAGCAAGAATCACATTTCAATGCTTAAAGAGTCTAACTAATTATTATATAATCATAAATTAGTGTGATGCTAATATCAGATGTGTTCTGTAGAGCTGAATAATATTCAACAAGATTAAAAGATTTGTGCAAAGGAAGGGAACAGATCACTGAACTAGAGCACTCAGGATACACTGTGAATACTACTCAGGATACATAAGCTGGGATTCAAAAAACAAGTAAGCCTAAGATAGGTAGAAATGAAGATAACGACTTCCAATAAGGATCCTCCTCCAAATACTTAGTAATAGTGTGAAATATTACTTTTGCACCAACCTTTTGCACGAATATAAAAGGAAATTTAAAAGATATGGCTAAACTCAAAACTAAGATAAACATCGTACTGGGTGAGAAATGCAATAAAAATTCAAAACAGTAACCCATATCTTAAGTGCAGTAGAGGGAAGAAGGAACCAGGAAGATGGCTGGATAGTTCAGTTCCTAAAGGTAACAGCAACAAAACAGAACAAGGTTCATCGCCTGACACCAAGGGGTCAAGATTTGCACAGCTTGTAAAAAGAGAGGTTTCAAAAAAATAAAAAGGTAAAAAAAGAGAGGGGAGGAGAGGGGAGAAAAACAATGACACTGCAAATCCAGAGCTATAACTTTACAGAAGCTCCAAGCCTGGAGAAAAAAAAAAGACAACAAAACATCCAATGTCATAGCAAATTAAAAATTAGTAATTCCTTAATGCAAAGCTAGTGTTCGTTCACGTTCCCCAAGTGCTTTGCAAGTATTTTGTTATTCCTTGACTGGTATATTTCTTGTCTCCTTTCACGTACTATACCTATCTCTTTATTTTTCAGTTTCTTACAATTCTTAGAACTTTTAGTTGGGAAGGGAAAAAAAACCAAGCAGCTAGTCCTAGCGCGTTTCCCAGTGTGAATTTTGTTGATAGTACCCTCACAGTGTTTAACAAGTTTTCTTTTTTTTTTTTTGGGGGGGGGGTGTCTATTTCTGATCAATTAGTAAATTCAAAAATAAGATTAAATTTCAGAGTTTTGATTTGAATGCAAGAGTTGTCAAAATAATGAGTCTGTCCAACATTAAAACCAGTTTTTTTAATCCAAAACATAGCAAGAAATTTAATGAGAAAAAACAATCATATAAAAACACGAATTCACACCAGATGTTTTATGAAATGGTCTGACAAAGATTTTTAAATTTGAACATGTTAAAGAAGGAGATAGAGGTTTTCTAAGTAGCAAAAGGGTTGCCAAACAAAGAGAATTGAAACAGGTGATTATGAAAAAGCAATTCCAAATTTAAAATATGAAAATTATAGATACTGGCATATAGACTCAACAGATACAATACACTCTAGACAAAATAGAAAAATAAAATGGTAAATTGCTAGACAGTAATGAATTCACCTAGTATGAAGCACAGAAAAGAGAAAAAAATGATAGAACAATTAAAAACACGGGATAAACTTAGCCTCCAAGACAGGTCTAGCAAAAGAGAAAAGTGAAAATAAAAGAAGCAATATTTAAAGAGGTGAGAATTTTTCAAAATTAAAGATTTGATTCCTCATACTGTAAGTATACTCTAAGTACAAGCTGTATACATAGAAGTTTGTCCATACATATTCAAAATACCAAGCACAAAGATCTACTTCACAATATATGTGCAAAACAATTTAAGAAAACCACATGCAAACACTGGCATCACTGTGAAATATTTACAAAACACTTAGGATGTCAAATAGGGACTGGAGGAGGGACTTCAAAGTTTATTGAATAACTATCCAAAGTTTCTTTTTCAAAACACTCCTACATACAGTCATCCCTCAGTATGCGCCAAAAATTGGTTTAAGGACACACACAGGTACACCAAAATCTCCCATAGTCAAGTCCCATAGCCCATCTACTCAGGTTTCACCATCCTGCTCCATGTATAAGTGGACCCGTGCAGTTCAAACCCATGTTGTTCAAGGGTCAACTGCAATTATTTTCTTATGACTCTAAAAGTAAGTTGTAGATGCAATCCTCGAAACAACTCCATACTGTCAAAGTATTATTTCAAAGCATCTATAAATAAACACATTTTAGCCCTTAAAAACTGAAATGGTAAGCAGTGGAAATCTTGGAAAAAAGAAAACAGCATAAAGGGGAAGAAACAAAAATCAATTCCAGGGAAAGAACTGTGAGACAACATAAAACTTTTTAAGACAACATGCAAGAACATCTTCATAACCGTGAGGTAGAGAAGAATTTCTTAAACTAGACACAAAGTACAAATTATAAAAGGAAAACACTGATAAATTCAACTACATTAAAATTTTTAACTTTTAATAGAGACACCATAAGAAAGTCAGAAGACAAGCCACAAAGTAGGAAGACATTTATAACACATAATTGGCAAATAATTAGTATTCAGAACATATGAAGAAATCTTGCCACCCAAAAAGATAAACCCAACAGAAAAATGAACAGTCATTTCAGAGAAAAGGAAACTAGTGCCCAGCAAACTCTGAAAATATGTTTTCTCTCATTAATCAGAAATGCAAGGCCAGGTGCAGTGGCTCACGCCTGTAATCACAGCATTTTGGGTGGCCGAGGCGGGCGGATCACCTGAGGTCGGGAGTCCGAGACCAGCCTGAGCAACATGGAGAAACCCTATCTCTACTAAAAATACAAAATTAGCCAGGTGTGGTGGTGCATGCCTGTAATCCCAGCTGAGGCAGGAGAATCGCTTGAACCTGGGAGGCAGAGGTTGCAGTGAGCAGAGATCGCATCATTGCACTCCAGCCTGGGCGACAAGAGCAAAATTCCGTCTCAAAAAAAAAAAAAAAAAAAAAAAAGAAAGAGAGAAAGAAAGAAATGCAAGACATACAATGTATCAATTCACACACAATAGGCTAACTGGTTTTTGCCATTATCATGTATAGGGAAGAATGTGGAGCCATCACACATATACACTGGTGACAGGAATAAACTGGCACATTTATATTGGAAAGAAAACAATTTACACTAACTAGTAAAGTTGAAAATGTCTTGTCTCCTACAATCCAGCAATTCTATTTCTAGCTAGTCATAAGCCCCAAAACTATCTACACTCTAGTCTCAACTCACTAGCGATTAGCATAAAACTTAGGTCTTGACTAGCGTTTTTAGTTTTAATGAAACAGAACAGCATGGAATAGTATACCTGATAATATACTGAGTCATAATTTAAAATGTGTTTCTTATTGTGAGTGGTAACAAAAAGTTTGAAAAAAAACACTATCCTAGAGACACAAGTGCAACAAATAGACCTATGCTATTCAAGGTGTTCATAGCAGCACTGTGTATACTAACAACAAAAATACCTAGAAACCCAATGTCCAACAGGAAACAGGTTGTAAAATATTCATACATGAAGTAGCCAAATGAGTTAGAGCTACATACAACATGGTGAAAGAATATCCTGGGCCGGGCATGGTGGCTCATGCCTGTAATCCCAGCACTTTGGGAGGCCAAGGCGGGTGGATCACAAGGTCAGGAGATCGAGACCAGCCTTGCCAACATGGTGAAACCCCGTCTCTACTAAAAATATAAAAATTAGCTGGACGTGGTGGTGCATGCCTGTAATCCCAGCTACTCAAGAGGCTGATGCAGGAAAATCGCTTGAACCTAGGAGGCAGCGGTTGCAGTCAGCCAAGATCGCGCCACTGCACTCCAGCCTGGGCAACAGAGCGAGACTCCATCTCAAAAAAAAAAAAAAGAATATCCTGATAACAAGGTTGAGGGGAAACAGGAAGTTACAAATAAACTCATACAGAAGGATTCCATTTAGAGTTCAAAAACCAACAAAACAACAAAATAGGGATACAACTAGATCTGGCAAAACTAAAAGAAAAGCAAAGGTAAGAAAGGTAGTGGTTAGAGTGTGGGAAGGGACATAAAGAAATAAAAAGGATTATGTTCTCAAACTGGGTATTAGATACAAGGCTGTTCATTATGTCTTTATATCTTACACGTACTCTTAAAATATTATCTCATACGTATTTTATTTTAAAAGAAAAAATTTAAAGCTGAGAGAAAGGTACACAGGTGTTCAGTACACAGATGTTCATTTTATATTTAATCTTTAAACTGTACATATACATTATACATTCTTATATGTCTGAATCATTTAATAGTGGTTTCAACTTTCAATAAAACAATAAAAAGACAAGTAGGAAGAGATAAATGTAAATCAAAACAAACAAGCAAACAGGCATAAGCTTCCCTGCTTCTTAACTTATACAATTACAATAAAAGCACTGAATAATTGTAGAAAGTTATTCCTACTTTGGAAGAAATTTTCCCCAAAAAGAAAAGTCCTTTAAAATAAGAAATCTATTAAAAATGTTTACAGAAAATATCTAGGTTTGTATGTGTGGTTTTTTTTGTTTTGTTTTGTTTTTACTTATTACAAAGCTACCTTAAGAAATCAGATAAATAAGGCTGGGTGCAGTGGCTCACACCTGTAATCCCAGCACTTTAGGAGGCTGAGGTGGGCAGATCACAAGGTCAAGAGATCGAGACCATCCTGGCCAACATGGTGAAACCCCGTTTCTACTAAAAATACAAAAATTAGCTGGGCGTGGTGATGCATGCCTGTAGTCCCAGCTACTCAAGAGGTTGAGGCAGGAGAATCACTTGAACCTGGGAGGCGGAGGTTGCAGTGAGCAGAGATCGTGCCACTGCACTCCAGCCTGGGCGACAGAGAGACACTCCATCTCAAAAAAAAAAAAAAAAAAAAGAAATCAGATGAATATAGTAACCAAGAATAATAATTAAAGAATCTCTGGCCCAGCATGGTGGCTCATGCCTGTAATCTCAGCACTTTGGGAGGCTAAGGCAGGTGGATCACTTGATTTCAGGAGTTCGAGACCAGCTTGGCCAACAAGATGAAACCCCATCTCTACTAAAAATACAAATATTAGCGAGATTTGGTGGCAGGTGCCTGTAATCCCAGCTACTCAGGAGGCAGTAGAATCGCTTGAGCCCAGGAGGCAGAGGTTGCAGTGAGTCAGAGGTTGCAGTGAGCCAAGATTGTACCACTGCACTCCAGCCTGGGTGACAGAGCGAGACGCCGTTTCAAAAAAAAGAATCTCTTTATACCAAAAGTAGTATGTTATTTTGAATGCTGCCAGGACTTTCTGCTTAAATGAAGGTTACATAACACTGAAAGGATATGAAATATAACTACCAATTTATGCCAGGTAATTAATCCTAAAAGAGCAGACAAAAATTCGGCTTTCATCACTTTACAACTAACTTATATTTATGAATTACTTCTTTTCTCCCCAAAACCTCAGACAAGGTAAATGCCTCGGCTGTATTTTATGTATAATTCCAAGGCTAATCTTGAATGTATAACTGACCTTTGAACACTATGGGTTTAAACTGTGTGGGTCCACTTCATGCAGATTTTTTTTTCGGTAACTATATTGGAAAATTTTTTGGAGACTGCAACAATATGAAAAAAACTCACAGGGAAACCACAGCCTAGAAATATTGAAAAAAATTAAGAAAAATGTCATGAATGCATAAAATATATGTAGATCCCAGTCTATTTCATAATTTACTACCATAAAATATACACAAATAATAAAGTTAAAATTTATCAAAACTTACACAAACCAGACCCTATATGGTTACTGTACATGGTGCCATTTGCAATAGATGGAAATGTAAACAAAGGTCAAGATACAGTACCAAATCACAACTGCATAAAATTAACTGCAGTACATACTGTACCACTGTAATAATTTTGTGGCCACCTCCTGTTGGTATTACTGTGAGCTCAAGTGTCTGAAGTATCCCTGACTCCTATCCATGACTCTAATTATCTCCACATGAGCATTCTGTCCTTCCAGTAACAGTATCACAGTAAAAAGTGATCATAGTTCTCGCATATTTTTCATCATTTTTAGCACAACACTGTAAACCCTGAATAACACCATGAGACCCATGCCAAGTGCCACTAGTAATGCTGGAAGTGCTCCCGAGAAGCAGAGAAAAGTCATGACAAGGAAAAGTTGAATTACTTGATATGTACTTAGACTGAGGTCTGCAGTTACAGTTGCTCACTGTTTCAGACAGATGATTCATCTTACAGATGATATAAACTTATGGTATCAATAAACAGTACAGTATTGTAAATACACAGTCTCTTATGATTTTCTTAGTAGCATTTTCTTTTCTTTAGCTTTATTATAAGAATACAGTATATAATACATATAACGTACAATATACATGTTAATTGACTATTTATGTAATTGGTAAGGTTTCCAGTCAAAAGTAGGGTACTAGTAGTTAAGTTTCTGGAGAGTCAAAAGTTATACAAACATTTCTGACTGTACAGGGTGCTAGTGCCCCTAATTCCCACATTGTCCAAAGGTCAGCTGTATTTTTTACTTGAAAAGTGCTCCAGAATTTTCAAGCTCAGAAATACTTCAAGTTAAAACTAAATCCAATTATTTAGACTAAAAGAAAAAAAAGAGTGAAAGAATTAAGCCACTTTTACAAAAGGATTCAATTTAAACTTAAAATTACAGCAAACATCTAGTCAAACTGGAAGCTATTTAAGAAATGATTCTCCAGCAATAGAGTACCAAGCACAAAGATTATCCAGCACAGCACCTGAAACTGTACCCAGAAATAAGAGCACTAAATACAAGCTTGAGGAATTCCCTTTACAGAAATCATGACATTCAGCCAACCTCAAGAGACCCAGATTATGAAAACTACGTAAAGTAATTACGGAAACATTTCAAATGAACATGACTTCCCAATAAAGTAGGCAAGTACAGGTTGGTGGCACGTAAGTGAATTCAACCTGTGTGGATATTACAGATTTAAGGCAACATCTTCAACGTTCTGCAACATAGCATTCAGAACACTAGGGAGTTTTCAGTGCACAGCTTAGCTTGTCCAAATTTATTTCAAAAGGTAATTAGATCTAAACACAAGCATTCACTAAATTATTTATGTACAGATTCCACTCAGAACACTTACATTACTGATGAACAAGATTAACTGGGACTAAGCACACCCATTTTGCTGAAATTCATGTTTCAAATTGTTTTCCATTCCACTCTCCCAAGAGTAAACCTAAAACCCTTATTCTTAGAGTTTCACTTTATATGGCATACCAAATACCACTCAGTTAGCCATGCTAATAAAGGATGGCAAGTAAAGCAAAAGACTCAATGAGTCCCAATCATTTTCAAGCATCAGACCATCCATTCATTCAAATTGAGCACTAGCTAGGTGTCAGACATATAGTTCACAGCGATGAACAAGACAGTCCCTGCCTCACATTATTTATATTCTTGTAGGTGAGGCAGATACCAAGAAAGAAATAAGCGTATTATAACATCAGGTTGTGACTGATAATGCAATGAATAAAAATAAGGCTGTGACAAAGAATAGGGAGGGTATGCATTTTTAGGTAGGGTCAGAGTTGGCGTTTTCGAGGTAACCATTAAGAAATGTCTATAAGATCACACAAGAGTAACTTATAATGAACATATGCAGGAAATGAAACAGAAAAGTTTCTTGGAAACAAAAGGACGACATTCTATCTACTGCTTTCCATATAACTAAAACATTTTATAGCATGTGGTTTAAGTAGCTTTTACTGTTTTCTCCACTTGAAAAACTTCAAGTCTTTAAATTTAAATCACTAGTTTTAAGAATTAATCTTCTAATTCCTATGGGGGGGAGGGGGATCCTTATAACCTTAATTTAGCTTTGTAATGCCTAACATTAGACAGCTGCACATGGACAGCGTTTTGTTTTCTTCAGAAAGCATTCTTATAAAACAGCTCAACGGGTAAGAATGGGCTCTAAGTCAGAATGCCTCAGTTAAAATTCAGGCTCCTCCTAAAGATATTTGTGTCTTTGAACAAATTATTTGTCTCCCTAGTTTTCACCAAATAGTACCTACCTCATAAGGTTGTTGAGAAGATTAAATATGATATGATATGATAATGCACCTAAAGCATTTAGAGTTTGACAGCAAATATGTACTCCAATGTTAGCTATCACTTATGAGGCAACTACTGAGGTAAGATAATTCCTTAATGAGCCTTAGGCAGGTTAATATAGGTTAAGATCACACATGCAGTAAGTGGTACTGACTAGCAAAACTAAATTCAAGCCCAAGGTCTTCAGGCTCCCTAGTGCCCAAGCTGTTTCCACTACCCCACAGAACATTATGTAATTAAAGAACTGGACAATAAAGAACTTGCATAAAACCTTAGAGTTAATAAGGTCTAAGACCTGTAGGTCTCCTAACTAGTGACTTCCAGCTTATTATACCAGACCAGATTGTTTCCTTAACAACTCAATGACTCATGCATAAGAATAATAATTGTCCCACATTTTCCAGCGAAAATGCAGTGTAACATCATGTCTCCTGATAGACAATGTACACTTACTTGAATTCACATAAGTTCTGAAAACTAATTGTAGATGTTACTCAGAGTCAAAATAAAGAAATAAGGGTAAATAACATTCTCTTCTAGTAATTATAGGCTGCTATGATCCTACGGCCCCTATGGAACCTATTCAAAGTGGAAGCTGTCTTACAGGATCTCTCACTGGATTAACTGACATTCTCCTCCTTTGTAAAAATACATGGGCTGGTGTCTTCAGAAAGCTGTTTCTGGCTAGCAATTACTCTCCTACTCACTTATTTCTATATATCTATCAAACATGAAAATAGAGTCAAAAGGTGTTATTTCTATAAAAATGACATTAAATCCTTTGGAAGGCCTTGATGAATAACTGGAAAAATCTATAAAGATTTTGTACTTGGAGAGTTTCCCAGTGCCTATCTTTTCATTCCACTTTAAAGAAACCAATACTAGAAATCATAGATAATGCTTTTAGAGTACAATCTATGAAAGGAAAATCAGGATAACCTTTATTTTAAGAAAAGAAATCAGTAAAAATAAAAAGGCAAATAAAAGTAAAATCAAATATTTTAAGTGAAAACATTTAAGGTGCACATATATTTTGATTCCTTGCTTTAACCAACTTTTTGAATTAACTAACAAATGGTCCTAATCATGTGGAGTATGTAAGAGGGTCTCCACCACACTCTAACATCATTCCTTCCACCAAGCAGCTCCCAAAGGCTCCATGCCACTTTCTTCCACTCTCTGACCATCCCTGAAAGAGGAAAGGAGCAAACTGAAAACTACATGTATCCAATAATGAGTTATCCATCAAAGGAAGGAATGTGAGATTTTTTTTTTTTTTTTTTTTTTTTTGAGACACAGTCTCACTCTGTCACCCAGGCTGGAGTGCAGTCGCACCATCTCAGCTCACTGCAACCTCCACCTCCCTGGCTCAAGCAATCCTCCCACCTCAGCCTCCCAAGAAGCCGGGACCACAGGCACACGCTACCATGCCTGGCTATTTTTATATTCTTTTTAAAGATGGGGTTTTGCCACGTTGCCCAGGCTGGTCCCAAACTGCTGGGCTCAAGCAATCCACACACCTTGGCCTCCCAAAGTGCTGGCATTACAGATGTGGGTCATCACACCCAGCCAGGATTTAATTATTGTGTTCAACAAATTCTTATTGAGGACCTGCTATGTGCTAGACACTGCTCTGAACTCTTAAAGAGTCATCAATAAAACAGACAAAAAGCCTACCCTCATAGAAGCTATGTAATACTGTGTTTGAGGGTTATGTGGAAGAGACAATAAACACAACCAGGAAATTATATAGTATGACAGAAGGTGACAAATGCTATAAAGAAAACGGAGCAAGGTACAAGAATCAGACGTAGGGGAGTGCAGTTTTAAATAAAATAGGCACATCTTTTTAAGAAACTGACATTTAAAAAGCAAAGACTGGACGGAGACAACAAGCCATGCATGTATCTACAGGGTAACAGCCAGTGTAAAAAACAGCTCTGTTTCCTCCATGGCACTTGTCACCTTCTTGCCAGGAGAAGTAAACAGTATATAATTTCCTCATTGATTGTGTTTATTATCTCTTCCCCTTGCCCTCAAACATACACTATTACACAACTTCTATCAGGGCAGAGCTTTTCGTCTGTTTTGTTTATTGATGGAGCCTAAGCGTTTAGGGCAGTGTCTGATATGTAGCTGCCCTTAGGAAAACCATTGGAGCCAGAGAGAAGTAAGCAGAGGGATGATAGTAGCTAACCTTAGAGGTAAGGGGGAATGAGGAGAGTGGAAGTGTCCAGATTCTGCATGGCCTTAAGGACATAAGAACTTCAGCTTTCACTGTGCATAGAGAAAGTCACTGTAGCATTCTGAGAAGATAAGTAATATGATCCAGTTGTTGTGTTGGAAAGACTGCAGGGAGTTAGGGCAGAGGCAGGGAGATCAGTTAGGAGGCTAATTGCAGAAATCTAGGTAAGAGATAAGAATGGCTTGCACCAGGCTGGTGAGCAGTGGAAGCAGTAAGTACTGATTGGATTCTGGTTATATTTTCAAGATAAGACAGAGCACAGAATGCCAAGTGTGAAAGAAATAAGTCAGGGATGACTCCAACGTTTTTTTACCTGAATGTTTGATGGAAACATCAAACATCAAACATGTTTGAGGAAAAATACGGAAATTTAGTTGGAGTTGACTACTGCACATCCAAGTGGATAGGCCTAACAGCACATGTGGAAAGTCTGGGTTGGAGATATAAATATGGGAGCCATCAGCATATAGGTATTTAAAACCATGACACTGGATAAGATTGTCAGAGGAATATAAAAAGAAAAGTGAAACAAGGACTGAGCATGTCAAGTTTAAGAGTAGAAGATGTAAGATAGAATGAACAAAGCAATTAGGAAGGAGAAAGCCCAAAAAGCAGAATGTCCTGGAAGAAGAGTGCAAACAAATTACATTTAGTGTACAAATCACTTTGCTGAAACCAGATTTAAGTTACGGAAGAGTTCTTAATCTCCCTGTAGTAGCTAGGACGATTCGTAAAATACTAAATCATAACTTTTTTTAGGGTATGTCTTCTACATTTCCGAGGAATATTATATTTCCTATCAGAGTATCTACTAAAACTATTGTTAGAATTAAAAGTATATCTTGCCTATTTTCTTTTACATAAAACCAATTAAAAGCTTGTACCATTTTTTAAAAAAGAAAAATAGCCTAGTTTTCACTGCCACCTCTGTCAAAAACACATTTAAGCACAACAGCTCGGCACACAGTTGTAAACTGTCATTATTTCTCTTTCTCTAGACCTCAGATACAGAAGGTTAAATTAAACCCCTTAGTTCACAGCACATAAGGTTCTTCCCCTTAATGTTTAATTTTCTATTTATAGAGGAGGGAAAAAGGCTTATATTCTCATCTAGACCAATATTTTCCCAGTGATTTGAAAATAAATTACATTTTTTGATTGGGACAAAGTCATGTTCACAGGAACTGAAAGAGGAAGCAATGAAATGCAATTCTCTTTGAGCATGAGTGATCACCAATGTCACTTCTAGAGAAATAGTTACTTGCTTGTATCCTCTAAGTATACTCTGGATTTACCTTCAAAGTCACTAAAAACAGTACAGAGAACAAGCAGGTCATAAGGTGTATTCTCAAATATATGAACGATCTTGCAAAGCACGATTTTTCTCATTTCCTTATTACATATTAGGTCAGATTCCCAAGAGAACCAAAACCTTCCTAGAACCACTTAAGTTCATTAACAATTTAATATTTTAACAAAGTATTGGAGATCTTTCAGGTTAAAACTTCATTTGCTATAAAAATTATAGGCATACAATTAAAAACACATGTTCCATTCAAGTTAAGAAATTAACTTACACATAGGAAATGTATAAGACACATTCAACTTTTAAAAAAACAATTATGATTCAGTATTCTACGTGTCATCTTAACCATGACAGGCTGATTAAGAACTTTTAACCATAACTTAACATTCAAGTTAAGAACTTAAGAACAGTGACAATCTTAATATGGGTTCTTTAGAAGTCTCAAAAAGGTTTTCACGTCTTAGGCTCTTTTAAAAAGCCATATTGACTGATATTAAAAATATAATTATTAAAACGATCTCCCTACCAAAAGCAGATTAAAGCCTATAAACTAGAAGGGAGACTGAAGTGAGGCATTTTTAGGGACAAACACAACATCAAACAGAAGAGACTACTGGTATTAAAAGAATACAGAAAGATCTAAATTGGAAACAAAATCGTAAATGTCTCTTCATAATGCTGACGCTGAATCATTAAGAGTTAAATACTTGATATTCTTTATAATTTTCAAGTATTAAGAAAATTTTTCAATAGATCTTGTTATATTTTCAAATTCATTATCAGCCTCAAGTAAATCAAGTAGAACACCTTATTCTCTAAGCTCACTTGATAAGGTATTGTTATGTCTGATGAAGGCTACAAAATTAGAAGAGACATTTGAAACTCAATGTTGGGGTGGGAGGGAAACTCATGAACAGACCCAGCTATTTCAGGTTAGATCCTTAAACTAAAAAAAAAGGAAAAAGGAAAAAAAAAAAGAGCCTTTTTTATCAGGCAGCACATCAAATATGAAAGTCTACTGCAAGGCATGTCTACCCAAAATACTCAAGAGTAATTTAGTGTTATTCTTGGGATCATTATCCCAAGTCTCACCAGCTTGGGATCATTATCCCAAGTCTCACCAGCAATTGCTTCGGACCAAACTGGAGACACTGTTGCCATTAGCCTGCTAGGTAAGCTAAGGAAAACAAATGCAACCTAATTTAGCAAAAATTCTAACTTTAAGTCAACTCCTATACAATTCAGAACCTTTAGTTCACCGAAGATGCTTATCTTTAGCTGGGCTGGCCATGAGTGTCTACATTTCTCAAGGCTTTCCACAAAGTCATCACACACACACACACCTTAACAGTTAACTTCAACCGTAGCTCTTTACTCAAGGCTTTCCACAAAGTCATCACACACACACACTCACACACACACACACACCTTAACAGTTAACTTCAACCGTAGCTCTTTAAGCACTACTAACTTAAATAGCGGCTAAGGAATCCGTTTGCCAACACAGTTCTGAATTTAGATTCCTCCTTCCTCCCACAGGAAAGAAGGGCCAACACTGAACAGCTTACTTTCAACCTAACCTAGTCAAGGTGCAACTGGGGCCGGCTGGGACGCCGCTGCCCGCGTCCGGGGCTGCCCACATCTAGTGCACCCAGCGCCTTCACCGCCAGCATGCGGGGCTGCACATCCCACACCAGACGTATGGCTGAGAGCCAGACGACTTCTCTAGACTTCCCGCGTAGTTTTCCGGCGAGGTCCCCAAGGCCAAAAATCTCACTTTTGGAAACTGAAGGGGTCAGGCCGAATCGCTAGGACACACCCCTCGGGGACAGGAAGGGATAACTTCGCCGGTGTCGAGAGTGGTCCATGGATTTTTCCAAAGTCCCCCCTCATGCTGCTTTCCGTGCCCAACCGCCTCCCGCCCTGACCTGGGGACTCGCAAAGGGCAGCGGGAGGGGCGCCGGGGAAGGGGGCGAGCGCCCAGACCGCCGGAGGCAGCGGCGAGGACTGGAACTCCAGCATGGCGTAAGTGTGGCCCAGCTCCGGCCCGGGGACGCCGCCGGAGACGCGCTGCCTCCGTCCACCGGCCGAGGAGGCGGTAATCCGCCTTCCCTCCCGGGGGCCCTCAGGCTTGGCTAAAAATAGGTGCCTCGGTCACCCCAGGGCCCGCTCGGGTCGACCTCGCCTTCGGGAGAGTCGTCCTTGGGGAGGGTGGGGGGTGTCCCTCGGCCGCGCCCCGGGTGCCGCGACAGAGCCGGGGTCGGGCCCAGAGCGGCCCCGCGAGGCCGAGGAGGTCCCTCCGAGCCCGCCCCCTGCGGCGTCCCGGCCCCAACAAGAGCCCCGCGGCGGCAACCGGATGCCCGAGGCCTACCCAGCGGGCGGCGTCCGGGCCCCGCGGCCGCGCCCCCCCGCCCGGCGCGGCCCTCCCGCCTGCCCCAGGACCCCGCGGCCGGCGCCGCCTCCCCCCGCGCTCCCCGCCGCCGGCGCCCGTCCCGGTGCGGCCTGCTCTCCCTCACCCTGTGCGGCCGGGAAAGGAGACCGGGAAGACGCGGCGGCGCCGGCACTACAGCCCGGGCCGCCCGCTCCGAGGCGCCGCCGCCGCCGCCGCCGCCGCCGCAGTCGCTCAGGTGCCGTCGCGCCGCTCGGCAGGAAACGGGCGGCTTCGGGGCGGGGCGGGGCGGACCCGGCACGTCCTGGCGTCTGGGCCGGCGGCGCCGGGAGACCGGCCCCTTAAAGGGACAGCCGCCGGCCCGCCTCTGCCTCCGCGCGCCTGCCCACGCGCTCCGGTACTCGCTGCTCGCGGCTGGCCGGCTCGGGATTCCGGGCTTTCTTCCCGAGACCGCGTCCCCCAGCTGGGCCGAAGGTGGACGCTCAGGGGCTGGAGGCTCAGCGGAATCCCCTGCGTTCAGTAGCCCCGCTCTCCCCTGTCCCGAAGGTTGGTCTCGTCTCGCGCGGCCCTCCCTCCAGGGCACCACCTGGCTCCCCACGCCTTTTAACTTCAGCAAACGGCACTAGATTTACCCCCTGACTATCCCAGATTTCCCCCAGAAATTACTGGAAAACGACATCCCCCGTCCCTTTCTCCAGGGGATCTCTCTGAAATCTCCTTCGGGCAACGCTAGCTACAAACGGAGAAAGAAATTAGAAAGCGACCCAAATAATGGTCGGGCGCGGTGGTTCACGCCTGTAACCCCAGTACTTTGGGAGGCCAAGGCAGGCGGATCACCTGAGGTCAGGAGTTCGAGACCAGCCTGGCCAACATATAGTAAAACCCGTCTCTGCCAAAAAAAGTACAAAAAATTAGCTGGGCATAGTGGCGCACGCCTGTAGCCCCAGCTACTTGGGAAGCTGAGACAGGAGAATCGCAGGAATCTAGGAGGCGGAGGTTGCAGTGAGCCGAGATCTCGCCACTGCACTCCAGCCTGGGCGAGAGAGTAAGACTCTCCGTTTCTCTCAAAAAAAAAAAAAAAAAAAGGAAAGAAAAGAAAGCGACCCAAATGAGTTGTGTGCAAACATTATGAAAGTGTTGTGACTGCCAGCTGGTAGCCATTTATGAAGCCGGGGTAAAAATCTAGAAACTGCTGCGCGAGGAGGGATGGGCCCGGATCTCTCCTTATTCGTTTGCTCTTTGCTGAAAGGATGGCAGCGATCCTCCCCGTCCACTGGCAAGTGAGTTTCGTGTGGATTGTTTACCGATGATCAATCTCTCACAGGAGGCCAGGCACTGCCCCACTACATGTACAAAACACTCCAAGCTGTCCGCAAATGTTATGAAGGCTTAAAATAATCCTAACGATTCCAGACTGTGGATAGAGATAGAAAAAATTAGGACTCACCACCACCACCTCGCCCTACATCTGACAAAGTGGGAACAGAAGCAGTTAAGGAATGAACAGCAGAACCGTTTCTACACCAACAGAATTTCCTGTACATGGGCTGGTTAAAAGTATCCATACTTTTTATTCTAATCATTTCTAAGTTTTCTAGAGCACCTCCAAAATACAAATGAAAACTGCGCAGTGTATAGTGGCCTGAGATATTGAGAATTCTGCCAGTCTTCAGTCACCGTGTTCTCCACAGATGCATTGTCTTATTTTAACTCCAGAGGCGTCCTCTTTTTTCTTTCTCATTAGGATTACTCTGCCCCTCAGCGGTTCCAGTGCCCTCAAAGCAATCTGTCTCTGAAGTACTGGCTATCTTCTGAGCGTGTGCCAGAAGATCCAGCTTTGTTGAAAAGCGAAGCCGTTAGTCCCTTAATACAAAGGGTAAGTGTATCATTTATGTAATGGAGTTTAAGGGCTCTTGATTAGCTTACAAACAACCATGTTATTTCCTCAGGTTAGTACTAACGCAGGTTTTAGGTTAGAATTAAAAATTTATATCATTCATTTTCCTGACCAGTAAAACCGCAATGTCATTTACAGGCAATAATATTTCGGTGCACTTGTAAGTAAGACAATGAGTGGAGTTTAGGATTTTCTCAAAACATACTACTGCTTATACTAAAGGATGACTTTGTATCACCTATTTCGGCTTTTCTGGCGTTTGAACTTTGACTATAGAAAGGGAAGTGGTTGAATGCTTTATTTTTTATAAGCTTTCTATTTATTCACATCAAAACAAAAAGATTTACTAGAGGCCGGGCGCAGTGGCTGACACCTGTAATCCCAGCACTTTGGGAGGCCGAGCTGGGTGGATCACCTGAGGTCGGGAGTTCGAGACCACCATGGCCAACATGGTGAAACCCCAGCTCTACTAAAAATACAAAACTTAGCTGGGCATGGTGGCAGGTGCCTATAATCCCAGCTACTGGGGAGGCTGAGCAGGAGGATCGCTTGAACCCAGGAGGCAGAGGTTGCAGTGAGCCAAGATGGTGCCACTGCACTCCAGCCTGGGCAACAGAGCAAGACTCTGTCTTAAAAAAAAAAAAGATTCACTAGAAATGCTATGCTTCTCTAGTGTTATGCATAATAGGCAAGCCCTATTATGAATTAACACCAACCCTCTAGGTTTTAAAGTGTAGTATAATATAATTAGCTATAGTTAACACATATAATTAACCTACGATATAATTAACTTTGGCTGCTATTTACTACCCTCCAGTGTCACTGAAACCAACAACTAACTTGTTAAAAAGGATTAGCAACACACCCAGCATCTGAGGTACCTCTAGTTGCAACAACTAAGAAATTAAATTTTATTGAAAACTATAAAGTCTAAACACTGTTACCTAAAGAGCACACATCCTATTTTTTTTTAATTTAACAAAATTGCAATTTACTGAAGACTGTCTTCTGAATTTTTTGCGTGTAACAACTCTTTTTTCTGAGTTTGGGGAAAGTTTTAAAGACAAATAATACATGCCTGCCCTGCAGATGGAGAACAAGCTGGCTATTCCTGTTTTGACTAGGGTAGTTTTCCCATAAGTGGTGACTTGTGTAGAGATTTGAGTAATGCGTGAGTAACAGATTATATCTCTTGACTCCACAAGATCAGGGATAGCAGAAATGAAAGTATAATGGAAGCAGCTGGAGGATTCCAGGTCCACTTTCACCCAAGTAATGGAGACGGAAGGTTCATCGAAACTTCTTCAGCTGCAGATCTAGAAGTCATTAGCTATTCTAGCAAAGTATCTGTCACAGAAAGGTGCTTCATAAAGGTCTGCACTGTGCTCTTTTGACCTGTGTCTTCAAGCATGTGCTGTCATAACAGATTAAAGATGACTGAAAATTATCTGCCACTCATTGCGTGAAAGGTGGGATCTGTAGACCTCCCTCTTGAATTTGGGAGGGTTCTGTGACTGCTGTGACCAATGAATATGGCAGAAGTGACGCTTTGCCAACTTCTGGGTCCAGGCTATACGAGACAGGCAGTTCCACTCACTGTCTCTTAGATCCATGTAAAAAGTTCATCTACCCTGCTGGAAAAACCATGTAGAGAGGCCCTGAGACTACATTGGGTGGGAGAGGGGCTCAGCTGCACCATCTTCCAACTGTCCCCATCAAGATGACAGAAATATAAATGAAGCCTTCTTGAACTCCAGACCATCCATGCTACAAGCTAAATGCCACCAAGCGACCCCAGTTAATACCATGTGGAGCAAAAATATCACTTAACCAAGCACTGCCTGAGTTTCTGACCCCACAGAATTCTGACCCCATACAAATAAAATAATTTTTGTAATTTTTTATAATTCGTCATGTAATAGATAAATGGAACAGCCTTCTTCCAGTCTTTTAAATAGCTGCAAGAAATCTTATTCAAGCAGAAGGAAGTTTCTACTTTGTTCATACAGTCTCAAGACATCCCTGGAGCCTTTCAAGGGAAATTTGGGCAGAAGTAGGTAGAGAGGTAAAGCTATTATGTAACATTACTTAACATGATTAAAACCACCTTAATGTCTCCCATCCTCAAAGGCTGCCAGTGAATTGGAAATTAATGGATTAAATGAGGACAGAGAAACTAGTATTTGTGCATATGCACTGTGCCAGGTATTTAACGTATCTTAGCTCATGTGGTCTTCGAAACAACCCCATATTGTAGTATCAGGCTCACACGGGTAACTAACTAGTGCAAAGACACAAGGCTCACAAACTGCTACTTGACCCTAGAGCTCTTTGACTCCGATTCCCATGTACGTGCCCCAATACCATGTTGACTCCCAAGGTGTAAATCTTCAGGTATACAAACTATTAAAATGTGAATTTTCATTTATACGCAATTTTTGCTTATGATATGTTTTTTGTCACTTGCATAATAATAGATATGTAACTTTAAATCAGCAATATTATACTGGCTATCAACCAGTTTCATGTAAATTTTTCTAACAGAAAGAATGTAGCATTGAAATGTGTACATTTTTGTCCAAGTACACCTGGCAATTGAAAGAAAAAATCCAAGCCACTTGGATGCTTGATTTTGTGATTTTTTTTTATACACTTCCTTATAAGAATTTTTTTTAGGTATTGAATTTGCAACTACAAAACCTGATTTTCCTCCCGGTTCTGTCCCTTTCTAGTAATGAGACATTGGACAAGTCACTTCACTTCCCAGAGCTTTAGTTTCCTCACTAGTTAGTGGAGGCCAAGAGTTAGCTCTAAGAGTGTGAGAATTATTAATAAATGAGATAATGTATTTTAAAATATTTTTAAACTACAAAATAGCATATAACTATATAACAGAGTAACCACCTCATAGGGTCTAAATATAAATAGGCATTATTTAACCTATAATGTATCTGAATAATAATAACCACCCTAGTAGCTACTTTTCATATACTATATATAATTGCCAATTATAACAACCTCATGGGATGTAATTATGCTCACTTTACAGATGAGAAAGCAGGCTTAGGAAAGGAAATAATTCACAGCAAAGAAGTGTGCAAAAGGAGGAAAAAATAGAAAGAATGAATAAAATAACTTGCCTAAGGTCAAATGGCTACTAAGTGGCAGAGCTGGGACTGAAACTCTAAAGTTCAAGCTCCTTCCTCTCTACCAAACTATTCCCTACATGCCAACAGGCTAGTTTACAACCTGCTTGAACAGCAGGAGAAAAGGGAGATTTGATCTCTTTCTTCTCACTTTTAGCCCAAACCACTCTTAGCCTCACCACATAGGTGGGAATCCTTTTTTGCAGGGGCGGAAGGACAATGTCTCACTCCTGATGCCCAGGCTGGAGTGCAGTGGCGCAATGTCAGCTCACTGCAGCCTTGACCTCTGGGGCTCAAGCAGTCTACCTACGTCAGCCCCCTCAAATAGCTGGGACTACAGGCACACGCCACCACACTAGGCTAAATTTTTTATTTTTTGTAGAGACAGGGTTTCGCCATTTTGCCCAGGGTGGTCTCGAACTCCTGGGCTCAAGTGATCTGTTCGCCTCAACCTCCCAATGGGCTGGGATTACAGGCGCGAGCCACAGTTCCCAACCTTTATTTTTAAAAGCTTTACATATAATTCAACACCCTTTCTCAGCAGCTACTTACCCAGTGTTTAAAGGTTTAATGTTCTTCACAGTTATGTAATTCTTCTATCACTCTGAACTCAATCTTAGAACCTTTTTTTTTCTTTTTGAGACGGAGTTTTGCTCTCGTTGCCCAGGCTGGAATGCAGTGGCGCAATCTCGGCTCACCGCAACCTCTGCCTCCCGGGTTCAAACGATTCTCCTGCCTCAGCCTCCCGAGTAGCTGGGATTACAGGCGCCTGCCACTGCACGCGGCTAATTTTTTGTATTTTTAGTAGAGACGGGGTTTCACCATGCTAGCCAGGCTGGTCTTCAACTCCTGACCTCAAGTGATCCACCCTCCTCGGTTTCTCAAACTGCTGGGATTACAGGCGTGAGCCACCGCACCTGGCTTCAATCTTATAAACGTTTTAAATTGCATGTTCATTGTGAAAAAAATAAAAAGAAGTTTTGAAAAATCACCTATAGTTTTATATCTAGAGATAACCCTAACATTTTTATTTCTTTTTAAATACCAGCATACTTTTATTGTAATTGTTTTAGTAAATACTAAATGAAGTAACACATGCAAAACTTTTAAATAATATCCTGGGTTGTTGTTTTTTTTAACATCTATTTCTTTCTGACTTTAAAATTAACAAATAAATTTGGGAAGACTATTATATATTTTAAAAGACCAAAGAGACGGATCAAAGAAACATGGTAAGTTACCCTTGATTGGATCCTCATACAAAAAACAAAGTTATAAAAGATGTTTTTGGTACAAATGGGAGGTATTTGAATATGGACTGAATATTGAATATTAGAGGACTTGTTAATTTTATTGGGAATGATTATATATGTGCTTATACTACAGAATTATGTACAATATCCTTGTGTTTCAGAAACACCCATTTAAGTACTTAGGAGTAAATTAATGATGTCTAACTTACTTTCATTTCAAATGATTTAGTAAATATATATATAGATAACATGGAAAAATGTCAACAGTTGTTCGGTCTAAGTGGTAGGTGTGCAGGTGTACATTGCACTGTTTTTCAACATTTCTGCATGCTTCCCAATTTTCACAATAAAATACTGAGGGAAAAATCCAAAAGAAAACTATGGCTATTGAGGCCAGGCGCAGTGGCTCACGTCTGTTACCCCAGCAGTTTGGGAGGCTGAGAAGGGCGGATCACGAGATCAGGAGGTCGAGACCATCCTGACTAACAACTCGGTGAAACCCCGTCTCTACTAAAGATACAAAAAATTAGCCGGGCGCGGTGGCGGGCGCCCGTGGTTCCAGCTACTCGGGAGGCTGAGGCAGGAGAATGGTGTGAACCCGGGAGGCGGAGCTTGCAGTGAGCTGAGATGGCGCCACTGCACTCCAGCCTGGGTGACAGAGCCAGACTCCGTCTCAAAAAAAAAAAGAAAAGAAAAGAAAACTATGGCTGTTGTAGAAAATTTGCAGAAAAAAAAATGTAAAAGCAAAACCCAGTGGTTTGCAACCTTTCCTTGTATCTTTTGTGATGGTCACTTTTTTTGTAAATACTTTAAAGTGTTTATTAAAAATCAGCCTTGCAGTCTTTATCCTCTAATCTAATTACCCATGCATCTTATGCTGCTAGTGCTCTCCTCCTCTCTGGGGGGTTGGGGTGTGGTTGGGGAAGTCTCTGGAAGATTTTCCATGGCTCTCTTTAATAATGAATGCTACACTTTTGCTAGTAAGATCCCTAAAGAATGCTCCCAGTAATGGAAGGTTACTTTGTAGTTCTTTAGTCCTCACTTGACAAGTTTTATTTGCTTGGAAAGTTAGATCAGTTTTAGGTGATCAGTATTAGCTCTTCAACAAGGCCTAAATAAAAAATTTGGTCAACATACAGGCAGCAGGCTGTCATATATGTGTCATATAAAAGAAAAACAAAAAAGTTCTCTTTCACTGCCTGCACAACCTTCATCCTGACCAACTATGTTGCAGGGATAAACCTGGCCTGAGGAATCAGGCTAGAGAATGTCGATATGTCAGCATAAACCATCACCACTGCTGTCCAAATAACTCTTAATATGACCAGGCGAGGGCAGATCAGTAGCAACAAATCAAATCAAGTCAGCAAATATTTATAACGTGCATAGCATCCTGTTAGGTGTTTGAATGTAAAACATGCATTCAAAAATTTTTGTCCTCTGAAGTGGTGCTCACATTTTAACCCTCGCTCCTGTTTACTGACTCCTATTCAGTTCCTTTGTGATAACACTTGGACCCCAGCCAGCCCTTACCCAGTGTTTTTCCCCCTGTAGCATGACAGCTCTGTTAACCTTCATAGGCTTTGTTCCATTTATTTTTGACCACATCTCCAGTATACCAATTTCTTCTGAGTCAACAATTTTTTTAAAGCCACCTTTTGGTACTTCTGTATATTGTTTTGGAAATTTTCTATTTATGAGAAAAAGCAAATAGATTCCAAGCTCTGTTACAAATCATTATTCCATGAAGGCTGTAGAATAATTTCTCTAGATGCCAAGTCTCATGACACAGAGCTCTGGATGTCAGCCTTTTCAGCCCCCTCAGGGACCTCACTCCATCAGCAATGCCCTTTCTGTCTGTATTTCCAACCTCTCCCTCTCTGTCAGTCATTAGTGCATTGAGAGCTCTCTCCACTTAAATGGGAAAAAAAAAGTTACTTCCAACTCCAGATCACCCCATCTACCTCATTTCTTGCAAAGCCAGGTTTTTGGTTGGTTGGTTGGTTGGTTGGTTGGCTGACTGGTTAATTAAGAGTCACTTACTTAGGATGGGTGTGATGGTTCACACCTGTGATCCCGGCACTTTGGGAAGCTGAGGTGAGTGGATCACTTGAGCTCAGGAGTTTGAGACCAGCCTGGGCAACATGGTAAAACCCCATCTCTACCAAAAAATACAAAAATTAGCTTGGTATGGTGGTGTGTGCCTGTGGTGCCAGCTACTCCAGAGTCTGAGGTGGAAGGATCACTTGAGCCCGCGAGGTGGAGGTTGCAGTAAGCTGAGATCACACCACTGCACTCCAGCCTGGGTGATAGAGTGAGACCTCGTCTCAAAAAAAAACAAAAGGAGTCACTTACTTGACTGAGTATTTTCACTCACATTCACTCCTCATATTATGCTTCTGTACCCACAACTAGATTCTGAAACACTTCTCACCAAAGTCACCAATGACATTCTTGCTGCTAACTCTAGTGAAGCATCTCAGTCTTCATCTGGTAAAACCTCTCTGTTACATATGACAGCACTGATCACTTCTTGAAATGCTTCTCTTTCCTTGACTTCAGTCGAAACCTCATCCACATGGCTCTTCTGACACACCACACACCATTGCTTCTGACAAACTGATAATCACAGCAGAGTGAGACAATGGGCAAAGAATTCACAAGCAGCAGCTAACATTACAGAATGGTTGGAATGGCTATCAAAAAAACAGCTTTGGTGACAAATGAGAGACAGAGACCGAGGCATTAGAGTGCTGTTCTACCAGATGCAATATGTGTGCTCCAAATCAGCTACAAATCTGTATGACTTTTTAAAAAATCTGTAGACAAAATATATAGGTGCAGAAACCAAAAGGAAGAAGTGAGAATGGCTCTTAATTTTTTTTTCTTTTTTTTTTTTTTTGAGGTGGAGTCTTGCTCTGTCTCCCAGGCTGGTGTGCAGTGGCTCAATCTCAACTCACTGCAACCTCAGCCTCCCGGGTTCAAGTGATTCTCCTGATTCAGCCTTCCGAGTAGCTGGGATTATAGGCGTGTGCCGGCACACTGGGATAATTTTTGTATTTTTAGTAGAGACAGGGTTTCGCCATGTTGGCCAGGCTGGTTTTGAACTCCTCACTTCAGGTGATCTGCCCACCTCAGCCTCCCAAAGTGCTGGGATTACAGGCATGAGCCACCGTGCCCCGCCAGCTCTTATTATTATACCTATTAATCTCTGCATATTTAGAGGTCTTGGATGCCAGGGGAGGAAGACTTCTATCAGGAGATAAATATATCCTATTTGATCTGACAGTTGAGGCTTCCAGGTGGTCGTTTATGTGTTTTTCCAGCCACCGAACAGACAGAGAAGGGATATGCTATTCTTACTGGAATCATGGATCCATACTACCAAGGGGATCTGACCCCTGCTTGATTTTCTTGTAACTGCATTAACCATCTCATACCAGTTTGTCTGAGACTTTTTCAGTTATATCACTCAAAGTCTCACATGCTGGAAAATCCCTTAGTCCTAGGCAGCTTGGGACAATTGGTTACCCAGCTAACTTCCCTAGGACATCGTAGACACTCAATACATTTGCTTTAGAGTGGATCTTGTTTATGCCAAGCAGAATCCATCCCAATCCTCCCAAAGTAGATCCTTGATGACACGCAAACTTATTTGGCATCCCAGGGAGAAATGTTTGCAGATAGCATTGGCTTGCTCCTTCACTGGCTTACTTCTATCCACAGACATCATCCTCAGTGGCTCCTATGCCTTTGAGGATGGAGTAGTGCTTCCCTGGCAAGCTGAAGGGAAAACCCTGCATGTCATATACTTGAGCTCATTTTTGTTCTTTACTCATATTTTCCCAGAATGATGTACTACTTGATATTTAGTTTTTTAAATGAATTCTCTCATCAATCTAATTTTTCCAGCACCATGGAAAATTTATGTTCAAGAAGGGATCATAGAAATCATCTAACCCAAACCCAAATATTTCATGTTCATCTGCAACTGCCCTAATATTAGAACTTCATTATTTTTGTTTTAGCTTATGATTTGTCATGTTCACCAGGCATTTATTTCCTCAATTGACCAAAAATTACACTTGCACATTTGATGTAGTGAGTAATTTATTTTTGCTTGTATAATGATCGTGAATTCTGAGTTTCAAAACCTCAGTGTTCTCTAGCATCTCATCAAAAATCACTACTCAATGAGAGCTTGTTGATGAGGGACCTTGGTCTGCTAAGTCCCATTTTCTATTGTGTCTTGGTAATAACGTCTGTGATTGTCAAAAGATCTGCTTCCATATGGACCTGGCTTACAGCACCAACCACAGAGTAGAACTCAAAAACCAAGATTAAGATTTATTTCATTTCATATAAGAAACAACTGAGATAAAACAATACCATCCCACAAATCCTCCACTGGTGCTAATCTCAGTCAAATAATGGGGTAAATTGACTACTGGTCTTGTATTTTGCTCTTATGAATCAGTCCTCTAATTTTTTGAGGTTAACAATAAAGAAGAACAGAATTTGTGACGCCATTTAAATTGTAACCAAGAGATATTCGTTATGCTTAGAAACTCACTCCAGTTTGTCAGAGTCTACCTCCTGTAAAATTGCCAGGAAAGAAAGGGGATTTCTAAAGAAAAATATTTTTTACCACTGTTTTCCTTCTTTGGGTTTAAAATTTATTATTTTATAACTTAATTTTCTTCTATTGAGTGTATTTGGACCGTTATGGGAGATCTCAATTCCCACTCGTTCAGGGGTTTGAAAAGAAACCAAGATTACAGAAGCACCAAGATTAGCAGCAACAAACACCTTTCAGCTTCTAGCCTGACAATAGAGGATATAATATTAAGAGTGCTAAAAAGACCAGACCCAAGCATCAATGCTCCACTAAGTTCTTTAAATAGTTTTGTCAAAAGTCATTTATTATTGAGAAAAGAAAATAAGTATTTTGCAAAGAAAGTTTTTATTAGAAGGAGGAGTTCAAATTAACAGCCAAAGCATTACACAAAGCTTCAGGTTGAATGATTTCTAAAGTTTTTTTTTCCAGTGTCTTTTCACAAATCTTTTAGTTACTCTTGTCCCATCAGTGGTAGGAGTCTATGTTAGGCAGGAAACTATTATCAAATAGCTTCAGAGCAAAACCAAATCTAGCATAGAGCTGTGAGATCTTTTATTAAGAAGTCAGGGAAATTTAAGGTGGCATCTCCTAGGTCCTAGCAGACAGACAGAAGAAGGCCTTCTGGGGATTTTAAGAGTTTATCTTGCAGACTTTCTCTGTTTAAACAGCAGGGCCTCCAGGAATGTAAGGTCATTGTCCCACAACAACTTCAGAGAGTCCAGGAAGATACTTATATCAAGAGGTTTGTGGGCTTGGCTTTTATATGGTGGGTGGATTATAAACTGACACTCAGGAAGTCCACAGAGTTTTTAAGGTAATTATATAAGCTTGATCTGAGAAAGAGAGACAGGACAGCACCTACCCTGATTTTACCAGCATTTTTCAAAGTGTAACTCACAAATTGTGATCCACACCAGACCTCTTGGTCTGAATGTTGCAGGGGTAGGGAGGGAGAGAAAAGAATGGAGGCATATCCAGGAATCAACATTTATAATAGATAATACGTATAGACGTTAAAATTTGACATCCTAGCTGGGCATGGTTGCATACCCTTGTAGTCCCAGCGACTCAAGAGGCTGAGGCAGAAAGATCGCTTGAGCGCAGGAGTTCGAGGCTACAGTGAGCTATGATTGCATCACTGCACTCCTGTCTGGGCAACGGAGCAAGACCCTGTCAAAAAAAAAAAAAAAGAAAAAAGATAAATTGACGTCCACCTCAAACAGACCTACTTACCCATTCCTAAATATATTATTTCATTGGTAATGCCTTCCATTTTCTCATGTTGGAATACCACTGCCTTCCATTCTGCAAATATTATCCATAGTTAAATTTTGTGCATTTTTTTTAGTAAATAGTGGTGAATCAATTGGACAAGGGAATATGCTGCCTATCTCATATATACATGCACAAAAAATTAATTTGAAATGGACATAGACCTAAGTATGAAGAATAAAATAATAGTTTTAGAAGAAAACATAGGAGAATACCTTTAAAATCTTGACATAGACAAAAATTTGTCATAGATTTAAAAATAAGCATAACACTATACATTGAAAATAATACTTCATTAAAATTCTTTTTATGAAAAGACACCATTAAGAGAGTGACATGCAAGCTAAATCCTGGAAGAAGACATTTGCAATACAGATACACAACAAAGTACTTGTATCCAGAACATGTAAAGAACAGCTACAACTCTAAAAGAAAAAGACTGACATCTTATTTTTTAAATGGGTAAAAGACTTGAGCAGGCACCTTACAAATGGCCAATAAGTATGTGTCCAGTATCACTAATCATCAGAAAATTGCAAATTAAAACCATATTGAGTGGCAAATAAGAAGAATACAAGATGCTCAATATTATTAAGTCATTAGGGAAATACAAATTTAAAACACATTTAAGTCCTACAGCATATAATCAGCTCTCCATATCTGTGGATTCAACCAACCTTGGATTGAAAATATTTGAAAAATAAATAAAATAACAAAGACAATAAAAATAATACAAATTTAAGAACAATATAGTATAACAACTATTTACTAGCATTTACATTGTATTAGGTGCTATACGTAATCTAAAGATGATTTAAAGTATAAGGATGTGTGTAGTTTTACACAAATACTACATCATTTTACATAAGGGACTTGAACATCTGCGGATTTTGGTATCTGCAGGGGGTCTTGAAGTCAATTCCCTATGAACACTGAACAATGACTGTACCTACTGGAATGACTAAAATTAAAAATTGTGACAGTACCAAGTGCTGACAAGGATGCAGAGCAACTGGAACGCTCATATATTACTGGTGAGACTGCAAAATGTCACAGCCACTTTAGAAAATAGCTTGACAATTTCTTATAAAACTAAATACACACACACACACTATATATATACACACACACACATATATATTTACACACATATATATATAACAGGTTGAACAGCCCTAATCTGAAAATTAAAAATCTGAAATGCTTCAAAATTGGAAACTTTTAGAGTGCTGAGATGATGCTCAGATTTCAGATTTTCTGATACGGAAAACTGGTAAGTATAGTGCAAATACTCCAAAATCTTAAAAAATTCAAAATCCAAAACACTTCTGGTCCCAAGTATTTTAGGTAAAGGATACTCAACCTGTAGTTTGCTATGGCTGTCATTTAAAAATACCTTTAACACAGCTGGGTATAGTGGCTCACCCCTGTAATCCTAGCACTTTGGGAGGCCCAGGCAGGCAGATCACGAGAAGTCAAGAGTTCGAGACCAGGCTAGCCAATATGGTGAAACCCCATCTCTACTAAAAATACAAAAATTAGCCGGGCATGGTGGTATGTGCCTGTAGTACCAGCTACTCAGGAGACTGAGGCAAGAGAATCACTTGAACCCGGGAGGAGGAGGTTAGAGTGAGCTGAGATTGTACCACTGCACCCTAGTCTGTCTCAAAAAAAAAAAAAAACACAAATCATCACAGTTCTGGAGGCTATCTCAAGGTACCGCCAGGTTTGGTTTCTTCCGTGATTTTCAGAGAGCCCCCTTCTTGCTGTGTGCTTGTGGTCTTTCCTCTGTGCATGCACAGCCCTGGTGTCTCTCTGTGTATCCTCATCTTTTCCTATAACTACACCAGATATATTGAATTAGGGTCCATCGTAACAACTCCATTTGAACTGAAGTGCCTCTTTAAAGCCCTTATCTCCAAATATAGCCACATTTTGGGGTACTAGGGGTTAGGCTTCAATCTAGGAATTTGAAGGAGACACAATTCATAAAACCATACAACCAGCAATCTCACTGCTAGGCAAATGAAAGATAAATGACAGGATATATCCACACAGAGACCTATAGGTGAATGTTTAGGGCTTCTTTATTCATAATAGTCAAAATTTGGAAACAATGAACACCCATAACTGTCAATCAGATACATCGTAGTGCATCAATACAGTAGAATACCAGTCAGCAATAAAAAAAGAATGAATTTCTGAAACAAACAACATGATGAATCCCACAGACATTGTGCTGGCATGTTCTCAGCAAGAATGGCAAAGTAGAAAACTCTGAGAACCTGTCCCTCCACAGAAACACCAAAAGAGCTTCCAAAATCAACTTTAATCAGAACACTGGAAGATAGTCCAAGGGGAATGCTCAGATAGGAGAAGGGCCACAGAAACACAGTAGAAGAGCTTGGTGGCATTTTTCTTACCCTTGCTCTCTACCCCTCTGCAGCTCAGCAGTGGTCTTGAAGACAGCAGTCCAAATTGGAAAGGAGGAAGCAAAACTAGTATTCACAAGTAACATGAACTTATATATAGAAAGTCCTATGGGATCTACAAAAAATTATTAGAAATAATAAATGAATTCAGTAAATTTGCAGGATGCAAAATCAACGTACAAAAATCAGATATATTTCTACACACTAGCAATGAACAATCCAAAAAGAAAATGTATTTATGATAGCATCAAAAGAATAAAATACTTAGGAATAAATTTATCAAAGTAGATGAAAGATTTTATATTAGTCTGTTGACACACTGCTAGTAAAGACATACCCGAGACTGCGTAACTTATAAAATAAAAAAGGTTTAATGGACTTACAGTTCCACATGGCTGGGAGGGCTCACAATCATGGCAGAAGACAAAAGGCATGTCGTACACAGCAGCAGACGAGAGAATGAGCGCCAAGTGAAAGGGGTTTCCCCTTACAAAACCATCAGAACTCGTGTGATTTATTCTCTACCACAAGAATAGTATGGGGGAAACCACCCCCATGATTCAATTATCTCCCACAGAGTCCCTCCCGCAACATGCGGGAATTATGGGAGCTACAATTTGAGATGAGATTTGGGTGGGGACACAGACAAACCATGTCAGACTTGTACACTGAAAACTGTGAAATTTGCTGAAAGAAAGTAAAGACCTAAATAAATGGAAACACATCCTGTGTTCACAGATTGGAAAATTTAATATTGTTAAGATGGCAACTCTCCCCAGTGGGATTTACAGGTTTAATTCAATCCCTATCAAGACCCCAGGGGCCCCAAGAAAAGCCAATCTTGGGGCAGACCAGCAGACTAGAAACTCAGGCAGGAGTTGCTGCTATAGTCTTGAGGCAGAATTGTTTCTTCTCTGAGAAACCAGTTTTGGCTCTAAGGCCTTTCACCTGACTGGATGACGCTTACTCACGTTATTAAGGGTAATCTCTTTTACCTGTAGTCAGCTGAATGATAATGTTAACCACATCTACAAAATACTTCCACAACAACACCTAGGTTAGTATTTAATTAAATAACAGTGCTATAGCCAAGTCATGCTGACACATAAAACTAACCATCACACACCTCAAAAAACTTGACTTTAAAAAATTAGGTCTCTGTTCATGACATCATGAACTTACATAATAAATATAAGTGTCTGATTAAAATAAATAAAAATGAAAAACAAAAAGAGTAGTGATTACCACTTTATCTCCATGATAAAGTGCCAGCTAAAAGGCTGGCAACCCTAAATGTTGGTAAGGATGTAGAGCAACTAAACTGCCTTCCATTACTGGTGGGAGTGTATATTGGTATAAACAATTGAGGAGCCCGGCGCAGTGGCTCACACCTGCCGATTACAGGTGTGAGATTACAGGTGTAATCTCAGCACTTTGGGAGGCCGAGGCAGGTGGATCTGGAGGCCAGGAGTTCAAGACCAGCCTGGCCGAGATGGCAAAACCCCCGTCTCTACTAAAAATACAAAAATAAGCCAGGCGTAGTGCCGGGCGCCTGTAACCCTAGCTACTCAGGAGGCTGAGGCAGAGAACTGCTTGACGCTGGGAGGCGGAGGTTGCAGTGAGCCAAGATCTCGCCACTGCACTCCAGCCTGGGTGACAGAGCGAGACTCCATCTCAAAAAAAAAAAAAAACAATTGAGGAAACCTGCAGTAACTTAAAGATAAATACATGTTTACTCTATGAACCAGAAATTCCACTTCAGTATTTACACCCAGCAGAAATTAGTGTGTATATCCACCAAAAGGCATATACAGGTAGGTTCATAGCAAAAAACTAAAAGCAACTTGTATGTTCATCAACAGTAAAATGGATGAAAAAATGATATTGTGTATTCATATAATGAAATACTATACAGCAATAAAAAAAACCAAACTACTGTTACATGAAGCAGCATGGATGAATCTCATGGACATGACATTGAGCAAAAGAAGCTGGACACATACTGTATCATTCCATTTAGATAAAGTTCAAGAACAGATGAAACTAATTGGTGGTGATAGAGGTTCAGAATAGTAGTTACCTTTAGAAGTGGGGCAGCATTGACTAGGAGGGGACATGAAGGAGCCCTCTAATAAGCTGGGAATGTTCTATATATTGATCTAGGTGGTACTATATACTGGAATATACATATGTAAAATTTTATTGAGCTGTATGGCTAAGATTTGTGTGCTTTGCTATAGCAAAGTTATACTTCAATTTGGAAATAAAGTAATAAATAAAAACAAAATTGTACCCATCTTTCCAAGGGGCAGAGTGGGGAAAGTAGATAAGGGTATAAGTGAAACTAGGTTGGTCATGTGTTGGTAAATGTTGAAGTTGGGTGATAGGTATATGGAGGCTCATTGTATTTTCTCATTTAAAAATTATTTCCATTTTTAAAAAAACCCCTTTTATCCATTCTAATAAGCCCATTTCAAAGCCACTTTTTCCATAAAGCTGAAAGATTTTCTCTCTTCTTCTTTTGAACTTCCAAAGCATTTTACTTCATCAGGAGAAACTCTCTTAACTAGCCTCCACTTAACTAATTCTCCAAATGAAATGGCTGTCTCCTCTCTGCTCCATACTGACTTTGTACATGGAACACAAAACACTTTTAAGTATAGGCTACACTAGTACCCCAGGCACTTCTATGCCTACAATTGAGTGGGCTTCCCAAAGATCAGTGATATTCCTCATAAACCTGTTCATGTCAGATATCTGTTACTGTATTTTCATAATTTGGTCAAATACTGAGTACAAAAAAAGAACTGTTCATTAAAACTATATGAATTACTTTGCAAAGAGTTGGTAAAAGCAAATAGCTAGAAACTTTCATGTCAAATTTGGTGTGTATATAACTCTGAATATATGAAAATCACTCAACTGTATAGTTTAAAGGAGTGGATTTTATGGTATGTGAGTTTTATCTTAATAAAGCTGTTATAAAAAATTAGTTGTGGGTGAGATAACTACAAAAGATTGCAAAAACTTTCAAAAAATCCAGAAGACTTTGCAGTGACTTCGCAAATATCTTTAATTTCTCATCCCTCTCTTAAGAAAATGTAAAGAATAACATTGGGTCTGTGGGGTATGGGAAGCAAAAAAGAAAATATAAAGAAAATCATAGATAATGCTTTATAAGCAGGTTTATGCCAGAAAGACAAATGTAGAACTACAATCAGCAAACCTATGCCCAAAGAAATCTTGGCCCTACATCATACCTTTGGAGAATAAATCACATTGATATGTTTTAGGATAAAACAAAATTTTTAAAAATTAATATATTATTATTATTCCTTTACTGATAATTCCATATACAGTAGTCCCTCCTTATCCATGGTTTCACTTTCCACATTTTCAGTTATGTGCAGTTGGGAAATATTAATGGAAAATTCCAGAAATGAACAATTCATAAGTTTTAAATTGCATGCCCCATTCTAAGTAGCATTATGAAATCTCATGCCATCCAGCTTCATCTCACCCAAGATGTGAATCATCTCTTTGTCCAGCATATCCACACCACATACACTCCTCACCTGTTCGTCACTTAGTAGCTATCTTGGTTAATAGATTGAAAAAACATAGTTTGGTTGACCCTCGAACAACATGGGTTTGAAATGTATGGGTCCACTTACACGTGGATTTTCTTCTGCCTCCCACACCCCTCAGACAGCAAGACCAACCCCTTCTCATCCTCCTCCCCTTCCTCCTTAGCCTACTCAATATGAAGAAGGTGAGGGTGAAGACTTCTTTTATGATCCATTACCACTTAATGAATAGTAAATATATTTTCCAGTTTTTGTGATTTTCTTAATAACATTTTTTCTCTAACTTACTAAGAATACAGTATATAATATATATATATAAACCTAAAACAATGCATCTTAATAGGTAGTTCATGTTATCAGTAAGTTAAATTTTAGAGGAGTCAAGTTATATGTGTGTGTGTGTGTGTATATATATATATATATATATATTTTTTTTTTTTTTTTTGAGACAGAGTCTCGCTCTGTCACCCAGGCTGGAGTGTAGTGGTGCAATCTCGGCTCACTACAACCTCCGCCTCCTGGGTTCAAGCGATTCTCCTGCCTCAGCCTTCCAAATAGCTAGGATTACAGTAGGCACACACCACCACGCCCAGTTAATTTTTGTATTTTTAGTAGAAATGGGGTTTCATCTTGGTCAGGCTGGTCTCGAACTCCTGACCTCAGGTGATCCACCTGCCTTGGCCTCCCAAAGTGCTAGGATTACAGGTGTGAGCCACCGTGCCTGACCATATGTGGATTTTTGACTGTGCAGGGGAATGGGCACCTCTACCCTTCACATTGTTGAAGGGTCAGCTGTATATATAGGGTTTAATACTATTTGCAGTTTCAGGTGTCCACTGGAAGTCTTGAATTGTATCCTCCACAGACAATGAGACTACTACACACATGTGTGCTTAATTGAGATATAATTCACAAACCATACAATTCACCCCTTTTGAAGTGTACAATCCAATGATTTTAGTATGAGTTGTGCAACCATCACCACAATTTATGAATATTTTTATCATCACAAAAAGAAATCTCATACCTATTAGCAGTCAATCCTCATTTTACCCCAGTCTCCTTACTTGGAAATGACTAATCTACTTTCTGTCTCTATTGATTTGCCTATAGAGACAAATTGATTTATGCCTGGGGCACCATCACCAAAAGAAGAGGAAATGGATGCAAGCCTTCCCAGAACAACAGGTGAGTACCACAGCATGCAACTAAATAAACTGCATCTCACCTTCGGAACAGAGCTTGGTGGGTGGGGGAGTCTACTACTTAATTGGAATCAGCTGCTGCAGTATTAATTCATGGTCATCCGATTGGGCTCAATGACCTACCTGTGCCCTAAAACAGTCATGTTCATCTTTTTTTCTCTCCATGACTTAGTAGTTTCTTGAACATAGTGAGTGTTCAGTAAATAGTTTAATTGACTAGAATTTACTCCCCCAGGTCAAACAAATTTTCAACCCATATTGTGTAATTAAAAAGGAGACCTTAGGTAGTGTATTCTTGACTAACAGAATAAACAAAAGTAAAGCTTAGAGTGAATAACTATGCCACTTAATATTAGTCAAATGTCCATTTACAGTAGAACCAAGGAAGGACTGTCTCAGCGATGACAGAAACAAAACTCAAATTCCTTGAACAAAGAAGGGACTAATTTATTGCTTGATGTCACAGAAAAGTCCAAGGAGAGTTTGGCTTCAGGCACAGCAAGATCCAGAGACTCAGGAATCCCTCACTCTTGCTCCCACCCATGGCCCTGCTTTCCTCTGTCAGCGTCATTCTCTGGAAGGCTTTCTTTGGGAGTTTCCACCAATAGATTTAGGCTTTCACCCTATGAGATTAGTAACCCTAGCTAAAGGGGGAGATCTCTTTCCAATAGTTCTAGCAAAAGTCTGGGGTTGATTTGAATTTGGTTGAGCTTTGGTCACATGCCGACCTCTGAAAAACCACTGTGGTTTTAGGAGGAAGGACTATGTCAGTTTCTGAGGCTCCAACTACATACGTACTCCTGAAGCCAGTGATGGGGTCAGCTCCCTTCTGTGTCATATGGACTAAAAGTGGGAAAGAGGTTATTGCCCAAAGGAAAACTGGAGTAATGTTACCAGAGAAAGAGAGAACAGACACCAGGCCGCCATCAAGTACAGACGAGCACTGTAGCAAGCAGCTGAGTGAAATGCATCTCATCTTCATAACAGAGCCTGGGCTCTCCTTTACTGGAATCAGCCAGGTGCTGTATAAAATGCACAGGAATCTGACCTACCAGGGCTCAAAACCAAGCTCTGAGCCCAATTGTTGTACAACCTTGGGCCGCTTTGCTGACATCTCTGGAACTCAAGTTCCTCATATGTAAAAAGGAGGGGAATGAAAGTTACCACTCAGGGCTATTGCAAAGAGTAAGTGAAATAGATTTACGAGAGAATGCAGCTATCATAATCATGTGGTTAATGCTCACAAAACATCTTCTCTTCATTGTTCTCTACTTTTAAAACTTGCTTTTTTTTCTAGAAAGAGTCTCGCTCTGTTGCCAGGCTGAAGTGCTATGGTGTGATCTCAGCTCACTGCAACCTCCGCTTTCTGGGTTCAAGCAATTCTCATGCCTCAGCCTCCCGAGTAGCTGGGATTACAGGCACATGCCACCACGCCCAGCTAATTTTTGTAATCTTAGTAGAGATGGAGTTTCACCATGTTAGCCAGGCTGGTCTTGAACTCCTGACCTCAAGTAATCCGCCAGCCTCAGCCTCCCAAAGTGCTGGGATTACAGGTGTGAGCCACTGTGCTCAGCCAAAAAACTTGCATTTTAAAGAAAGTTTTCCAGAACTGGGCTTGTTCCATTCAATAAGTAGATTGAGTTACAACTATGCACTTAGCTTCATGTGACACTGAAGGGAATATGAAGAAGAAAGAAGACAAATTCTGCTTATACTCTGATAGGACGACCTCTGCTATTTTCCTTCTGAAGCTTTGCAGAGAGCAGTGAATTGTAATGAAAGGAGATTTGGGAGTAAAGACTCCGTGAGGTATTGAAGTCTCTAGGGGAACCTCATTATAGCATTCCTCTTCCCAGCCTGGATTCTGAACAATTTGAGAAATAAAAAGCAAATGTGAAGCACACTGAGGCCAAAGTATCACCTTTAGAACCAGTAAAGATGAATTGGAATTCCAGGCATGGCAGGCCAAGGCAGACATCATCCTTAGAGGCAGAGTCCCTGGAGGGGAAGAGGAAGGAGATAAAGCTGAAGCAAGCAAGCCAGGGCAAGTCACTTTGACACCCCAGGGACAGAAAGGGACCAGGAGTATGGTCAGCTGCAACTAGGAACTGGGGAAAGATGTTCCCGCATCACTGGTTTTTTCCGCTCCTCAGATGCGTGACGTTGGATGAGTCCATTAATCCCTCTATCCATTATCATCTTTTCTAAACCAAAGGATTTTACTAGATCATCTCTGAAATTTCTTCCAGGTCTACAGTGGTATGATTATATAAATTACTAGACCCATAGTAAATCATCTAAGAGCTCATATGACCTTATTTAGAAAGGAAATTACAAATCTTTTACACTTGGATCTGGAATTGCTTTTGTAAATGTGAAGCTACTATGAGTTGAATTACACTTTTGTTTCAGAGATTGACTTTATGAAGATCCTTAGGAAGTTTTAAAGTTGAATAAGATTCTTCTTCTTACCTTTAATCATCACTTTTACATCTCATTTGTGGAGAATCAAAAGTCACTGGAATCAAAAGTCACTGACCCACAAAGTGTCTTCCTCTTGCAAGATGGGCAAATGGATCCACAACAACATAAAACCCAGCATCACACTGACGGTTACAGATCTGTTTCTGCCGGGTTGAGTCTCCTGGCCACCAGAATCCCAGAGCTCTCACCCAGGCTGAGATGCAAAAGCCACAAGCACAGTGGGGAGAGAGGAAAATAAGAGAAGGAGCCCATGACTTTGAGATGTGAAATAAAGGAGAACCAACAATACTCTGTGCCTACTCATGAGCACCTCGGTGTACTCCAGAACTTTCATTTCAAAAAGTTAAATAGGAACCTTTGTCCAGAGATTGGCTCAGATGTTCTCATTAGATCTTAGCTTGAAGCCTCTTCTGCCAGTTCCTCCCTGTTTTTATAGTAAGTCTCATAAGGCATGGTCCTGGACCCACAGCCCTGTATCATATGGAAAAATGATGCAGGCCGGGCATGGTGGCTCATGCCTGTAATCCCAGCACTTTGGGAAGCCAAGGCGGGTGGATCATTTGAGGTCAGGAGTTCAAGACCAGCCTGGCCAACATGATGAAACCCCATCTCTACTAAAAAAAAATACAAAAATTAGCCAGGCGTGGTGGCGAACGCCTGTAGTCCCAGCTACTCAGGAGGCTGAGGCAGAAGAATTGCTTGAACCTGGGAGGCAGAGGTTGCAGTGAGCCGAGATCATGCCACTACACTCTAGCCTGGGCGACAGAGCGAGACTCTGTCTCAAAAATAAATAAATAAAATAATTAATTAAAAATGATGCGGAACAACAATGAGTTATGTTCAACTCATTGAAAAGTTGTGTTGCCAAGAGTGTGAGTATGGTTGGAAAGATTAATGAAAGGTTTGTGTTTCGGTTTGTGGCTTTGGTCACTGCTTGCCTCTCTGCCTCTTAAGCTGCCCATTCGATTCAAATTAAGCAGTGTTTCTCAGACTGTGCCTGCCAGCATGCTGTACATGCAGCTGCTGCCTTCCATCCATCACAGCCTAACTTACCCCCGCTCCAAGTTCCAGGTCAGCCTTTCCTGATTGCATTCCTTGTCCCTGTCATGCTTCAAGCTGCCCTCCTTCTGGCTATTCATCACCCAGCAATTGTTGCTGTTAGCTGTCTTTCTCACATGACCAGTCCTGCAAAGTGTGCCAGACAGGAATGCCAGTGGGCTGGCTGCATGCCAGGATGTTGCCTGGAATTTGTTAGTGCTCTTAAGCACCATGGATAAATGCCGCTGGTGAAACCTTGTGTGAAGTCAACTTGCAATATCTAAGGACATCTAAGGCCCAGCTCTTTGTCTACGAAGTTAGAAATCATCCTTGAGTCTATGTCTGAGCTGCCATATGAACTAGTGCTTAAATATAATACAGGCTCTTGAGTCAGACTACAGGGGCCTTCCAGCAACCTGAGAAGTTACTTTAGCTCTGCTCTGTTTCATACCTCCAAGAGTCATTTTGGGGACTGCATGAGTTAATGTATGTAAAGCATGTAGAACAATGCCTGTCACATTAAAAGCCCTATGAGTGTTTGCTATTGCTATTTTTCCACTCACTGCTTATTGTGCTTAGATTGACCACTTCAGATCATTTATTTATTCCTTTAATCAATACTTACTGAGTGCCTATGATATTCTGGGCATTATGTACAGTGATCCATTTGCTTTACGGTAAGCTTTGGCATGGTCATCTGGAAATCCTTTTGCACTCTTGGTTGTACTTATTATGGAGGCAGTAAGACCCCAGAGAAGAAACCACTGACCAGTGCTGATCCTTAGGCAGCCTGTCTTGAGGCTCCCATGCTCCCAGAACAGCACAGAAAGAACAGAGGCAGACAGGGGTCAGTGAAAGAGACAGTGTGAATTCAAGCAGATGTTGGCCCCTTCCCCTAATCCTCTTCTATCTGGAACTTTGAGGTATTTCCACGCAAGGGGGAGGTTGAAGGGAGAATAGGGACAGAAGAAGGTGGAGGTATGGAGAAATCTTGCAAATGACTAAGCTTAACTTTATGCCAATATGGTAAGATAAAAGTTCAAAATGGAATTAAATTGATTTAGAGAAAATCACTAGGGTAAAGCATATAAAATTGCTGATATCTGACAATTTTTGACATGCAAAAACATCAAATTGATGTTGTTCAACCTATAAAAGGTGCAATATTTCATGTACCTCCCAAGTTCGCAGAAAACATTCATAGTTGCCACACCTGCTTTAAATTTTTCACTGTCTTAGAAAAGCTCAAATATAAGAAATCTTCATCAAGACTTTCTCTCCTTAAATTGAAAACTAAAGACAAATTTGGGAACATGGCTACCTGTGTTAGAAATTTGATGAATGATAGCTCTGAAGCCTAGATAACAACTGACATGTGGAAGTCTTACTTATTCACCCTATAAACCAACATCAACTGATTAGATTTCCTTTCTTTAGTCCAATTTCTAACTGAATCCCAGTAATACTCCGTCACAAAATAGGTTTATTAAAAAGCTCAGCAATATTAGAGCTTTCCAGAAATTTTCAAGGATCAAAGTAAATGGTAGGCTGCATTCCTGCCAATTTCTTCATCCTCACTAAATGTTTAGGTATAGTCTCATCTGGTTGGCTACAGAGAACAGTTACTTTTTTTTTTTCTTGAAACAGTCTCGCTCTGTCACCCAGGCTGGAGTGCAGTGGTGCAATCTTGGCTCACTGTAAGCTCCCCTTCCCGGGTTCACGCCATTCTCTTGCCTCAGCCTCCCCAGTAGCTGGGACTACAGGTGCCCACCACCACGCCCAGCTAATTTTGTTTTTGTATTTTTAGCAGAGACGGGGTTTCACCGTGTTAGCCAGGATGGTCTTGATCTCCTGACCTCGTGATCTGCCCGCCTCAGCCTCCCAAAGTGCTGGGATTACAGACATGAGCCACTGCCCCCAGCCCAGGCACATTTTTTAAGGGTGACTCTCTGTATCACCAAGACTATAGACAGTCCATCTAAAATGAATGCCAATGCATGTGTTACACATCTTAAAAACAAGTGTACCCAATGTTCAAGCAAATTCTCCATCTAGAAATTTACTTGAAGAAGATAATTAAAGACATACATAAACATTTAGGTGCAATGGTTGTATCAGTCAGAAAATAACTAGCACATTCAAACCAAGATAATTAGAGTGGTGTTCATTCATAAAGATGTGGAGGAGTTGTAGAAAAACTGCAAGGGATAGTGCAGGTGCCCAGGGCTAGCAGCAGCAGCAAAGCTATTGCCACCCTTAGGCCCAAAAGAAAGGGATGGGTTCTGAGAACTGGGAAGGAAGTATTGTATGGAGGTGGCCACCTTGAGAAGAGTGCTCTTCAGTCGAGGAGTACAGCCAGCTCTAGGAGCCCTCATAAGGAAAGAACCAGGGGACTGACACTCTGATCTCGCCCTCCTCCCTCCAATCTCCTGCTGGGGAGAGGTATTGCCTGAAGCTGACCGGAAGTCAGAGGGCAAAGGAACCAGTTAATGTAATCCCTGAAGAAGAGTAGAGCCGAGAGAAAGAAGGAAAAGGGTAGAAAGTGGATATGGAGGAATGAACAAGAGAGATCTGGCATAAAGATGTTCATGGAGCACTGTTTATAATAACATAACATTGGAAATAATCCCAAACTAGAAGGAAATATAAACAATTTAAGGTATATATACCAAGTGAAGTGCTATGCAACCATTCCAAATATTGATGCAGAAAAGCTCACAAAACTGTATAATGTGATTTACCTTTTCTTAAAATAGTATGTATGTATATAGATATGTGTTTTTCTATGTATTTACATACATACACAATAAATGCACACACATTCATAAGAAAAAAAGACTTAAAGTACGGCCAGGCACGGTGGCTCATGCCTGTAATCCCAGAACTTTGGGAGGCCAAGGTGGGCTGAGGTCAGGAGTTTGAGACCAGCCTGACCAACATGGAGAAACTCCAACTCTACTAAAAATACAAAAAATGAGCCAGGCATGGTGGCGCACATCCAAAATCTCAGCTACCGGGGAGGCTGAGGCAGGAGAATCACTTGAACCTAGGAGGCGGAAGTTGCAGTGAGCTGAGATGGCGCCACTACATTCCAGCCTGGGTGACAGAGCAAGACCCTGTCTCAAAAAAAAAAAAAAAAGACTTAAAGCATATAAACCAAGATGTAAATAGTGGTTATCACAAGGAGAGTAGGATTATAGGTAATTTTATCTATATATTTTTTTCTTTTTGAGCAGGAAAAGTTTAATGTAAAGAATTATTGACTGTAACAGGGCAACAGAGAAACAAGGAGTTGGCTAGTTAAAAGTAAACAGAATGCCAAAGAATCTGAGAATGGCAGGTATGAGCAGCCACAACCCCTACGTCTGAGATCAATTACCCAGGAAGAAGCCCTCTCAGAGCTCAGATCTAGATGTTGGAGATGGTACAGCTGTGGTTTAGTAGCTGGCAGGGAAGTTACCATGCTACTGTGCTGCTGTGCTGCTGTGATGTTAAAACTTGCTTAAAATCTGTTCTCTAGGATGCTAGGGAACACTGTTCACTGGCAGGTGACTCACCAGAGACATCCTGCTACAAAACCAACTGACAGGTCAGGGTGTTTGAGAAATGTCTGGCCATAGGAGCCTTGCCAAGATGGCACACTGGAACCAGGGAGGAAAACCCAGTCCTTCTGCAAGGTAACTCTGGCTCCCAACTCCAGCTCCCCGTACTGACAAATCTTAACATATGTGCCAGCTGGCAAAGGGAAAATGTAGAAAGAGATCAGCTCCATTTTTGGAGAGCAAGTAATGAAGGATGAATTGGGAGCTGAGAGGCAATACATTGATAACTGGCACACGCTCCAAATCTTACCACCTAGAGATACTACTTATGAACACACACAGTTATCAATATGGTTTTTAACCTGTTATTTTCCTGCAATAGCGTGGTGTGGACAGCTTTATATGCCAATAAATATGATCCGCTTCAACATTTTTCTTTGTCGAGTAGTATATATTCACTTTGTTTTATATAGCTGATTCCCTACTGGTTAATATTTAAATTGACTCCTGTTTTTACTATTATAAATAATGCTGTACTCAACATCTTTAAATGCTTATTTTATCATACTAAATTATTAGAAGTTGAATTGTTGGAACAACTGTTCTATGTTAAGTTGATAAGAGTAAATGCTGGGTGCATTATTTATTTGTTTTAGCAAGAAAGATATTTTTTCATTTTCTGCATTCCTCAATAAAGCATGAAGATGCTACCTTAGACATCTGATATGGTATCCAAGTCAAATAAGGTCAGGTACCAGTGTGGTTCCAAGAATTTCTCTGAGAGCCATGTAGCCTGGCCAGGGAAACTAACTGGCAAAGATGGCATGTATCTACCCTGGCTTTTCACTAAAATAAAGTATAGGATTAAAAAAAAAAACTTCATTTTTCAGAGGAGTTTTAGGATCACAGCAAAACTGAGTGAAAGTGCAGAAGAATTCCCATACACCCCCCCATCCCCGACCCAATCTCCACTACCAACATCCCATACCAGAGTAGTACACTTGTTAAAATTAATGAACCTACATTGATACATCATTATCACTAAAGTCCATAGTTTACATCAGGGTTCACTCTTGGTTTGTTCATTCTTTGAGTTTTGACAAATTTTTAATGACATGAACTCACCATTGTAGTATCATACAGAATAGTTTCACTGCCCTAAAAATCCTCTGTGCTTTGCCTGTTCATCCCTCCCTCCCCATAGCCCCTGAAAACCACTGATCTTTTTCACTGTCTCTGTAGTTTTGTCTCATAGTTTTTACGTTCTTCCAAAATGTCATATAGTCGGAATCATACAGTATGTAGCCTTTTCATACTGGCTTCTTTCACTCAGTATTATGCATTTATGCATTTCCTTCGTGTCTTTTCATGGTTCTTTTTATTTTTTAAAGCATTGAGTAATATTCCATTGTCTGGATGTACCACAGTTTATCCATTCACCTACGGGAGGATATCTCAGTTGCTTTCAAATTTTGGCAATTATGAATAAAGCTGCTGTAAACATCCATGTGCAGGTTTTTGTGTGGACCTGAGTTTTCAGTTTATTTGGGCAAACATCAATGAGTATGATTGCTGGATCATATGGTAAGAGTATGTTTGGTTTTATAAAAAAGTACCAGGCCAGGCGCAGTGGCTCACGCCTGTAATCCCAGCACTTTGGGAGGCCGAGGCGGGCGGATCACGAGGTCAGGAGCTCAAGAGCATCTGGGATAACACGGTGAAACCCCGTCTCTACTAAAACCACAAAAAGTTAGCCGGGCGTGGTGGCTCATGCCTGTAATCCCAGCACTTTGGGAGGCCGACGTGGGCGGATCACGAGGTCAGAAGATGGAGACCATCCTGGCTAACACGGTGAAACCCCGTCTCTACTAAATATACAAAAAATTAGCCAGGCGTGGTGGCGGGCGCCTGTAGTCCTAGCTACTCGGGAGGCTGAGGCAGGAGAATGGCATGAACCCGGGAGGTGGAGCTTGCAGTGAGCCGAGATCGCACCACTGCACTCCAGCCTGGGCAAGAGAGCAAGACTCCGTCTCAAAAAAAAAAAAAGTACCAAACTGCCTTCCAAAGTGGCTGCACCATTTTGCATTCCCGCCAGCAATGAATCAGAGTTCCTGTTCTCCACATCCTCACCAGCACTTGGTGTCAGTGTTTTGGATGTTGGCCATTCTAATAGGAGTATGGTGGTGTCTCATTGTCATTTTTTTTCTTTTCTTTTTTGAGACAGCATCTTACTCTGTCACCCAGGCTGGAGTGCAGTGGCACAATCACAGCTCACTGCAGCCTCGACCTCCCAGGCTCAAGCAATCCTCCCACCTCAGCCTCCCTAGTAGCTGGGACTACGGGCACATGTCACCACACCTGGCTAATTTTTGTATTTTTTGTAGAGACAGGGTTCCACCATGTTTCCCAGGCTGGTCTCAAACTCCTGGGCTCAAGCAATCCACCTGCTCTGGCCTCCTAAATTGCTAGGATTGCAGACATGAGCCACTGTGCCTGGACTCAGTGTCATTTTCATTTGCATTTTCCTGATAACATGATATTGAACATCTTTTCATATGCTTACTTGCCATCTCTGTACATCTCCTTTGGACAGGTATCTGTATAGGGCTTCTGCCCATTTTTTAATTGGGTTGTTCATTTGCTTATTGTTGAGTTTTAAGAGTTCTTTGTATATTTTGGACAATAGTGGGTTTTTTTTAATCAGATGTGTCTTTTGCAAATATTTTCTCCTGGGCTTCTTATTCTCTTGACATTATCTCTTGAAAGAGTTTTTAATTTTAATGAAATTCACCTTATCAATTACTTCTTTAATGGGTCATGTCTTTGGTTGAATCTAAAAAGTCAGTGTCATACCAAAGGTCATCTAAATTTTCTCCTATGTTATCTTCTAGGAGTTTTATAGTTTTGCACTTTAAATTATCCATCTTGAGTTAATTTTTGTAAAGGATATAAAATCTCGGTCTAGATTAATTTTTATCCATGTAGGTGTCCAGTTGCTCCAGCATCATTTCTTATAAAGACTGTCTTTATATTGTATTATAGGATATTTAATTTAGGATATTAAACTAATAATCCTAACAGCTCCATTGTCTTGCCTTTGCTCCTTTTGACTATATTTATGTGGGTCTATTTCTGGGCTTTCTATTCTTGCCCATGATCTCTTTGTCTATCCTTTGACAATAAGTTTCTCACCATAAGTATGTTGTTAGCTATAAGTTTTTTGTAGCTGTGGTGTGTGTGTGTGTGTGTGTGTGTGTTTGAGACAAGGGTCTCACTCTGTCACCCACATTAGAGAGCAGTGGTATGATCTCTGCTCACAGCAACCTCCACCTCCCAGGCTCAATTGATCCCGAGTGGGTGGGACTACAAGCACACACCACCACACCTGGCTTATAGCTGTTCTTTATCAAGTTGTAGATGTTCCCCCTTATTCCTCATTTGCTAAGAGCTTTTATCATGAATTGATGATAGATTTTATCACTTTTTTTTGCATCTATTGATATGATCTTATGATTTTTCCCCTTTTATCTGTTGTGATGAGTTACATTAATTGATTTTCAAGTGTTGAACCAACCTTGCATACCTGAGATAAATCCCACTTGAACATTGTTAGACTCAATTTGCTAATTTTTTAATGAGTAATATTTTCTTGGCAAAGTTTTTTCAGAAATTGTTAAAAATGTAATTAAGCCATATGAATCTAGTCCTATCATTCTAGTCCTATAAATTCTAATTAAGATATCTTGGTGGTTATATGTGGTATGTTTACACTACTAATATTCACATGTAAAGCCATTACACAAATAAATAATTAATGTTAAAATTCAAATGGTTTGTGTTATTTCACCACAGGGTGAAGATTAGAAAATTGTGAAGTCTGCATTTAAGTCCACATTAGTTGTATTTTAACACTATCCCAAATTTCATACAGGAGAATGGTTTATTAAAAAAGACTATGTAAAATTTAGACAAAAAGTTTGTATATAAATTAAGAGAACAATCCACTTGAAAAATGAAAAGCAGAAGACAGCTAACTGATCACTAATGACACTTTGTTTAAAGTTAAAACAATCACATTGATTTGGCAGCAATAATGGCCTTTAATTTTCAAAAATAAATGTTTTGCACTAGTCTTACCGTTCATTATGCTGTTATAAGTCTGTAACATCCAGTATACAACCATAATTTGAAATCCAAACAAATCCTCAATACACCAAAACTCACACTTGAGTGTTCTACTTTAATATCCTAAGCAATATAGAATTACATACACGATAACAAGAGAAAACACTCCTTTAGCCCTGCCTTAAATTAAGAGAAGACACACAAAGTACATGTGTTACATTTCAATTATGTCAAAGGACAATACAAATCTGTTGGTTAGGTATATCTCTGTTCACAGAATAATACCTGATCTACCTTCTTTCCCAATTATTTTATTTTAAAACCTTAATGTTGTTAGCGTCAGGAAATGGAATAAATAGTGCCTATTCACAAGTCAATTACATCCAGTTTTACAATATGTAAAAGACCCTTATAATTACCTTTTGTTGAATTGGTATACCACAGTCCACTGTAAAACTGAAGGAATGATGTGACAATCTTCAAGAATTTTACCTACAAAATGATTGTGCACACTTTGGCAAATTCTCTTAGCTTTAAAAGTTTATTTAAGGCCAGGCATGGTGGCTCACACCTGTAATCCCAGCATTTTGGGAGGCCGAGGTGGGAGGATCACGAGGTCAGGAGATCGAGACCATCCTGGCCAACATGGTGAAACCGTGTCTCTACTAAAAATACAAAAATTAGCTGGGCATGGTGGTGCACACCTGTAGTCCCAGCTACTCAGGAGGCTGGGGCAGGACAAACGCTTGAATCCAGGAGGCAGAGGTTGCAGTGAGCCAAGATTGTGCCACTGCACTCCAGCCTGGCAACAGAGTGAGACTCCATCTCAAAAAAAAAAAATGGTTATTTAAAAATGGAATTCAGTAGATTAACTTCTAAATAGTCATCTCAGATTTTGAATCTATAAAAATTCATCACATTGTTGTTGGGACAAATTGAGATAAGGCTACAATTTTTTCCAAGTTAATATATTGAGAAAATAGAACTGTACTTCTACAATAAGTCACTATCGTTTATTTTTTTAAAGCAAATCAGTGAAAGAAAAACAAAAACCTTTGGTTCAGTTATATATTTATGAGTGGAAAAAAATTATAATGTAAATCCCACTCCTTAAAAAACTTAGGTACAAATTACAGCACTACAGATAACCCTCCATTTGCTTCTTTTGTTTCATGAAGACCTTGGAGATTCAACTCATTTTAAGATACCTAAGTATGAGTCCTCCAGGGAAATATTACACAAACTGGAAGCATCTTGGAACTTTTAAGTATATTCCAAAACATATATTTTTATGCATGCTTTAAACAAACAGTATTTTTTAAAATAAGAGAATCTAAACAGAAAGTATGATGAGCACTAGCATTTAAGTTTTCTGACTTTAGCATTTAAGTAGTCTGACACAGCATTCATTAGTAACCAAGCGGCCCTAAACATGTACAATCTGAACCATGATTTGTTAAATATTACACCCTACTTCCCCAGAACATTTAGGCTGGTCATAAAGTTAGAAATGTGTAAGTAAGTACATAAGCATCATCAGTTATGGACAGCCTCTTGTATAAATTGCTGTTTAGCAATACACAAACTGCTTCAAAGATTTATGCTTATGGGTAGACATTCAATTATATCAATAAAATAGCATGTCCTGAAAATATGAGCACATTTTAAAACATACTAAGATGATTCTGTTAACCACAACAGTCCCACAGTATGACTGAGTAATAACAAGAATCTACTTTAAAAGCAAAAAAAAAAATTAATCGGCATAGTGAATGATTGATTCAACACAGCTCCCAGGGAACAGACCAGTCACCTGATTGAAGACTCCTTCATATAAGCCATTAACATTCTTTATAACATAAATGACTGCACCCTCCATAAATGACAGCTCATCATCCTTGTCTTTTGTATAATCATACACTGCAATGATGTTCTCAATATAATTCTTTGGGGACCTTGCAGTATCCTTATCTGCATATGAAACATTATACTGAACTATTGCAGCCTCCTCGTCTTCATAATCCACTGGAGTGGGTGATGGTGGAGGTGGAAAGTCATCAAACATGAGAACATTATCTGGTGGTGTCGGTGGTGGAGGAGTTAAACTATCCAATAATAGGGGGTGAAGGTATAGGTACAGCTATGTGAATACTAACACTACTGCTTCCTCTGTTTTCTTGACTTCCCTTCCTCCACTACTTTCATTGTCTGCCTTGGTTTCTGATTTAATGAAGCTGACCTGCCTGGACTATGATGACTTCCAAACCTAGCAGGATGCATCATATAGTCATTAGGAACAGTTGGGGTTTAATGGGTTCCAGGGTTTTATAAGGAGTATTCTGTCCCAGTAATCCCTGGCCTCATACGAGAGGACTTGGTGGTTTTGGAAAGAAGGATTTGCTCTTGTTCTTGGCAGTGTGCCAATTCTTTTTTTTTTTTTTTTTTTTTTTGAGACAGTGTTTTGTTCTGTCACCCAGGCTGGAGTGCAGTAGCACGATCTCAGCTCACTGTAACCTTCGCCTCCCGGGTTCAAGCAGTTCTCCTGCCTCAGCCTCCCGAGTAGCTGGGATTACAGGCACCCGCCACCACACCTGGCTAATTTTTTGTGTTTTTAGTAGAGACAGGGTTTCACCACATTGGCTAGGCTGGTCGTGAACTCCTGACCTCAGGTGATCCACCCACCTTGGCCTCCCAAAGTGCTGGGATTACAGGTGTGAGCCACTGCGCCTGGCTGGCAGTGTGCCAATTCTTGCAGGCTGGTTATTTACATGCTTGGCACCATGGTTCACATCATTCAGAACTGTGTAGGCAATAGGTATCCAAACATACCTTATAAGACGCTCCATATTTGCAGGCGCTATTATTTTGTGAATTCTTGATGTAGTCTTATTTGTTGTCCAAATACCAATATCTCTTCGAGCTACTTTCTCTTTATTAATATCCATGATCTGTGAGATATGATTGATGAAAGACTCCATTCTTCAAAGTTGAAAGGCTTGGATGTTCACCAACTGGAGTACATTGTTAGACACTGTAGTTTTTTGATAAGTGACACTAACTGGAGGTCCGGTTATGTAGGCTTTGGTCTCTTCTAAAGCTTTTCTCTTGTCTTCACAGTAGTTCGCCACCTGGTTCAGGTTCTGGTAACTCTCTATCAGTGCCCTCTTGTGAGACAGGATCTCCTCTAGTAACATCTGCAGCTCTGCCATTTTCCACCCTTCTGTATCGGTTCCTCTTGCATTAAAGAAACAGAGGCAGAAAGTTCTACTGAGGCTCCCAGCACCTCATAGCCTGGATCCAAACCACCTTGCCACCTGGTATTGTCAATTTGTTAATATTTTGTTGAGGATTTTTGTATCTATGTTCATGAGAGATATATCTGTAGTTTTCTTGTAATGCCTTTGTCTGATTTTGGTAGTAAGATAATTATGGCCTCACAGAATGAGTAAAGAAGTACTACTTCTGCTTCTATTTCTAGAAGAGACTGTAAATAATTAATGTAATTTCTTCCTTAAATGTTTGGCAAAGTTACCAGTGAACCCATCTGGGCTTTCTGTTTTGGAAGGTTATTAACTATTGATTCAATTTATGTAGTAGACACAAGTCTATTCAGATCATCTATTTCTTCTTGCATGAGTTTTGGCAGATAGTGTCTTTCAAGAAATTGGTCCATTTTTATCTAGGTTATCAAATTTCTGGATATAGAACTGTTCATAATATTCCTTTATCATCCATGTATTAATAATATCTATGGGATCTGCAGTCATGTACTCTTTTTCATTTCTGATATTAGTCATTTTTGTTCTCTCTCTATTTTTCTTAGCTTGGCTAGAGGCTTATTACTTTTGTTGACCTTTACAAAAAACTAGCTTTTTTGTAAAAACTGATTTTATTGACTTTCTCTATTGACTTCCTGTTTTCAGTTTCATTGATTGCTGCTCAAATGTTTATTATTTCTTTTCTTCTGTTTACTTCGAATTTAATTTGCTCTTCCTTTTCTAGTTTACTTAGGTGGAAGCTTAGATGATTGATTGTAGATTTTTCTTCTTTTCTAATATATTTATTTAATGCTATAAGTTTCCTTCTAAGCACTGCTTTCACTGCATCCCACAAATTTTGATAAGTTGTATTTTCCTTTCATTTAGTTCAAAATATTTTTTAATTTTTCTTGAGATTTCTTTTTTGACTTATGTGTTATTTCGAAGTGTTTAATCTCCAAGTATTTGGGGATTTTCCAGATATCTTTCTGTTATTGATTTCTAAGTTTAATTTCATTGTGGTCTGAGAGGAGATATTGTATGATTTTTATTCTTTTTAATTTGTTAAAAATTAAATGGGTCTGCCTTGGTGAATGTTCCATGGAATCTTGAGAAGAATCTATCTTCTCCTGTTATTGGATGAAGTAATCTACAGATACCAACTATATCCTGTTGATGGATGGTGCTGTTAAGTTCAACTATGTACTTACTGATTTTCTGTCTGCTGTATTTGTCCATTTCTGATACAGGGGTGTTAAAATCTCCAACTATAATAGTGGGTTCATCTATTTCTCCTTGCAATTCTATCAGTTTTCACTTTATGTATTTTGATGTCCTATAGTTAGGTGCATACATATTAAGGATTATTATGTCTTCTTGGAATACTGACCCTTTTATCATTATGTAAGTTGGTTTCTTTTCTTTTCTTTTCTTTCTTTCTTTTTTTTGAGACAAAGTCTTGCTCTGTGGGCCAGGCTGGAGAGCAGTGGCATGATCTCTCACTGCAACCTCTGCCTCCCAGGTTCAAGTGATTCTCCTGCCTCAGCCTCCCGAGTAGCTGGGATTACAGGCATGCGCCACCATGCCCAGCTAAGTTTTTTATTTTTAGTAGAGACAGGGTTTCACCATGTTGGCCAGGCTGGTCTCGAACTCCTGACATCAGGTGATCCACCGGCCTCAGCCTCCCAAAGTGCTGGGATTATAGGCATGAGCCACCACGCCCAGCCGGTTGGTGGATTTTTTTTCCTCCTCTTAGTACTTTTAAATATTTTACTCCATTCTCTTCTTGTTTGCATGGTTACTGTGGAGAGGTCATATGTAATCCTTATCTTTCTTCCTCAAAAGGGAGATTATTGTTTCTCTGGCTCTTTTCAAATTTTTCTTTGTCTTCATCTGAAATTTGAATATAATATGTTTAGTTGTAATTTTTTTTTTTTTTTTTTTTTTGGCATTTATCCTGCTTGATGTTCTCTGAGCTTCCTGGATCTGTGCTTTGGTGTCTGACATTAATTTGGGGAAATTCTCAGTCTTTATTGCTTCAAATATTGCTTCTGTTCCTTTCTTATCCTTCTGGTATTCCCATTTATGTATATGCTATACTTTCTGTAGTTGTCCCACAGTTTTGAATATTGTGTTCTGATTTTTCAGTCTTTTTTCTCTCTGCTTTTCAGTTTTACAAGTTCCTATTGCCATATCCTCTAGCTCAGAGATTCTTTCCTTAGCCATATCCAGTCTCTAATGAGCCCATCAAAGGCATTCTTCATTTCTGTAACAGTCTTTTCATATCTCTAGCATTTTTTTAGAATACTCATCTCTCTGTTTATGTTATTTGTCTATTCCATGTTGTCTACTTTTATCATTAAAACCCTTAGCTTATCGATTATAGTTTTTTTGGGAGAATTTGTATTATTTTAATTATTTTTATATACAGAAAACTCAACAGTGTACCTTTAACTCACTTTGGTGGCAAGTTCTTTAGCCTTTGCCTTTTCCATATGGGCAATGTGAGCCACAGACTTGGGACCCAGGGCCTTGCCTCCCCAGTGACGGCAGATCTCATCAGATCTGTCATTGTAATTGGTCCTGATAGCTTCCACCAGCTTAGCCAAAGCCCCTTTGTTTTCCGAGTTAACCTGTGTGAAAGCAGCATTGGTGCAGGTCTTCCTGTGGACTAGACATCCCAGCCTTGCCTTCCTTTTGATAACGCAGTAAGGGACCTCCATTTTATGGCACAGGGCAGGCAGGAAGACAACCAGCTTGATGGGCTCGACATCCTGTGCAGTCACCACGGGCTGAGCCTTCTTGTTCTCCACCAAGGTGGTGACGGTGTTAACTCCTGCTCGAAGGACCGGTGGTCTCTTAGTGGGGATGCCCCCTTTGCCCAGAGCTTTCTTCTCAGCCAGGGCCAACAGCCTCTGCTGCTTCTCTTGCTTTGTCTCTGGGCCAGCTTAAACAGCTGAGTAGCTGTTTGGCCTTCCAGGTCCTGGGTAAACTGGTTAATCGCAAGAGGCACTTTCAGCCGCTTATAGAGAATGGCTCTCTGCCCTCATATAGTGGGGCCATTTCACAAAACGAGTGAGCTCGCTTTCAGGCCGGATGTCCTGTCCGATGCCAGAATTCTTAGGCTTTTTCTCAAACAGGGATTCACCACTTTCTTGGCCTGCTGCTTCTTTACGACAGCAGAGGCCAGAGCCACCTTTTTGCCCTTGGCCTTCTTTTCAGCATCTTGGGTGGCAGGAGGAGAGAGCAATTATAGTTTTTTAAATTCCTAGTCAGATAATTCCAACATTCCTGTCATATCTGAGTCTGGTTCTGATGCTCATTCAGTCTCTTCAAACAGCATTTTTTGCCTTTTAGTATGCCTTTTAAGCTTTTGTTAAAGGTGAACATGGTGTACTGAGTTTTAAAAAAAAAAAGTAAAGTAAATAGGATTTTAGTAATGCAGTGGTAAGGTGTCTGGGCGGAGGGGGAGGAAGTGTTCTATAGTCCTACGATTAGGTCTCAGTTTTTATTGTTGTTGTCTTTCTTTTTTTTTTTTGAGACAGAGTCTTGCTCTGTCGCCCAGGCTGGAGTACAGTGGCGCAATCTCAGCTCACTGCAACCTCTGCCTCCCTGGTTCAAGCAATTCTCCTGCCTCAGCCTCCCAAGTGGCTGGGATTGTAGGCATGCACCACCATGCCTGTCTAATTTTTGTATTTTTAGTAGAGACGGGGTTTCACCACGTTGGCCAGGCTGGTCTCAAACTCCTGACCTCTGGTGATCCGCCCGCCTCAGCCTCCCAAAGTGCTAGGATTACAGTTGTGAGCCACTGCACCCAGCCTGGTCTCAGTCTTTTGTTGAGCCTGTGCCCCTGCACTGTGAACTTCACAAGTGCTTTTCAGGTGTTTTTCCTCTTAGGTGAGACAAGATAGCTAGAGGAGGCTGGAGTTGGGTCTTTCACTTCCCCCAGGTAGGTTAGGCCGTGATAAAGCCCCAGCAAGTAGGGCTCTGGTAAAATAGTTTCTCCTGAGGCAGGCCTTGTTAGGAAAAATAAAACGCTCTGGTGTATTTCAAAATGGTTTCTTTTTCCCCTCCCCCTGCCAGAAGCACAATATTTATGATCTAATATCGTATGTATAGTTGCAATGTTTTTGGCATTTATCTTGCTTGATTTTGAGCTTCCTGGATCTGTGGTTTGGTGTCTGACATTAATTTGGGGGAAATTCTCAGTCATTATTGCTTCAAATATTGTTCCTATTCCTTTATTATCCAATAACATTATCCGATATTTATTGTGAGGAGCTGGTAGAGTTCCCAGAAGTAAAACTCACAAAAGTGTGCCCCCATCCCCACCTTGACTGGGTCTCCCTGGAATTTTTAACTCTGAGAGCTGCCCACACTGAGCCTCTATTAATTCATCAATTACAGTTCAGTTATCCTGTCACTGGTTCCGCAGAGGTTTCTGCTCCAGTAAGTTGTGATTCTGCTTCTGCCTGTCTCTCTCCAATCTTTGAGGCAGCAGTTTGCCCTGTGATCTCACTCTCTGACAGATCTAAGAAGAGTTCTCGATTTTTCAGTTTGTTCAGCTTTTTACTTATTGTAAGGCCAGCGTGGTAACTTCTAAGCTTCTTATATGCCAGGTGGGAAACAAGAAGTCCTATCTAGGTTTTTTAAAAATTCACACATCATATGTAATTTATCTAAAATTGACACATATTACTTATATAGTAAAGAAAAAGGCTCATTTTTGCTTTTGTTTTTCCTGCTTGACATATGCAGTTTCTTCCTCAGTAAAGCTCAAGTCAAAGGCTTCTAAGGCTAGATTCTATATAAGGAGCAAACAGGATTTGGGAAATACTCTTCTACTATAGACCATGCTTTATCATAATGGCTTTTAAATTTGCATTTGTTGCCTCGTGACCACAAAATAGCTGTTGTGATTTCAGACATTATATCTCAATTCAAGGTACGAAGAGAGGAAAAGCAGCATAAGCCCCGTCTGTCCTTTTCACTAGGAAGACAGAAAATCCTCAACAAATCCTGCTTCAGTCTGGTTGACCAGACCTATGTTTCAGGGATGCTCCCAGCTACAAGAGGCTGGGAAAAGAAGCCTCTGAATGAAAATGTGATGGGCAGGCAAGAAAGGAATTGAGAATGGCTGCTGGGTTAGGCAATCCAACAGAACTTTATAATATTTGAAAATGGTATTAACCTTTCCTTCACATTATTGATTCATTCCTTCTGCACAGACAAGAATCAGACATTGACTAAGCTTATGAGTTTACTGTAACCCTGCTGACTCATAGTGTTTATTCAAAACCAATACCTTGATATTATCAACAGAGTCAGGACTGAGAGAAACTGTTTTTAATAAAACAATTTAAAGTTCTAGCAGGAGAAAACAGGGTTGTTTTAATCTCTACCAACCCCACTTTCCCACCTTATTAATTATACTTTTGGAAGATCTGGATAAGCCTACTCAATCTTCAAGTCTCATTAAATATTTCCTCTTTATTGAATCCTTCTCTAGATCGTAGATCAGTTTAAGAACTCCCTGCTCTATGTTCTCATAGGCCTCTGTTCTTCGCTTATCACAATACTAATGCTTTATTTCAATTCCTGATTAGAGTTCTGCCTACCTGACTAAAGAGCAGAGTTCATTGAAGTCAAGGATTGTCTTCCCTGTTCACTGCTGATATATAGTATAGACTTGTCAATAAATGTTTATTGAATGAATGAATGATTGCATCCCCCTTCCAACACCACCAAAAACTTCAAGATATCTATTATCCTATAATTGTCACACAGGGTCAAATTAGGACATCGAAACCACTCAGAATAGTTAAAGCAGAGGGAATTTACTACACTGACTTGATAACACAGGAGATAAAAGATGCTGAGACTGGATCTCAGCATCTGAGACTACCTGAGAAGACTACCTGAGAATGGATGTTACCTCAGATGGGCAGAGCAACAGCAGGAAGCTCTTAGGACCCTTGGGTTGGAGGGACTATATGAAAAACTAATATTACTACAACCCCAACGGGTCACAAATGTACAGCAGAAGTCCCAGTACAGTGTGGCTCACCTGGGTCCCCTATTTAGAGTCTCATAAGGTCAAAATCAAGATGTTGGCAGGGCTGCACTCCTTTCTGAAGGCTCTAGGTATGAATCTGCTTCCAAGCCCTTTCAGGTTGTTGGCAAATTCAGCTCCATGATAATGTAAGACTGTGGTCCCAGTTTCCTTTCTTTAGTGTCAAATAGGAGTGACTTTCAACCTCTAGAGGCTGCCCCCACATTCCTTGGTTCATGCCTCCCTTCATCTTCAGAGCCAGCAATGGCAGATCAAGTCTTTCTCATGCTTCCAATTTCCCGGACTTCCCCTCTGCCTTATCTCTCCTGCTCCCAGCCGGAGAACTCTCTCCTGTTTTAAGGGCTCATATGATTAGAGTGAGTCCACATGGCTAATTCACAATAATCTTTCCATCTCATAACCTTAATCACATCTACAAAGTCCCTTTTGCCAGGCAATGTGTGGACATCTTTGAGGAACCATTATTCTGGCTATAACAGCCTCCCATTAGTCAAACTCAGCTAGATTTCAGTTGGTACAAGGTGCTGAGAAACAGGCCTGCAGAGCAGGAGAAGAGTGAGGAATATATCTGAGGACAAGCAGGCTCAGTATCACTACATTTTAAGATGACAACATGTTTTTTCTTCTCAAACTTCGACTGGCCTAACAGATAATTGGCCTGATTTCAACTTGTCAAAGATAATGAATTAATCCCAATTACTATAAAAACAAACGAACAAAACCCACAGTGATGACATACCTGAAATTATATTAATTCAAATATAAGGCAATTGTCAATTGGCTTCCATTATCTGCCCAACCCTGATTCTCAAACAAGAGTCAGCGAAAATTATTATCTTCAGCAGAGGAATATGAAAATGAGGCCTAGGCCAGGGAGGGAAAATGCATACAATTCCAATCTCAAGAAGTGCAGAGTTTGAAGTGAGTCCCTGAGTCCACAGTATATTCTTGGCCCAGTCTCTGGATTAAGCCATCGAGATGAGAGCCAACTAACCCAGAGATTCCTGGAATCATTTTTGCTGTCCCAGAAGACTCAGCCAGCCACAGGACCCAGAATTGTCCCCAGAAATATTTATGTCAATAAACTGCTGCCATATGATATCAAACTCCAGCAGGGACCAGGATAGACTGGATAGCAGAGTCAAACTCTTAAAATTATCCAGGGCAATCAATGAACAACTCTACCTTGTTGTAATTTTGCACTCTGAATAGTTTTATTAACCACAAAATAACAAGACTGCATTTTGTACTGCTTAAGTTTTTGGACCACACAAGTTTCAGAGATGGTATTTACAGTATTTCAAAACTCAAACGATCATTTTTGGTAATCATCCTCCAGCATTCAACTTGCTTCTAATTAACAAGCCTGCATGGCAGCAGTGCCTAAAAGGGTTACTTCAACATTGAATTTTGTGAAAGCAACAAAAGAACTGTTGACAATAACAGAACTAGTACATGGAATGCTAACACTACAGTCAAGCATAATGAATACTATAGATGACCAATGTTGCAAGGATTCTGTCAGAAACACTCATTCCCTTCTGAGTGAAAACCTTTAGTGAGGTTGATATGACTGAGAATAGGCTCTACTCTGGTCCACTTTACATTTTGTACTGTCCAAACTCTGCTATGCCTCTCATCTCTTGTCTCACTCAGATCTGCATGCAGTAGGATGTCACTTTCTTGCATCCTTGACCTTTAGCAGAAATTCTCAGTCTTTGGTTGTTTAAAATTCACCTTGCTGGGCGCAGTGGCTCACATCTGTAATCCCAGCACTATGGGAGGGCGGATCATGAGGTCAAGAGATTGAGACCATCCTGGCCAACATGGTGAAACCCCATCTCTACTAAAAATACAAAAATTAGCTGGGCATGGTGGCACGTGCCTGTAGTCCCAGCTACTCAGGTGCCTGAGGCAGGAGAATTGCTTGAACCCAGGAAGCGGAGGTTGCAGTGAGCCAAGATTGCGCCACTGCACTCCAGCCTGGCGACAGAGCAAGACTCTATCTCAAAAATAAATAAATAAATAAATGAAATTCACCTTAAGAACAGTTCTCTTTTTTTTTTTTTTTTTTTTTTTTGAGACAGAGTCTTGCTCTGTCGCCCAGGCTGGAGTGCAGTGGCATGATCTCGGCTCACTGCAAGCTCCACCTCCTGGGTTCACGCCATTCTCCTGCCTCAGCCTCCCAAGTAGCTGGGACTACAGGCACCTGCCACCACCACACCTGGCTAATTTTTTGTATTTTTTTTAGTAGAGACAGGGTTTCACCACGTGAGCCAGGATGGTCTTGATCTCCTGACCTCATGATCCGCCTGCCTCGGCCTCCCAAAGTGCTGGGATTACAGGCGTGAGCCACTGCGCCTGGCCAAGGATAGTTCTTAAAGAAGTTTGTTCCTTTTAATACACCCTACAAATGCAGACTCCTGTTACCAAGTGCCCTGGAAATGAGGCTTCTCTCTCTTCTCATGGCCCAGGAGCATTCTCTTCTCTCTCATATGAACTCTGTGTTCTCTCTCCAGTGGTCTATAAAAAGATGCTCTCAGTTCCACTCTTTTGTGTTGCTACATTGTCAGCCACCAAAGAAAGGGTTAACTTCTGCTTTGATAGAAAGAGAAACTTTCTGATTGAGGTCTGAGTTGAAAACCAGTGCTTCTTAGGGCAGGAACCTGTGTTACATGATCTTTGAAGTTTAACACTTCAACATTTTTCCTGGCTGCTAAAGCTTGAGCTGTTTTTTAAATTTTATTTTAAAGTATACATACAGTAATATTTACTCTCTTTGCTATACAGTTTTTTGAGTTTTGACAAGTAAATAGAGTGTATAAACCACCATCACAATCAACATTCAAAACAGTTCTGTTGGCTGAGCGTGGTGGCTCGCACCTGTAATCCCAGCACCTTGGGAGGCCGAGGCAGGCGGATCACCTGAGGTCAGAAGTTTGAGACCAGCCTGGCCAACATGGAGAAACCCTGTCTCTACTAAAAATACAAAAAATATCCAAGCATGGTGGCGGGTACCTGTAATCCCGGCTACTTGGGAGGCTGAGGCAGGAGAATCACTTGAATCCAGGAGGTAGAGGTTACAGTGAGCCGAGATTGTGCCACTACACTCCAGCCTAGGTGACACAGTGAGACTCTGTCTTAAAAAAACAAAACAAAACAAAAACAGTTCTGTCATCCCAAAAATCTTCTTGAGGCTGCTCCTTCATAATCAACCTTAACTCCAGCAACCATGGATCTGTTCTTGATTCCTGTAGTTTTGCCTTTCCAAGGATGTTATAGAAATGAAATCATACAGTGATATATGAAAGATACAGCCTTTTGAGTCTTTCTTTCACTAAGCATAATACATCAGAGATTCATTCATGTTGTTGTATATATCAATAGTTGGTTCGTTTTTTATCACTGAATAGTATTCTATTGTGCGGGGCATTAGTTTCTTGTGGCTGCTATAAGAAATTACCACATTGATAGCTTAAAGCAACAGAAATTTATTCTCTCACAGTTCTGGAGGCCAGAAGTCCAAAATCAGTATTACTGGACTAAAATCAAGGTGTTGGCAGGGCCTCTAGAAATTTTAGGGGCTAATCTGTTACTTGCCAGCTACTGGTGGCTGCCAGCATTCCTTGGCTTATGGCCACATCACTCCAATCTTTGCCTCTCTGGTCATAGTGCCTCATCTTCTGTCTGTCTAGAGTCAAATCTCCCCTTAACTTTCATTTATAAGGATACATGAAATCTCCCCATGCCAGGATCCTTAACTTAATCACATTTGCAGTCTTTTTTTCTTTTTCTTTGCCATATAAGGTAACATTCACAGGTTCCAGGTATCAGGCCATGATATTATCTGAAGGGTCATTATTCAGCCTTCCACATGGATATACCAGAGATTATTTATTCATTCACCCACTGAAGGACATTTGGGTTGTTTCCAGGTTGGGATAATTATGAATAAAGCTGCTATAAGTATTTACATAAAGGTGTTTGTTTTAAGTTTTCATCTCTCTTGGGTAAATACCTGAGAGTGAGACTGCTGGGACAAATAGTAGCATAGTTCAACTTTATAAGAAACTGTCAAACTGATTCCAAAGTGGTTGTACCATTTTGCAATTTCACCAGCAGTATTTGAGAGGTCCAGTTCCTCCACATCCTTGTCAACAGTTGATTGACAGTTTTTCTGATTGTAGCCATTCTGCTAAGTATGTAGTGGTATTTCCCTGTGGTTTTAATTTGCATTTCCCTAATGACTGGTAAAGTTGAGCATTTTTATTCTGTGTTGAAATTTTAATGCTGCATCATTTCATTCCCTCTCTCACTTGGCTTTGTTTTGTCTTAGCTCTCCAAATGTGCTTTAGTAATTGTTTAGAATTAACTGCTTAATAGGTAAAAATCTTATAATTATTAGCTTCTCATGAAGTCAAAACTACTGAGTAACTTTCAACGTAAAGGAAAATTCTTTTTTTTTTTTAACCTTGCATCTCCAGCTCAAAGGAAGGAATTCTGTCAAGATGAGTCATCATGGTATTCACAAAATATACCCAAGGTGCATGGTTAGCATGAGGTGATTAGTAAGATTGGTTAAGAGTATGTCTATAATGTACATGTGTTCTTTTTCATCTTTATGCACCTTTTTGGATTAATACCCTATGTTTACCAAAATAATTCGGGAATCTTCCCTTCAAAAATCTGGTTGGAATACAATATTTCTAAATCAGTTTAAGTCCATATAATTAGGTATTTAGGGCATGCATGGGCCTGAAGTCCAACAAACCAGATTTGCTTAGAAGCAATTTTCTTAACCAATGAAATACTGCCTCTGAAGCTGCCAGAAACTCTGAATATCATCAGGTCTGCTGAGGCACTGGAGAGTAATAAACCATTTGAATCAGAATCCACCTACTATTGAATGCCAAAACTCTCTCAGGCTAGTTAGTGCATAAAATATGCCTCCATGTTTCCAATAGCTCCAGGATAAATGTCCTGTGCCAAAGAAATAGAACAAGTAAGGCAAAAACCTCAGGAGGCTTGGAAGATAGGAGAAGTGACAATCTTAGCATAAAGGACTCAAGTATAGACTATTATTCTTTTAAAAAATATTATTAGAATATTTTTGTTAACAAAAATAGTAGCAGAAATGGTGTGCCAGTGCACTTGTGGCATATATGTTAATAAAAACTAGTAACTATCTTTTATGGCATGTTTATACTATTGTGCCAGACCCTATTATAAGTAGTTGACATAAATTAATTCATTTAATCCTTACAGCTAACCCAAGAGTAGGTACTATTTTTACCCCCATTTATAGATAAACAAACCAAAAAACAAAGAGTTGAAATGATTTTTCCAAGGTCCCAGTGGAGCATCACACAGAGGCAGACAGACCCCACCAAGGCAGATGGCGACTGCTGTCCAGGAACTGTTACCGCATCTCCTACACCCAACCAATGACCAGCCTGATTATGGAGCTTTTCAAAAATCTGATTCTTAGGCCCCGCCCCCAGGATTCTGGTTCAGTCAGTCTGAATTCTGCATCACTTTTGTAGATTACCCTGGTGATTCTGAGCATTAGCTGGGTTGCCAACATCAGGTTGGTTTCCCATTGGTGATTTGGCAATGTCTTTTTGCTGGTGGATCATTATTAAGTTCCTTCAGACCACACAATACTCCACATCATAGGTAATGGGGCAGGTTACTACTTTTAGAATTTCCAATACAATGAGTAAAAGTCAGAATTAGTATTTTACTTACATATGATACTTCTTGTACCTGAGCTCATCTTCCATTAAAATATATTTTAGCCAGGTGCTGTGGCTCACCCCCATAATTCCAGCACTTTGGGAGGCCAAGGCAGGAAAGTCACTTGAGGCCAGAAGTTCAAGACCAGCCTGGACAACATAGCAAGACTCCATCTCTACAAAAAATTTAAAAATTAGACAGGCATGGTAGTTCGTGCCTGTAGTCCCAGCCACTCAGGAGGCTGAGGTGAGAGGATCACTTGAGCCCAGGAGTCCAAAGCTGCAGCAAGCTATGACAGCACCACTGCACTCCAGCCTGGACAACAGAGCAAGACCCTGTCTCTTTAAAAAACAAAAACAAGCAAAACAAAACATTTTAATTGTTATGCATAGTATATATGTGCATTTTTGTTAAATTAAGACTTATAATCTCATAATGATCATGATTTCCCCCAAATGCTGATGATGACCAAATTTCTATTTCTGTCCCAGACCTTGAACCCCCAGCCTAAAAATCAGATTGCATATTGGATGTTTCTTCCTGGAAGAATGTCAAACTGAACAAGTCTGAAACTGATCTTTGTGCATCACAACCCAGCCAAACCTGTTACTTCTCCTACATTCCCTTTCTTGGTGATTGGCTTGTCCACCCACTCAGCCACACCAGCCAAAATGCTGGGAGTCATTTGGATTCCACCGCCTCCCCCACTTCCCATGACCCAACAGTCCACCTGCTTCCCACGGCCTCCCTTTCCTGCTGCCACTGCACCAGTTCACGCCACTTCTTGGAGGACATCTCGGGGTCTATCGCCCAGCTCCCTGTCTTGGGCTGCACTGCTTCCAGAGTGCTTGCTTTCTTTTCTTTCTTCCTCTTTGTTCTTTTGCTTTTGGGTCCAAGCTTCACTTTTTAAAAATGACATAATCTGTTTCAAATATACAATTGAGTTCAGAGAATAATAAACAATTGTGTTCTACTAGTTTTATCAACATCTCAACATTATCATGTCATGTTTGCCAGTTTATTTAAAGAAATATATATAAATTTATGTATTTAATGTATATTTCAACTGCCAGAGGTCACTGGTTTGAATCCAGCTCCACTACTTACTTACTACATATGTATTAATACATATTATATAAAAATATAGGTATTGAAACCCACCTTGACTAGCTCGTCCCCTAGTCCCTGAGTCCCCCTTTCCCAGGGCATTCTCATGAATTTGCTATTATCAATCTCACGTATGTTAATATTTTCTGTAGACATTTATATGTTCATAAACAATTCAAAGTGCACTTTGTAGGTTTTTAAACTTTACTAAAATAACGTCATACTGTATATATTCTCTGCAGCCTGCTTCCTTCACTCAATTTTGTTTTTTCTTCTTTTTGCCACATGTTGCCCTAATTCATTCATGTTAACTACCATATGGTATTCTATTATGGCTCTATACTACAATCTATTTATTTATTCTCTGTGGAAGAACATTTAGGGTTTTTTGCTAATACAAACAGTGGAGCATTGCTGTTTTTGAACAGATGTTTGAGAGTTTCTCCAGGCTAAATTCTCAGGAACGGGATTACTTTCCTGGTCTCCCGAGACAGAGACAAATAGTTTCCTGCCTCCTTTTCTCTAATCCTCACTGCCGCCAGAACAATTGTGCTGAAATGCCCATCTGATCCTGTCACTCTCCTGCTTAAGTGCCTTTCATGAAACAAACCTGCCATTCCTCAATAGGACACAAGGGGCCTGTGCTCTGGGCCCTGCTGCTTCTGCAGCCTTCTCTCCCCTCTCCACCCCACCCGTCACCCAGTGCTCTACCAATTGCTCCCTGCATCCCTAACAGACCCCAGGGATCCTGTCTCCCAAACCCTTGCGCCATCTTCTCTCTTTCCAGGACTGCCCTACCCTCACTCATCTCCTCCAGCCTTCATACCAGGAAATACCTAATTTACAGGGTGGGGTCTTGCTCTGTTGTCCAGGCTGGAGTGCAATGGCGCAATAACAGCTCACTGCAGCCTTGACCTCCCAGACTCAGGTGATCCTCCCACCTCAGCCTCCTAAGTAGCTGGGACCACAAGTGTGGGCCATGACACCTGGCTAATTTTTAAAATTATTTGTAGAGACAGCGTCTCCTATGTTGCCCAGACTGGTCTCCAACTCCTGGACTCAAGCACTAATTGTTTTTTGAGAGTCATGTTCTCATGGACTTTTCCTCAACTGCTAGAGATCACTGGTTTGAATCCAACTCTACTACTTACTAACTCAGGCACATCTTTAAACCTCTCTGAGCTCAGTTTCTTCATCAATAAAATGAAGAAAATAATAGCACTCACCACATATGCCTGTCATATGGGTTGAATTTGATTATCAATACTTTGATTATTGAATTTGATTGTTGATATAGAGCACTTTATATAGTGCTTGACAATAAATGTTAGCTCTTGTCTATTCATTCATGAAAGCATTTTATTAGAATTATGATTTTTTGTTGTTGTTAGCTATTTTTTTACATATTTCTCTCCCTCTACTAGCAGTAAGTCTTTCAAAGTCTAGAACCATGTTTCATTCACTTTATCAACAGCACAGTCTCTGGCATAGAAAAGGCACATAGTAAATGTTGAGTGAATAAATGAATGGTTCTTGGGGCTCTCAGAACTGCTAGTTTATTATTATTTATTTATTTATTTGTTTTTGAGATGGAGTCTCACTCTGTCGCCCGGGCTGGAGTACAGTGATGCGATCACGGCTCACTGCAACCTCTGCCTCCTGGGTTCAAGCTATTCTCCTGCCTCAGCCTCCTGAGTAGCTGGGATTACAGGCGTGCGCAACCACACCCAGCTAATTTTTGTCTTTTTAGTAGAGACAGGGTTTTGCCATGTTGACCAGACTGGTCTCAAACTCCTGACTCCAGGTAATCCACCTGCCTCGGCCTCCCCAAGTGCTGGGAGAACAGGCGTGAGCCACCATGCCTGGGCTGAACTGCTAGTTTTTTTTGTTTTTTTGTTTTTGTTTTTTTTAAGGATTTAATATTTTCTTATAGATGGTATCACATTTCCACAGAAAAATGCAACTTCTAGTGACACTATTTTTGTTTCCTTTTACCAGCAAAGCTTTCTTACAGTAGTTGTATTTCTTTAGGTTGATAATGATTTCCACAAGCCTATTAGTAAATAGTGTTAAAAGTACTTACTTTGCCACTTGGTTGTTGCCTACAGAAAAGATATACTTAAAAACAAACAAAAAGGCCCAGCGCGGTGGCTCACACCTGTAATCCCAGCACTTTGGGAGGCCGAGGCGGGCAGATTGCCTGAGCTCAGCAGTTCGAGACCAGCCTGGGCAACACAGTGAAATCCTGTCTCTACTAAAATACAGAAAAATTAGCCAAGCGGCATGCACCTGTAATCCCAGCTACTCAGGAGGCTGAGGCAGGAGAATCGTTTGAATCTGGGAGGCGGAGATTGCAGTGAGCCAAAATTGTACCACTGCACCCCAGCCTGGGTGACAGAGCAAGACTCTGTCTTCAAAAAAAAAAAGCTTTACGGCTGATATGGTTTTGTTGCCTACTTACAACCTTACTGAGGTAAAAATTCATACCTAGAATTGTAATGAAAAGACAGGGGCAATTTCTGAAAACTGAAGGTCTCTTAATGTAGATTTACCAGTAGAAAAAGCACATAGAAATGCTTCTGACCTAGAGGGAGAGTAATTGGAAAGGAGAGATGACAATAGAAAGATGACATTCTTTTAGCCTTCCTCCTCTGTCTCAATCTTCCTCAGTACCTGGAAACCAGAGACCAAACCCCCAGACTGGGTCTTGCAGGGCTCCTCAAACATTCTGCACCATCAACCAGACTGGATTCTCCCCTTAGCTCCTGCCCAGGTACCCTGCCCTGTCACACTGCTGTCTCCCTGCAGCGCAGTGGCCCTCTCTGAACCCTGAAACAACTGCAGCTAGCTTCCCTTCTCAAGCTCTCTGCATCCCCCACTCCCACCCCCAGCGCAGGACTGCCTAACAGCAACAGCTCTCCTGAAGCAGATGCCACTCTGCACTGGGTTTTCTGGGACTAATGATACCCAAACATGCTTGAGCGTGCTGGCTGTTTGGGCATTGCACCCTGGATCACTATACTCTTGCCAAGCCAGCCCCTGAGGCAGGAGTGGTGTCCCAGTAGGGAACTACTCCTAGTTTCCAGGACCATGCTGAAGCTCAGCTTCCCCTCCCCGCTGGCCCCAGGCAGCCAAATCTCAGCACCTTCAAGCCTGGATACCATCCAGTTCCCACCACTGTCACTTCTTATCTGTCACACTTTTTCTGTTTTCTCCTTTCTTGCCTTTTTTTGAACTGAGTTCCCTCTGTTTCTGCCTCCATTTCCTTACTCCAAAGGAATAAGGAACAGATATATAGATATATAGATACATATAGATATAGATATAGCTGTTTTAAATAAAAACCCATCAAAACAATACAAATACCTTAGATAGCTTATAAATTAGTTCTTTTTTAGCTCCACAAATAACATACCAGAAAATTGACCCACATACATTTCTGTTTCTTTCCTTGTGATTCCTTCTTATGTCTCAGACCTCTGATCTGGAGCTATATTTCATTTGTGTCGATGATATCCTTTAGAATTCCCTTTGGTACAGGACTCTTGGTGGTAAGCTCATATAGTTTTTGTTTATATGAAAATGTATTTTTTCCTTCATTCTTGAAAAATCATTTCACAAGATATGCAATTTTAGATCGACAGTTATTTTTTCTGCTGAGAATTTAGCCATCAGTCATCCCTTACAAGTAATCTGTCCTTCGTTCTGGGTGCTTTTCATATCTCCTCTCTTATTGTTGCTCCACAATTTCACTGGTGGAAAGTCACACCCTGTGATGTGGATTTCTTTTTATTGATGCTACTTGAGATATATCAGAAAACTTGAATTTGAGGATTGGTGTTTTTCATCACTTCTGGAAAATTCTCAGCCATTAACTTTTCAAATATTGGCTCAGCTTTATTTCCTCTCTACTTTCCTTTTGGAACTCCCATTAGGCATATGTTAGATCTTTTCACTTTACGTTTCTTACCATCTCTTTCGTATTTTCCGTATTCCTGTCTTTAATTGCTGCCCCCTGCTTAATTTTTTCAGCTCCAGCTTCCAATTTCTCTTTTGCAGTATGAAGTTGAATTTTTAATTTCATTTTTTTATTTCTAGAAGTTTTAATTTCTTTAAATGTTTTAAGTAAGAATGTAATAGAATAGAGCAGGATAGAATAGGATCCATATCTGATAATCCCAATATGTGAAATATTTACAGATTTGGTGCTATAGTCTGTTGTTTCTGCTGGCTCTTGATCATGGTGCTTTGCTTCCTGTGTTTTGTTTTGTTTTGTTGTAATTTTGTTTGTTTTACAATACATTTATATTACTTGGAATCTCTTCAGTGGAAATTCTTTCAGATTTGGGTTAAAAGTAGGTTTCTTGAAAGAATATTTATATTTGCTTCTTCCAGGTACTTCATTCACTTAGTAGCCAGGATCACTTTAAAAAATTGACTTGAGGTTTTCAGGACATGTAGGTGGTATTAATTTAGGCTGAAAAGGCCAGGCGCAGTGGCTCATGTCTGTAATCCCAGCACTTTCGGAGGCCGAGTTGGGCAGATCACTTGAGGTCAGGAGTTCGAGACCAGCCTGGCCAACATGGTGAAACCCCATCTCTACCAAAAACATAAAAAATTAGCCAGGTGTGGCGGCACATGCCTGTAATCCCAGCTACTCGGGAGGCTAAGGCAGGAAAATGGCTTGAACCTGGGAGGCAGAGGTTGCAGTGAGCCAAGATCATGCCACTGCACTCCAGCCTGGGCGACAGAGCGAGACTCCATCTCAAAAAAAAAATAAAAATAAAAATAATTTAGCCTGAAAAATCACATGAAGATTGGCTTGTGGATGTGAATTCTCAGGGAGAAATTTTTTTCCCCTTCCATCTAGCATCAAGCTGGTGTGAACCCCAAAAATCTGAGACAGGTCTCAGTTAATTTAGAAAGTTTATTTTGCCAAGGTTGAGGACACATGCCCGTGACACAGCCTCAGACATGTGCCCAAGGAGGTCAGAGCACAGTTTGGTTTTATGCATTTTGGGGAGATATGAGACATCAATCAACATATGCAAGATGAACATTGGATTGGTCTAGAAAGGCGGGACAACTCAAAGCAAAGGCAGGAAGACTCGAAGCTGGGAGGGGGCTTCCAGGTCATAGGTAAATAAGGGACAAATAGTTGCATTCTTTAGAGTTTCTGATTCGCCCCTCCAAAGGAGGCAATCAAATATGCATTTATGTCAGTGAGCACAGGGGTGACTTTCAATAGAATGGGAGGCAGGTTGGCCCTAAGCAGTTCCCAGCTTGATTTTTCCCTTTAGCTTAGCGATTTGGGGGCCCCAAGATTGATTCTCCTTTCATACTGGAGACAGACAAGGTTTTTTATTGTCCCCTTTTGTGAGGCAGGTATGTCTAGTTCGCCCTTAACCTAAAAATATAGGTTTTTTTTTTTTTTTGCCCAACATTTTTACAAGCACTCCCATTAGACTCCCCACTTTTATTGGGCCCTGGGTTTCATCTCCTGTCTCGTGTCTGTGTGGTTGTCAAATCTGAAGCTTATTGTCACCAGGATTCAGCAGTTACCCTTGAGATGAAAACTGCTCTACTTGCCTCTCTGATTCTCACTTTCCCTTTGTTTTTGACTTCAGAAATTCCTTACAGTCTTGCCAGCTCAGCAATGCATTGAAAAATGTTTCATATTTTATCCAGTATTTGTGGTTGTTCTCATATGAGTGTTGTTCAGGCTATCTAATCAACCATGCTGTCAGAATAGAAGTCCTCATTTCTTACTTATTTTTCCCACTTTAAAAATGTTTTATTATATATTGCAGGTAGCTATTTTATTTGTCAGAATCTAATGTGTTCAGTGTAGGGTTGCCAGATTTAGTAAATAAAAATATAAGATACCTAGTTAAAACTGAATTTCAGAGAAATAATGAATTTTTTAGGATAAGTCCCATTTAATATTTAAGACATACTAAAAAATTATTTGTTATTTAGCCAAAGTTCAGGCTTAAGTGGACACCCTATATTTTGCCCTAGTTCTGAGTCTAATCTAAGGTAAGTGATAAAAATTATTTGGACCAAGAAATAGTTACCCCTTTAGGGGAAGTACATACTATGTGATTATTTGCAGCATTATCTACACAATTGCTCTAACATAAAAACAAATGTAAATCTTTAATCACAAAAGTAATACATGTATGGTAAAAAAAATGTAAATAAAATGTCCACATTTCTTTTTAAAAGTTGCCCATTTTTTATGAGTACTGCTAAAATCTAATATTCTTAAAAAATCAAACTCAGACCTGGTAAACAATGAAATAGTTAATTTTATCTCTAATAGTTGGGTAAACCATAGCTAACAATTGCTAAAACACCTCATGTGCCATATCCTAGCTAATGACATAGCAAGTAATTTATTTAGAATAAGTAAAGACAATAAATGCTAAATTCTAAAATACACCCAACACTATTTTACTGCAAGAGCAGTTACTACAGCCTATACTTCCATATGTGTGAGCACAGATTGAGTTGTTCAGCAAAGTTAACCAAACAAGTCAGCTCTAATAATGTTACTGGCAGCTGGTCACAACCTCAAATGATTTGTGATCTAACTCAACCATGAGTAGTCATTGATGAGGCATTATTCAGAACAGATAAATTGAAAAGATAGTTTTAGGTTGGGCGCTGGTTCATGCCTATAATTGCAGCACTTTGGGAGGCCGAGGCAGGAGGATCACTTGAGGTCTGGAGTTAGAGACCAGCCTGGCCAACAGGGTGAAACCCTGTCTCTACTAAAAATACAAAAATTAACCAAGTGTGGTGGTGGGCGCTTGTAGTCCCAGCTACTCAGGAGGCTGAGGCAGCAGAATCGCTTGAACCTAGGAGGCAGAGGTTGCAGTGAGCCGAGATTGCACCACTGCATTCCAGCCTGGGCTACAGAATGAGACTCCATCTCAAAAAAAAAAAAAAAGAAAAAGAAAAAGAAAAGAAAAGAAATAGTTTTAATCACTCACGGTTATTGACTAGCAATAAAATGAAGTCATAAAATGACAAGGTCATAGCAATGTGAAATATAACTCGGAGAAAGAGAAATAGGAAACAGAAATTTTTCAAAGCCACGAAACATAACTTGAGAAATTTGGCTTATGACCTGCACTGATAGTCTACCTACCTCTAGAGAGGTATCGCCAGTAAATATTCAGTACTTGTATTCAATACATGGTATTAAATACAGAATAATTGAGAACAAAGTATGTATCATACAGTCCCACCTAAGGAATTTATCACATCTTGAAGGCTTTGAAGACTTTGTTTAAGTTCCTTGATCTTAAAGTGTCTTAATTACAGATAGTATTTGCTTTTATTCATTACATTAGAGTTTCTGACCTACTCATTTCTGACATATCATAATTACCTTATTCTCATAAAATATCTGTGACTGTATTACTCTCCTACCCTTTACATCTGTACCTGTGTTCACGGAGCCTTACATTGCTCATACAGTATGAGCAATGATGCTTGATTGTTACCCCAAACAGCTATAGAAAATATTTTTGATCCTTCTTCATTTTAAGAACAAAGGTATAATAACAACAGATATAAATGCCATCTCAACATGTTGTTGCCATCTCAACAACAGATATAAAAAAGCAACTATTTCAGGCACTTTAAGTTAGTAGTATTGAAGCTAATATAAGATATAAATACAGTTCTGATTTTTGTGGAAACTACCTATGAGGGTATTTGGGCATGGAGAGGACAAAAAGTCTTGCATTCAGAATTGCTGTGTTTTAACATGTGTCTAACAGTATGAAATTCTGCATTATGGCCAGGCGTGGTGGCTCATGACTGTAGTCCCAGCACTTTGGGAGGCCGAGGCTAGCAGATCGCTTGAGCTCAGGAGTTCAAGACCAATCTGGGCAACATAGCAAGACCCCATCTCTATGAAAAATACAAAAAATTAACCGAGTGTGGTGATGGGCACCTGTGGTCCCAACTACTCTGGAGGCTGAGGTGGGAGGATCACTTGAGCCCAGGAGGTGGAGGCTGCAGGGAGCCAAGATCGTGCCACTGTGTACCAGATTGGGGCCTGGGTGACAGAGTGAGACCTCATCTCAAATATAAAACAAAACAAAACAAAAAGGCCAGGCACAGTGGCTCACGCCTGTAATCCCAACATTTTGGTAGGCTGAGGCAGGTTGATCACTTGAGGTCAGGAGTTCGAGACCATTCTGACCAACATGCCAAAATCCCATCTCTACTAAAAATACAAAAATTAGCCGGGCGTGGTGGTACCTGTAATCCCAGGTACTTGGGAGGCTGAGGCAGCAGAATTGCTTGAACCTGGGAGGCGGAGGTTCCAGTGAGTCAAGATCACGCCGCTGCACTCTAGCCTGGGTGACAGAGTGAGACTCCATCTCAAAAAAAAAAAAGAAGTGAAAAAACAAAAAAAAAAAAAAGAAAGAAAAAAGAAATTCTGCCTTAGGCCATTTAACTAATGAGAGTAACCCACTGTCAGTATATTTTTATTTTTACTTTTAACAGTTTCACTGATGTGAAATATAATGAACATACCATAAATTTCACCAAAGTATATAATTTAATTGTCTTTAATATATTCACAGAGTTGTGCAGCTATGACTATAGTCTAATTTTAGAACATTTTATCATCCCCAAAAGACACCCCATTAGCAGGCACTTCCCATTTCTCCTTCTCTCCAGCCTCTGGTAGCCACTGATCTACTTTTTGTCTCTATAGATTTGCCTAGTCTGGATATTTCACATAAATGGATCAAACAATATGTAACCTCCTGTGTTTTTCTTCTTTCACTTAGCATAATGTTTTCAAGGTTCATCCATGTTATAGTATTTATCAGTACTTCATTTTTAAAAAATTCTTTGCGGGTACACGGTAGGTGTATATATTTATTTATGGGGTACATGAGATACTTTGATGGAAGCATGCAATGTGTAGTAATCACATCATGATAAATGGGGTATCTGGCTGGGCGCAGTGGCTCATGCCTGTAATCCCAGCACTTTGGGAGGCCGAGACGGGCAGATCACAAGGTCAAGAGATTGAGACTATCCTGGACAACATGGTGAAACCTCATCTCTACTAAAAATACAAAAATTAGCTGGGCGTGGTGGTGCATGCCTGTAGTCCCAGCTACTTGGGAGGCTGAGGCAGGAGAATTGCTTGAACCAAGGAGGCGGAGGTTGCAGTGAGCCAAGATTTCCCCACTGCACTCCAGCCTGGCAACAGAGTGAAACTCCACCTCAAAAAAAAAAAAAAGCGGGGACGGTGGGGGGGTGGTTATCCATCCCCTGAAGCATTTATCCTTTGTGTTACAAACAATCCAACTATACTCAAGCGATCCCCCTGCCTCAGCCTCCTGAGTTGCTGAGACTACAAGCATACACCACCACTCTTGGCTAATTTTTTTAAAAATTATTTTTTGAAGAAACAAGGTCTAACTATATTGCCAGGCTGGTCTCAAACTCCTGGGCTCAAGCGATCCTTCTGCCTCAAACTCCCAAAGTGCTGAGATTACAGGCCTAAGCCACCACACCTAGCCTCTTTTAGTTTTTAGTTTTTTGTTTTTTGAGACAGAGTCATGCTCTATCATCCAGGTTGGAGTTCAATGGCACGATCTCAGCTCCCTGCAACCTCTGCCTCCCGGGTTCAGGCAATTTTCCTGCCTCAGCCTCCGGAGTAGCTGGAATTACAGTCATGCACCACCACACCCAGCTAATTTTTGTATTTTTTTAATGAAGACGGCGTTTCACCATGTTGGCCAGACTGGTCTTGAACTCCTGACCTCAAGTGATCCACCCGTCTTGGTCTCCCAAAGTGCTGGGATTACAGGCAAGAGCCACCACACCCAGCCTCTTTTATTTTAAAATGTACAATTAAGTTATTATTGATTATAGTTACCCTGTTGCGCTATCAAATAGTAGGTCTTACTTATTCTTTTTGACTGGGGCCTGGGTGATAGGGAGAGACCTCATATCAAATTAAAAAAAAAAAAAAAGGCCAGGTATAGTGGCTCATGCCTGTATTTCCAGCACGTTGGGAGGCCAAGATGAGTGGATCACTTGAGGTCAGGAGTTTGACACCAGCCTGGTAGACACTGAGTACTTTTTGTACCCATTAACTATTCCTACTTCCCCCTAGCTGTCCCACTATCCTTCCCACCCTCTGGTAACCATCCTTCTATTCACTATCCATCAGTCCAGTTGTTTTAATTTTTAACTCCCATAAATAAACGAGAACATGTGATGTTTGTCTTTCTGTGCCTGGCTTATGTCCCTTAGATAATGATCTCCAGTTCATCCAGGTTGTTGCAAATAATAGGATCTCATTCTTTTTTAATGACTGAGTAGTGCTTTATTGTCTATATGTACCATATTTTCTCTACCCTTTCATCTGGGTTTTTTTTTTTTTTTGGTTTTTGGTTTGTTTGTTTTGTTTTGTTTTGAGACAGAGTCTCCCTCTGTCGCCCAGGCTGGAGTGCAGTGGCACAGTCTTGGCTCACTGCAACCTCCACCTCCTAGGTTCAACTGATTCTCCTGCCTCAGCCTCCCAAGTAGCTGGGATTACAGGTGCCTGACACCATGCCTAGCTAATTTTTGTCTTTTTAGTAGAGACAGGGTTTCACCATGTTGGCCAGGCTGGTCTTGAACTCCTAACCTCAGTGATCCGCCCACCTGGGCTTCCCAAAGTGCTGGGATTACAGGTGGGAGCCACCGCACCTGGCCCATTCATCTGTTAATGGACACTTAGGTTGCTTCCAAATCTTGGCTATTATGAACAGTGCTGCAAAAAACATGGGAGTGCAGGTATTTCCTCAATATACTGATTTTCTTTCTTTTCGATATATACCCAGCAGTGGGATTGCTGGATCATATGGTAGCTATATTTTTAGTTTTTTGAGGAACCTCCATACTGTTTTCTATAGTGGTTCTACTAACTTACATTCCCACCAAGAGTATACAAGGGTTTCCTTTTCTCCACATCCTCAGCAGCATAAATGCCATTTTAACTGGAGTGAAATGTTATCTCATTGTAGTTTTGATTTGTATTTCTCTGATGATCAGTGATGTTGAGCACCTTTTCATATGTCTGTTTGCCATTTGCATGTCTTCTTTTGAGAAATGTCTATTCAGATTTTTTCCTACAGAGTTGTTTGAGCTCCTTATATATTCTCGTCATTAATCCCTTGTCAGATGGGTAGTTTGCAAATATTTTCTCCCATTCAGTGGATTGACTCTTCACTTGGTTGATTGTTTCCTTTGCTGTGCAGAACCTTTTTAACTTAATGTAATCCCACTTGTCCATTTTTGCTTTGGTTGTCTGTACCTATAGAGTATTACTCAAGAAAATTTTTGCCCAGATCAATGTCCTGGAGAACCTCCCCAATATTTTCTTGTAATAGTTTCATAGTTTGAGCTCTTACATTTGAGTCTTTAACCCACTTTGATTTGATGTTTGTATGTGGCAAGAGATAGGGGTCTAGTTTCATCCTTCTGCATATGGATATCCAATTTTCCCAGCACTATTTATTAAAGAGACTGTCCTTTCCCCAATGTATGTTCTTGGCACCTTTGTCAAAAATTAGTTCACTGTAGGTGCATAGATTTGTGTCTGGGTTCTCTGTTCTGTTCCATTGGCCTACATGTCTGCTTTTATGCAAGTATTATGCAGTTTTGGTTACTGTAGCTCTGTAGCATAATCTGAAGTAAGGTAATGTGATTCCTCCAGTTTTGTTCTTTTTGCTTAGGATAGCTTTGGCTATTTTGGGTCTTTTGTGGTTCCATTTAAATTTTAGAATTTTTTTCTATTTCTGTGAAAAACATCATTGGTGTTTTGATAGGGATTGCATTGAGTCTTTAGATTGCTTTGGGTAGTATGGACCTTTTAACAATTTCAATTCTTCCAATCCATGAACATGGAATATCTTTCCATTTTTTTAATGCCCTCTTCAATTTTTTCATCAGTGTTTTATAGGTTTGCAGTTTTCATTGTAGAGCTCCTTCACTTCTTTGGATAAGTTAATTCTCATGTATTTAATTTTATTTGTGGCTATTGTAAATGGGATTTTTTTTTTTTAATTTGTTTTTCAGATTGTTCACTGTTGGCATATAGAAATGTTACTGAATTTTGGCTAGGGGCAGTGGCTCATGCCTATAATCCCAGCACTTTGGGAGGCCAAAGCAGGTGGGTCACCTGAGGTCAGGAGTTCAAGACCAGCCTGGCCAACATAGTGAAACCCCATCTCTACTAAAAATACAAAAATTAGCTGGGCATGGTGGTGCACACCTGTAATTCCAGCTACTCAGGAGGCTGAGGCAGGAGAATTGCTTAAACCTGGGAGGCAAAGGTCGCAGTTAGTCAAGATTACACCACTGCACTCCAGCCTGTGTGACAGAGCAAGACTCCATCTCAAAAAAATGCTACTGAATTTTGTATGCTGGTTTTGTATCCTGCAACTTTACTAAGTTTGTCAGTTCTGATAGTTTTTTTGGTGGAATCTAAATTTTCCAAATATAAGATCATATCATCTGAAAACCAGGATAATTTTATTTCTTCCTTTCCAATTTGGATGCCCTTTATTTTTTTCTCTTGCCTGATTGCTCTAGCTAGGACTTCTAGTACTTTGCTGAATAATGGTGCTGAAAGTGAGCCTCTTTGTCATGTTCCAGATCTTGGAGGAAAGACTTTCCATTTTCCCCATTCATTATGATAATAGCTGTGGGTCTGTTGTAATTGGCTTTTATTATGCTGAGGTATGTTCCTTCTATACCTAGTTTGTGGAGGATTTTTATCATGAAGCAATGCTGAATTTTATCATATGCTTTTTCAGCATCAATTGAAATGAACATATGGTTTGTGTCCTTCATTCTACTGATGTGATGTATCACATTGATTGATTTGCATATGCTGAAACATCTTTGCATCCCTGGGATAAAGCTTGACCATGATGAATGATCTTTCTAATATGTTGTTGAATTCAGTTTGCTAGTATTTTGTTGAGGATTTTTGCATCAATATTAATCAGTGATATTGGCCTTTAGAATTAGTGAGCTTGAAGATAGGCTATTTGAAAATGCAGTCAGAAGAGACAAAAGAAAAAAAGAATAAAAAATAATGAAGCATGCCTACAAGATTTCATATATCTATATATATATATAGATGTATATATATAGATGTATGTGTGTATATATATATATATATATATATATATATAGAGAGAGAGAGAGAGAGAGAGAGAGAGAGAGAGAGAGAGAGAGAGTATGTGTGTGTAGTCTTGCTGTGTTGCCCAGGCTGATCTCAAACTCCTGGGCTCAAGCGATCCTCTTGCCTCAGTTTCCCAAAGTGCCAGGATTACAGGCGTGAGCCACCACACCTGGCATAATTCATTCTTCTGCTTGATCAGTTCTGCTATTAAGAGACTGATGCATTCTTCAGTGTGTCAGCTGCATTTTTCAACTCCAGAATTTCTTCTTGTTTCTTTTTTATTATTTCAATCTCTTTGTTAAATTTATCTGATAGAATTCTGAATTCCTTCCCTGTGTTATCTTGAATTTCTTTGAATTTCCTCAAAACAGCTATTTTGAATTCTCTGTCTGAAAGGTCACATATGTCTGTTTCTCCAGGACTGGTCCTGGTGTCTTACTTAGTTTGTTTGGTGAGGTCATGTTTTCCTGGATGGTCTTGATGCTTGTGGATGTTCTTTGGTGTCTGGGCATTGAAGAGTTAGGTATTTATTGTAGTCTTCACAGTCTGGGCTTGTTTGTGCCTGTCTTTCTTGGAAAGGCTTTCCAGGTATTCAAAGGACTTAGGCCCCAAGCCCAATAATGCTGTGGTTCTTGCAGATTCATAAAGGTACTCTGTTGATGATCTTGGATAAGACCTGGAAGAATTCTCTGGATTACTAGGCAGAGGTTTTTGTTCTCTGCCCTTACTTTATCCCAAACAAATGGAGTCTCTTTTTCTGTGCTGAGCTGCCTGGAGCTCAGAGTGGGGTGACACAAGTACCACTGTGGCCACCACTGGGACTGCACTGGATCAGACCTGAAGCCTGCATAGCACTGGATCTCACCCAAGGTTCAATGTAACTACTACCTGGCTATTGCCTATGTTCGCTTAAGGCCCTAGGGATCTATAATCAGCAGGTGGAGAAGACAGACAGGTTTGTGTCTTTCCCTTTAGGGCAGGACCTCCTCCTGGCTCCAGGCAGGTCCAGAGATGTTACTATGGATTAGAGTCAAAAACCTTAGAAATCTACCGGTGTTCCATTCTACTGTGGCTAAGCTGGCCCTCAAACTGCAAGACAAATTCTTCCTGCTCTTTCCTCCCCTTTCCACAGTCAAAGAAGCCTCTCCCAGTGGCCACCATCACCACCAGCCCTTGGGAGTTCTGCCAAGCCACCACCAATGTTCACTTAAAAGTCTGAGGACTCTTCAGTCAGCTTGTGGTGAATGCTGCCAGGAAAGGGACTCATCCTGCAGAGCAATGGGCTCCCCTCTGGCCCAGGGCAGGTCCAGAAATGCCATCCAAGAGCCTAGGCCAGGACTTGGGGACCCCAAGGACCCAATGGTTGCTCTACCTGCCTTTGGGCAAGCTGATACCTAAGGTGTGAGACAAAGTCCCCTTTACCTTTCCCTCTGCTTTTCTCAAGCAGAAGGAGTCTTTCATCATAGCTATGACAGCAGGGAATGTGCTGAGCCTCACCTGAAGCCAGTACATCTCAGAGGCTCACCCAAAGCCCATGGAGTACCTCCTGGGTATTTCTGTTGGTTATTCAGTGCCCAAGGGCTCTTTGGTCAGTAGGTACAGAATGCTGCCAGGACTGGGTCTTTCCCTTCAAGGCAGCGAGTTCCCTTCTGGCCCTGGGTATGTACAGAGATTTATCTGGGAGCTAAGGCCTGGAATGGGAGTCTCACAACTCTGCCCAGTGCCCTATTCTATTGTGGCTGAGCTGATATCCAAGAGACAGGACAAAGTTCTCTTTATTCTTTGCTCTCCTCTCCTCAAGCAGAAGGAAGGAGTCACTTTCTTTGTTGTAAGCTGTGCTGCCTGGGGTTAAGGGAGGGTGGCACAAGCACTTCCTTAGCCACCCCAGCTGGTGTCTCTCTAGGTCACATGCTGCCCTAGTCCACTGGCTCTAAGCCCAACCCAGAACCAAGACTTGCCTAGGAATTGCTGTCAGTATATTTTTAAAGCTACATGTTTATTTGTTCTGGAAGGAGCTTACAACTGAGGCATTAAAATCCTATAAATGTTTATGGTTAAAATGTCATATTTCTGACATCAAAATAAAGAAAAAGTGTCAATTAGCTTTTTCTATTTAAAGAGCCCCTTAATTCTCAAGGACTAGCTGTTTGAAAAGAGGAATACATCTCTATCTTAGAAGGTCTTCACTTTCGCTTTTGAATTCTAAAATCATTTTCATAGACCATCTATATGTCTTCCCATATAATAAGAAATCTTGGGCTGAGTGTGGTGGCTCACACCTGCAATCCCAGCACTTTGGGAGGCCGAGGCGGGCGGATCACCTGAGGTCAGGAGTTCAAGACCAGCCTGGCCAACATGGTAAAACCCTGCCTCTACTAAAAATACAAAAATTAGCCTTGTGTGGTGGCACATGCCTATAATCCCAGCTATTCGGGAGGCTGAGGCAGGAGAATCACTTGAACCTGGGAGGCGGAGGTTGCAGTGAGCTGAGATCGCGCCATTGCACTCCAGCCTGGGCAACAGAGCAAGACTCCATCTCAAAAAAAGAAAAAAAAATCTTGGGAAAGCTGGATTTTTTTTTTCATTTAAATTTTTTAAAATTGTGGTAAAATACATATAACATAAAATTTACCATCTTTACCACTTTTAAGGATACTGCTTGGTAGTGTTAACTATATTTATATTGTTGTACAACCAATCTCCAGAACCTTTTCATCTTGCAAAACAGAATCTTGTAAAAACTGAAACTCTATACTCATTGAACAAGAACTCTTTCTCATATTTTTTCCTATTTATTTATTTTTGAGACAGGTTCTCACTCCGTTGCTCAGGCTGCTCTCGAACCTCTGGGCTCAAGTGATCCTGCTGCCTCAGCCTCCCAAAGTGCTGGGATTACAGGCATGAGCCACCATGCCTGGCCACCAAAAACCCGTCATTTCCCACTCTTTTCACAACCCCTAGGCCCTGACAATCACCACTCTACTTTCTGTAGGTTTGACTACTCATATAAGGGAAATAATACAGTGTTTGTCCTTCTGTGACTGGCTTATTTCACTTAGCACAAAGTCCTCAAGCTTCAACCATGTTGTAGCATGTGTCAGAATTTCCTTCCTTTTTCCATTTGGTGGATTGGTATAAAACATTTTTCCTTCCTTTTTAAAAACTTTAATCTTTCAAAAATTTTTTACCTTCCATTCCACCTGTGAAAAAACTTTAATCTTTTAATGTGTTATTATAAAAACTAACTTTAACCTGTTTTTGTAAAAATGAGAAGGAAGATAGAAATGCTCTGCTCTGAAAGCAAGAGAGTCTTTCTTAGTTAACAGTAACTATATACATGCATTACTTAACAATAAGGATACGTTCTGAGAAATGTGTCATTAGGTGATTTCTTCTTTTTTGTTTTTGAGATGAGGTCTCACTGTGTCACCCAGGCTGGAGTGCGGTGGTGCAACCTCACTGCAAACTCAACCTCGCGGGCTCAAGCAGTCCTCCACCCCAGCCTCTTGAGCAGTTAGGATTACATGCCATCATGCCTGGCTAATGATTTCTTCATTGTGGAAACATTAGGGTGTACTTACACAAACCTAGAGGGTATAACCTACTACACCTAAGCTATGTGGTATGGCCTATTGCTATGGCCAAGGCTACAAACCTGTACAGCATGTTACTGTACTGAATACTGTAGGCAACTGAAACACAATGGTAAGTATTTGTGTATCTAAACATAGAAAAGATACAGTAGAAATATGGTATTATAATCTTATGGGACCACTGTTATATGTCTGTCATTGACCAAGATGTCATTATGTGGTACATGACTATATATGTACACACATGCATACACGCATAGAATGTGTGTATTAACAATATAATTGACACTATAGGATAATGGAGTAAAGAGATTCAGAGGCAACTTTTCAGGCATCGAATAATGCAAAGACTTACTGTTTGGAGAGGAGAGACACTAAAAAACCTGAAGCATTCCAGGATACACTGGTCCCATCACCTTCCCAAAAAAGCAGTATAAAGAGCATGATTTCTTTGTCCATATATGCTAGACAGAGGGCAGAGGTCTCCTCAGTAGCCCTGTCCTACCCTGGGGACTTCCTTTCCTATCAAGACTATACAGAGAAGGGTGACCCCAGGGTTCCAACCCAGCTATCAAGGGATACTTTTGTTTTCAGGATGATGACAAAATTTAACAGCAATTCATAACTTTACATATATTAGTCCCATTACCATGTCCAGGGTATGAAAGAGAAAATTCATCAGTTGCTCCGCTGCAAATTATTAGATTGAACTCTTAAATTGCCAATGGTTTACTGTTTTGACCTACAGAACAGCCTTTTCAACCTAACAGAATCTTACCTCTTTTTTTCTCCATCTATCAGAGAATTAATGTAAATACGTTCTTCTTTTATAACAAAAAGCATAACTTAGCAGTTAGGAGTATAGGCAACAGGTTCAAAAAGACCAGGATTTGAATCCTGGCTCGGTCTCTGTGTGTGAACTTGGGCAGTTTCTTAACCTTTCTGGGCCTCCCAGCCTGTAAAACGCAGGTAAGAACAATGCCTCCCTCAGATGGTTGTGGTGGGGTGGAAATGACATGAGATGCATAAAGTGTTTAGTACAATGCCTGGCATGTAGTCAGCTCTCGATATCAGCTCTTAGTATTATCACAACGACAACAACAACAACAACAACAAAAATAACGAAAAGTTTCACAGATAATGGCTTGATAGGGTGAGGTAACCGCATGTGATGATGGGACTCAGTTCCCCTCCTGTTAGTTGATTGGGATGAGGGATCCTGAAATCATGGCAAAGCACAGCAGGGTCCATGACTCTTCCTGGCTAATTTCCAGGGCAGATCCGGGCCCCTTCTCCAACCCTGCTTGCCTTTCTGGAGTGCTGCATCCTCCAGAGATGGAAGGGCCGGCCATCGTATGTCAGTCTGATTTCTGCACTTCAGTGAGAGAACACTGTGGAATGGAGGGAATAAATGACTCTCAGCTGCAGTTTTCGAGTTTTCTGTCTCTCTGGAAATCAGCCGGCTCCCGCTTGCTCCATTTACTGTGTACCAGCCAATACAAAATGAAATGCTCATGTCGTAATTTAAATTACGCGTATCCCAGAGGAGCCCCATGCAAAGCGCACATCGGTGTTTAACAATCTGCGAGCCCGATCTCGGAGACAGTTTAGAATAATCCACTCCTCACTGCTCAAAGGCTGCAGGCCTTCTCCAAGTCAGAGCTTGTCAACTGAGGACATGAAAGAGCTGCAGCGCAGCAGAACAGCAGATCACATTCGGTGAGCTGCCCCACTTGCACTCTTATTTGTGCATTACAGGATCGGAGAGGCGGCATGCCACAGTGGGTGCAGGGGCAGTCTCGCTACACGGACTGGGTTTGATTTGGCTTCACCACTCACTAGCTGTGTGACCCTTGGCAAGTCACCTGACCTTTCTCTGTCTCCATTTCCTTAGCTGTAAATTGGAGAACATAACAGAAGCTGACTCATTACTGGTGTTGGAAGGATTACAGGAATATATACAAAGCACTTAGGAAACATTAAGTCTAAGCATTTACTACTCTTGTTACTTCTTTTCATGTACATTGTTAAAAGGAGATAGATTAGTCAGATCCAGATGTATATAATGTAATTTTAGAGGTCTTTTACTGTGGTGAAATATATATCAAATTTAACATTTTAAGCCTACTATTCAGTGGCATTAAGTGCATTCATACCATTCTGCAGCCACCACCACTATCCATCTCCGAAACTTTTTCATTATCTCTTTTTTTTTTTTTCATTATCTCAAACTGAAACTGTTCACATGTATTCCTCCTCATTGTCCCCTGCGCCCAGCACCTGGTAATCACTGCTCTACTTTCTGTCCCTATGAAGAAAGACATCTGATTATTCTAGGTACCTTATATAAGTGGAATCATACAGTATTTGTCCTTTGTAACTGGCTTTTCACTTAGCATAATATCTTTAAGGTTCATCCATGTTGTAGCATGTTTCAGAATTTTATTCCTTAAGGCTGAATACTATTTCTTTGTATGTTTACATCCCATTTCATTTATTCATTCATCTTTCCATGGGCATTAGGGTTGATTACACATTTTTGCTACTGTGAATAATGCCACTATGAACATTGGTACACAAGTATCTGTTTGTGGTGGACCAGATGAGGCAAATGTGGTGCATATATACCATAGAACACTATGCAGCCATAAAAAAGAATGAAGTCACGTCCTTTGCAGCAACATGGCTGCAGCTAGAGGCCATTATCCTAAGTGAACTCATGCCGGAACAGAAAACCAAATACCATATGTTCTCACTTATAAGTGAGAGCTAAACATTGAGCACACATGAACACAAACATGGAACAATAGACGCTGGGGACTACTTGACGGGGAGGGCATGGTGGGGGATTGAAAAACTACCTGTTGGCTATTATGCACACTACTTGGGTGACAGAATCATTCATACGCCAAACCTCAGGGATAGGCAATTTACCCATGTAACAAATCTGCACATGTAAACCCCTGAACCTAAAATAAAAGTTAAGCTGGGCGCAGTAGCTCATGCCTGTAATCCCAGCACTTTTGGAGGCCAAGGTGGCTGGATCACTTGAGCCCAGGAGTTCAAGACAAGCCTGGGCAACATGGCGAAACCCTATCTCTACACAAAATACAAAAATTAGCTGTGCGTAGAGGCATGGACCTGTAGTCCCAACTACTCGTTGCGAGTGGGTGGTGGGGCGGGGTGGCGGCGGTGGTACTGAGGTGGGACGGTCACTTGAGGCCGTGAGGTCAAGCCTGCAGTGAGTTGTGATTGCGCCACTGCACTCTAGCCTGGGTAACAGAGTGAGACCCTGTCTCAAAATACATAAATAAATAAAAGTTATAAAACAAACAAATATCTGTTTGCATCTTTGCTTTCAACTTTTTTTGATATATACCCAGACATGGAATTCCTAGATCATATGATGATTCTATGTTTAATTTTCTTAGGAACTGCCATACTGTTTTCCACAGTGACTGTACTGTTTTACATTCCTACCGGCAACACACAAGGGTTCCAATTTCTCCACATTCTTGGGAACACTGTTTTTTATTTGTTTATTTTTTTTTTAGTAATAGCCATTCTAATGGGTGTGAAGTGGTATCTTACTGTGGTTTTGATTTGCATTTCCCTAATAATTAGTGATGGTGAGCATCTTTTCATGTGCTTATTGACCACTTGCATATCTTCTTTGATATAATGTAATTTTTAGATACACATTTCCTAATTGTTAATCTAAAATAATATTAATGAGACTTAATCAATCTATTAGAATGTACTGGCTTCTACTATGTGACTGCCTAATACCCCATGTATACACCTGGCCTGGATATATAGCAACCCCAGCAGGGCAATGTCTTTTATTTTTTACTCAACTAGTTATCGTAGCCAAGGTGACAATGGCGAAGTCTCCCATGTAGAGGGAGTAGGATGGAGAATCTTCCAGATAGCCCAAAATTTGAAGTGGTTCTCTTCCTCCTGAAACTTCCAGCAGCCGCAGTGCTTGCAGAAGGCACTTGATGGCAGCTTTCAGGGGCATTTCCTGGCAGCTGTGGCAAGGATTTTGCAGAATTAGAATGGCATGTATTATAACCAGAGCCATAAAAGTACAGTTCTTGGATACTCTGTACTTTAAATCTGCATTCTGAGCAATTTTAGACTTGGGAACCAAGGATTCCTTGCAATTAGGGTTCCCATTTTCAACAGCAGAAAGTAATGCAGTCATCACTTGGCACAGGATACACAGGCAAGTTTGAAGACAAGCAGAGAAGAGAATGGCCCAGAACCAAGGCACATACTTCCCGTAGCCACAACTGCCTTAGGGTCTCACCAATATCTGAAGGATACAGGATCCCAGAGTAATTTATTCATAAATGCCTTCAAGTTATTCATCATATATGAACACACAGCCTGCTATGTGCCAGACACTATTTTGGGCTCACATTGGTGAACAAAACAAAGTCCCTATTATCCTAGCACTTATATTTTATTGGTTAGTAGAAAATAAATGATCAAAAACATATTATTTGAGCTGGAGATAAGCTGGAGATTATTTGAGCTGGTGGCTCATGCCTATAATCCCAGCACTTCAAGAGACCAAGATGGGAGGATCCCTTGAGCCTAGGACTTCAAGACCAGCCTGGGCCACATGGTCAGACCCCATCTCTACAAAAATAAATAAATAAGAATAATTTTTTTTCAAAAAGTAAAGAGAAATGAGTCGCAATTAATTATGCCTGAAAATTATTATAACTCTATACACAGTATATAGTTATACCTAAGCTATACCTGTACATAATTCACTCCATAGTATAGAGTCAATCCTTTTAACTAACCTTTCTCTTGTCTTTCAAAGCCCTAAGTTAAGAATGTCCACAAGGACTAGGCACAGTGGCTCATGCCTGTAATCCTAGCACTTTGGGAGGCTGAGGCAGGTGGATCACCTGAGGTCAGGAGTTTGAGACCAGCCTGGCCAACATGGTGAAACCCTGTCTTTACAAAAATACAAAAAATTAGCTAGGCCTGGTGGTACACACACCTGTAAACCCAGCTGTTCGGGAGGCATGAGAATCGCTTGAACTTGGGAGGCTGAGGCTGTAGTGAGCCAAGATCACACCACTGCACTCCAGCCTGGGCAACAGAGCAAAACTCTGTCCAGAAAAAAAAAAAAATGTCTAGAAGGATTATTAAAAGTACTTATCTGAACCTGAGAGCACCAGCCTATGCCCAGAGTTTATGCACCAAGCAAGCAGCCCTCCCAGAATGGAGCCTGAGGTGAAAAATAGTGAAATAGAAGAGGCACCGTCATATGAAAAAGGAAGAGGTTGAAGGAAAAAAAAAAAGCCAAGAGAACAAGACGACAAGCCACACACTGGGAGAAAGTGTTTGCAAAAAGTACACCGGGTGAAGGACTATTATCCAAAATATACAGAACTCTTAAAACTCAACAATAAGAAAACAAAAAATCTGATTTAAAAATAAGCAAAAACCCTAAACAGATACCCCACCAAAGAAGATATATAGATGCCAAGTAAACATATGCAAAGATGCTCAACATCCTATGTCATTAGGGAATTGCAAATTAAAACAATGAGATAACACTATGTACCTATTAGAGTGGCCAAAATCCAAAACACTGACAACGCCAAGTGCTGACGAGGTTGTGGAGCAACAGGAACTCCCATTCATTGCTGATGAAAATGCAAAAGAGTACAGCCACTTTGGAAAGCAGTTTGGCAGTTTCTTACAAAAGTAAACATACTCTTACCATACACTCCTCAGTATTAACCCAAATGAATTGAAAACTTACATCCACACAAAAGCATGCACAAGGATGTTCATAGCAACTTTATTCATGATTGCCGAAACTTGGACCCAACCAAGATGTTTTTCAGTAAGTGGGTGGATAAATAAACGTGATACATCCAGACAATGGAATATTATCTAGCACTAGAAAGAAACGAGCTATCGAGCCATGAAACAGCATGGAGGAAACTTAAATGCATACTACTAAGTGAAAGAAGCCAATTTGAAAAGGCAATATACTGTATGATTCCAACAACATGACCTTCTGGAAAAGGCAAAACTATGGAGACAGTGAAGAGATTAGTGGTTTTCTGGGGTTAGGAGGAAGGAAGGAATGAATAGGTACAGCACAAAGGATTTTTAGGGCAGTGAAACTATTCTGCATGATACTATCATAGTAGATACATGTCATTATACATTTTTCAAAGCTCAAGGAATGTGCAACACCAGGAGTGAACCCTAAGGTAAACTATGGACTCTGGGTTGTAAGGGTGTGTTGATGTAAGTTCATCAATTGTAACAAATGTACCACTCTGGTGATGGGATTGATAGTAGAGGAGCATGTGTGTGTGTGTGTGTGTGTGTGTGTGTGTGTGTGTGTAGGGGATGGGGGTACCTAGGAATTCCGTGTACTCTTGCACAACTTTGCTGTGAGTGTAAAGCTGCTCTAAAAAAAATAAAGTGTATTAATTAAAAAGCAAAAGCAAAATAAAGCCACAGTGCCTGAATTCCTGGCCAGCATTTAAAGAGATTATGGGGATTAACTAAATTCCACAGGTAGAACATTTTAGCCCTTCAAAGAAAATCACTCCTGGATATACTGATGAGGAACTCAGAGAGAGAGGCAATGACCGTGTGGTGGAGCTGGTAGTAGTGGTGATCACGCAGTAACTGACGTCCATCGCCACTCACTGTGCAGCAGGCGCTGCCCTAAATGCTTTGCACTGAGTCCTCACCAACAACCCAAAGAGCCAGAGACTTACACAGCAATCCTCTAAAGTAAAGCTTCACTTTAAAACACGTGCTGAAATTAAGAAACACACTGCAGGCCGGGCGCAGTGGCTCACGCCTGTAATCTCGGCACTTTGGAGGCCGAGGTGGGCGGATCACCTGAGGTTGGGAATTTGAGACCAGCCTGGCCAACATGGAGAAACCCCCGTCTCTACTAAAAATACAAAATTAGCTGGGATTGGTGGCGCATGCCTGGAATCCCAGCTACTTGCGAGGCTGAGACAGGAGAATCGCTTGAACCCGGGAGGCAGAAGTTGCAGTGAGCCGAGATTGCTCCATTGCACTCCAGCCTGGGCAACAAGAGCAAAACTCTGTCTCGAAAAAGAAAAAGAACAAGAAAAAAAAAAAACAAACACACTGCATTGGTGAGGACGTGGGGAAACAAGCAGTACCATACCTACTTGGTAAGTGGGTAAATTCACAGCACCACCTTCTCAGAAGGCTGTTTGGCAATATCTAATCAAATTTTTCACACCCTTTGACCCATCAATTCTAGCTCTAAGTATCTTTTTTTTTTTTTTTTTTTTTTTGAGATGGTGTCTCGCTCTGTTGCCAGGCTGGAGTGCAGTGGTGCGATCTCGGCTCACTGCAACCTCCACCTCCCGGGTTCAAGCGATTCTCCTGCCTCAGCCTCCTGAGTAGCTGGGATTACAGGTGCCCGCCACCACACCCAGCTACTTTTTGTATTTTTAGTAGAGACAGGGTTTCACCAAGTTGGCCGGGATGGTCTTGATCTCTTGACCTCGTGATCCGCCCACCTCGGCCTCCCAAAGTGCTGGGATTACAGGCATGAGCCACCTCGCCTGGCCTAGCTCTAAGTATCTTATGGATATACTAACACCTAATTACAAAGGATTTATGTATAAAGATATTCATTGTAGCACTGATTATAGTAGACAAAAACTATACAAACTTAATCAGAATTGCTAAAATAAAACCAACTGATAATACCAAATGCTGGCAGGCATGCATATATTGCTGGTAGAGAAACAAAGTGGTATAGTCACTTTGGAAAACAGTCTGGGAACTGCTTATTAAATTGAACATACACTTACCATACTACCCAGCAATCCCACTCTGAGAAATAAAAACTTTGTTTACCCAAGAGAAATGAAACTTATGTCCACCCAAAAGCCAGTGCCCAATAATAACAGATTTATTTATAATCCTTCATAACTTGGAACAACCTAATGTCTTACAATTGGCAAATGGATAAATAAACTGTGGTGCAATGGAATTTGTGCAATAGTAGAGTAATAAGAAACAGCCAAACACTGGTACACACAACAACATGGATAAATCTCAGATGCATTGTGCTCAGTGAAAGAAACTGGACTCAAAAGGCTACATCCTGTATGACTCTATTGATATGACCTTTTGAAAAAGGCAAATTACAGGGACAGAAAGCTGATGCGTGGGATACTCAGGGCAGTGGGGAGGAAGTGCGATCCATGCTGTTTGCCAGGGGCTAGGGATGAGTGAAGGGGTGTGTCTACACAGGTGCATTAGGGAGATTTCTGGAGTGATGGAAATGTTCTGCATCTTGACTGTGGTTACATGACTATACACGTGTACCAAAATTCATTCATGGAGCTGTTCGCTTAGAAGGGTGAACCTTACTACATGTATACCTCAATAAACTTGGCTTTAAAAAATACTGGAAATACCAATATCATCAATAAGATGACTGGTTAAATAAATTCGAATACAGGCCGGGTGCGCTGGCTCACACCTGTAATCACAGTACTTTGGGAGCCTTAAGCAGGTGGATCATTAACAGCTTAAAGAAAGGGTACATTCTTAATACTAAGAATGTACATGTGTGCCGGGTGTGATGGCTCACGCCTATAATCCCAGCACTTTGGGAGACTGAGGCAGGCAGATCTCTTGAGGTCAGGAGTTTGAGACCAGCCTGACCAACATGGTGAAACCCCACCTCTACTAAAAATACAAAAATTAGCCAGGCCTGGTGGCAGGTGCCTGTAATCCCAGCTATTTGGGAGGCTGAGGCACAAGAATCGCTTGAACCCAGGAGGCAGAGGTTGCAGTGAGCCGAGATTGCACGACTGCACTCCAGCCTGGGCAACAGAGGGAGACTCCATCTCAGAAAAGAATATATATAAATACATGTGGGTGATGTGGATGAGTGTCAACTTGATTGGATTGACGGATACAAAGTATTGATCCTGGGTGTGTCTGTGAGGGTGTTGCCAAAGGAGATTAATATTTGAGTCAGTGGGCTGGGAAAGGCAGACCCACCCTTAATCTAGGTGGGTACCATCTAATCAGCTGCCAGAGCAGCTGGAATATAAGCAGGCAGAAAAATGTGAAAAGACTGGCCTAGCCTCCCAGCCTACATCTTTCTCCCGTGCTGGATGCTTCCTGCCCTCGAACATTGGACTCCAAGTTCTTCAGTTTTGGAACTTGGACGGGCTCTCCTCACTCCTCGGCCTGCAGACAGCCTATTGAGGGACCTTGTGATTGTGTGAGTTAATACTTAATAAACTCCCATATATATTCCATTAGTTCTGTCCCTCTGGAGAACCCTGACTAATACAATGTGGTATCTCTGAAAAGATATATATGAAGATAGAAGCAAAAATTCCCTCTGCCGGGGAGGACTGGAGGACTAGAGGTCAGTGGTCAGAGAGAGACTTCTCAATCCATAGACTCATTTCTATTTAAATGTTTAATTATGTATATGCATTACTGTGCACAACAGTTGTATGCAGATGCAGCCTAATGGCATCTCCTCTTGACAACCCTGAGCATCTCCGAACCGATGTCCTCAGGCCTCTCTGGTGCATACTCTATCGGCTGCTTGCAGGAGTCCTCTCAGGCAGGCAGGAATAGGTACAATATTGGAAATGGGAGGGAGATAGCATCTCCTTGACCAACAAGTAATGGGATCCAGTAGGTAATCCCTGTCTCAAGTGGACATTTCTGAAGCATTTTCTACATAATTCCTTAGAGAGTCTCCAGTGGGATTGAGCCCCAGTCGCCCAGAGTGGTAACTGGTTTTGCTTCCATTCCTATTTCACTCATTGCAGTTTCCCCACTCCAGTTTCCTGAAATTTTTCCCCAAATAACTGACTTGCACCAAAAAAAAAAAAAAAAAAAAAAGAATGAAAATAAAATTTAAAAAATAAAAGTGTTTGCATGGTATAATTCTGTTTTAAAATTATTATTCTAATTAATGATAGTGCATATAGAGGAAATAATTAATGGACAAGGCCGTCTCACCCTGTGGTTCAGAATAAAAGCTCTGAAGTCAGAAGTCTGAAGGCCAGTTTGCATCTTAGCTCTGCCATCTTCCACCTGCACTTGGCAAGTTAATCCCTCCAAGCTTTCATTCCTTTTTCTATAAAATGACACAAATAATAATATTTTCCCCATTGCCTGAGATTGTCTGGGGGTTAAATCAGATAATGCATATAAATCACTTAATGCTCAATACAAACATATAGAAACATTAGTTAATATTATTTTTCAGCCAGGTGCAGTGGCTCATGCCTGTAATCCTAACACTTTGAGAGGCCAAGGCTGGAGATTCACTTAGGCAAGGAGTTTGAGACAAGCCTGGGCAACATCATGAGACCCCATCTCTACAAAGAATAAAACAAAACCAAACAAAACAAAATAGCTGGCCTGCGGTCCCAGCACTTTGGGAGGCTAAGGCGGGAGGATTGCTTGAGTCCAGGGGAGGTGGAGGCTGTAGTGAGCCATGACTATACCACTGCACTCCAGCCTGAGAGACAGATTGAGACCCTGTCTCTAAAATATATATATGTATGCATATGTATAATTTTTCATTCTGTGATAGTAATCATTAAGGGAGTTATATATTTTTGCAATATATAAATTTTGTATCATGAACATGTGTTTCTTTTATAATTTAAAACAAGTTGAAATGAAACGTAAGGCCTATGCAGGCTGTTTTCCTGTCTGTTCTAACCCTTGCTGCTCAGAAAATGTTCTGCTGAGGAGACAGCAGCTTCACCTGGGAGCTTGTTAGAACTGCAGAGCCTGGGGCCAAGCCTAGGCTGCATGCGAACAGGCCCAGGTGATTTCGTGCATGACCGTGTTTGAAGGACCCTCTCTACAGCCTGTCTGTGACCACAAAAAAACTCAAACTATGTTTTTGCTCTGTGGAACTCACATTATCTTAAGAAGTATTTGAGACAAAATAACACCTCATTTTCAGCTCTTTTTTTTTTTTTAACATTAGGGCTCCATTTAGAGTCTTCAAATAAAATGTTGAACTCAATAAGTTAGAAATTAGAAAAGTTATCACTGTTTAGACCTGTATTCCGCAACTCTCAATGGATACTGTCTTTCCAAAATTTTATTTTTTGACTGAATTAATCTTTAAGAAACTCTAAAATGTGCTTCCATGGATGATCATCTTAAGATCATTGTATAGAACTTCTTGGAATTTAAATATTCTTGAAAGTCAACAGTCATCTCAATAAAACTTTTCTTTCCTTGTTACATAAGGTTGTGCTTAACACAGAATGCGTGATATTTTTGTTTTTAAAATGCACTTAAATGCATATGTATGTGTGTGGGGGTATATTTTGTAGGCCATACAAAAAAGTCTTGCAAGATATGTGTTTTAAAGTTGGTCCCCAAATTCTTTGATATTTCTCCCCTTGAATGGTGAGGCCTATGTCTGTCCCCTTCCCCTTGCATCTGAGCAAGCTTGTAACCACTTTGACCAATAGAGTGAAACAGAAGTAACACTATGCAGATCTCAAAGTTAATTCATAAAAAATCATGCAGCTTCTGCCTGATTCTCTTGGAAGACTCACTCTCTGAAAGTTTCCTCTTGGGACAATTCTCAGAACCTAGCCACCATACTGTGAGAAGTTCAAATCACATAGAGAGGCTAAATGTAGATGGTCCAGATTCCAGTCAACCAACCCAGCTGAAACCAGCCTTCAGGTCATCCCAGACCGGTTAGCAGACATTTGAGTGAGGGTGCTACCAGGTGACCCCAGTCCCCAGCTAGTGAGTCACCAGCAAGTCTTTTCCCAGCTGAGGCCCCCAATATCTTGAAGCAGAGACAAACCATTTCACAACTCTGTATCTGAATTCCTGACCCGCAGAATCTGCACACATCACAAAATGTTTTATACCACTAAGTTTGTGGTGGTATGTTACACAGTGTATTGGTCAGTTCTCACACTGCTATAAAGAAATACCAGAGGCAGGCGGATCACTTGAGGTCAGGAGTTCCAGACCAGCCTGGCCAACATGGTGAAGCCCTGTCTCTACAAAAAAATACAAAAATTAGCTGGGCATGGTGGCACACGCCTGTAGTCCCGGCTACTCAGGAGGCTGAGGCATGAGAATTGCTTGAACCCAGGAGGCGGAGGTTGCAGTGAGCCGAGATTGTGCTACTGCACTCAAGCCTGGGCAACAGAGCAAGACTCTGTTTCAAAAAAAAAAAAGAAAGAAAGAAAGAAAAAAGAAATACCTGAGACTGGGTAATTTATAAAGAAAAGAGGTTTAATTGGCTCATAATTCTGCAGGCTGTACAGGAAGCATAGCCTGCTTCTGCTTCTGGGAAGGCCTCAGGAAACCTACAATCATAGCTGAAAACAAAGGGGAAGCAGGATGGTCTTACGTGCCTGGAGCAGGAGGAAGAGAGAGAGGAGGAGAGGTACCACACATTTTTAAACAACCAGATCTCACGAGAAATCACTCACTATGGCGACACAGTACTAAAGGAAAAATCCGCCCCCATGATCCAAACACTTCCTACCAGGCCCCACCTGCAACACTGGGGATTACAATTTGACATGAGATTTGGGCAGGGACACAGATCCAAACCATATCACACAATGAGTCATTACACACAAAATGAACAACTAAACAACAGATAACTAAATACCAATGTAGTAATAATAGGATTCAAAAAATTTTTATTTATATTTTCTAATTTCTCTGTAATAAATATATATCATAACAGGCCAAACAATGTTTTGCAAAGAATATCAGGAAGAATTACAGAAATACTCTCAGGCCTACTGTCTCCTGAACTGCTTCCCCACTTCGTATCCAAGTTCTCTAACCAAGTTCTGAAACTCCAAACTAAGAATGGAAAAATGCAAAGTCCAATCCATGGATTGCATAAATGAGCATGAAAGCCGTACTTTTCACCCACATTACATTTATTTACTTTTATTTTAGACCCCAAATGACAAAATTTATTTTTTCACAAATTTTTAAAAATGCTTATGAGTTATTGAGATGAGTGACTCCTACTACTTATACAGCAAGAAGATTACAAAGGTACATTTGGCACAGAAAATGCCGCCAATTAATTATACAAAGAAGTTGGAACAAGCTCAGATTATGTGAAGAATGTGTACAAGCTCATAAACTGACTTTAATTACTATCCAAACTGTCCCAAGGGGGGAATTAGTGTATCAGGTTTGGAGCAAGAGCTTGGTAGGATTTTTTTCTATTTAAAAATAAGTTACACTTGCTAAATATGTAACAATTTAAAGATTACTTTCATATGTGCTATCACATTTACGCCTCACAACAACTCCCGGGTGCATGTATTATAAGTGATATTTTAGAGACTTTCAGAAACTGAGAATTGCTCAAGGTCATATAGCAAGTGAATAGCAAAAGACATCAAATTCAAGTAATTTGACTTGAAGGAGGAAAATGTTTTTCATCAGATTCTCATGTAAGCTCATTCTCCAGATGTAAAAATTTGCCCAAAGTGGAAGGGAATGTTTCCTGCTCCCCACTTGTGTGGGCTGAAATTAAAAAGTCATGTATTCTATTTCAGTCAGGCTCTCAGTCACAAGCAGCAGAAAACTACTCAGGCTGATTTAAGCAGGAGAGGAAATCTATTGAAAATATATTGGGCATCTGATGGAATCTTTGGAAGGCCATGAACTACAGGAACTAATTTCAGATTTGTGCAAGGAAGATGCCACTGGTGCTGTCACTGGGCACAGCCAGCTTGCCTCCCCACCCACTGACACTGGACTTTGGACATTGCTGCTGAAGACGCTGCTTCTGTGCCTCCAGACAGCTACCAGACAGGATTCTGCTGGGCTCCTTCTTTGCATCATTATTTTCATCTCAAAATCGAGGGCATGTGCTCTGATTGATAGGCATTGTGCCTCTGCACTGGCTGCAAGAGAGACTTGGAATCACCTGCACACACACCTATACCCACGCACTTTCTTTCTCTCTCTTTTTTTTAAAGGGTGCCTAGCTTAATTCCCAACCTCCCTTGCAGTTATGTGAATCAGTTAGCTTTTGCTACATAACAAATAACCCAAAGACTTGGTGGTCTAAAGCAATAATGTGGCATACATGAAGATGCCCCACTCAGATCCTTCTTCAAGAGAGGACTCACTGCTGGACAGTGAGAAGTATAATTAGCTGACAGCTTTTAAACTGAAGTCATTCTCATCTCTGGGTAACCCCTAGCCCATGACTGAGCAAGGCAGTGGTGCAAAGGCCTAGCCATTTCTGTCCAATGCAGGACTCCTTGATGGGGTTCAGAACATACTGTCACAAAATAGGGCACCTTGGCATTTGAGAAAATCGTGGAAGCAGAAAGCACTCTCTGATCTTCTCCCAACCTTTTTGCCTGAAGCAGGCCATAAAAGAATTATCTGACCTTCCTCTGATGCAGGTCACAAGACCCTCATTCTAGAGACACTCTCCCAGGCTGGGTGCCGCAGCTGATGCCTGTAATCTCAGCACTTCGGGAGGCCGAGGTGGGCCGATTACTGGAGGGCAGGAGTTCAAGACCAGCCTGGCCAACATGGCAAAACCCCATCTCTACTAAACATACAAAAATTAGCCAGGCGTGGCAGTGCGCTCCTGTGGTCCCAGCTACTCACAAGTCTGAGGCAGGAGAATTGCTTGAACCCAGGAGGCAGAAGATGTGGTGAGCCGAGATTGCACCACTGCACTCCAGCCTGGGCGACAGAATGAGACTCTGTCTCAAAAAAAAAAAAAAAAAAAAAAAAAGCCACAGAGACACCCTCCCTATACCTAGAGGAAAGGAATATCATTATCTCTGAAGACACAGGAACACAGAAGAATCTGAACAAACAGTTCTCGCTAAGTTACCCCCAGTTTATTACCTCTACATCATACACCCTTTGTCTAATCATACTTCTCCACAACTCTCCACTTCATCAAACTTAGCATTAAAATACATACGTTTCCCTGTTTCTTTAGGTCTTCATTTTCAAAAGTTTGAGTGCCACATAAAACTCATATTAAATAAATTTATATGCCTTTCTCTTTTTAATCTGTCTTTTGTTATAGGTTTGTAAACCAAAGAGTATCTGAGACAAGCCTTAATCAATTTAGGAAGTTTATTTTGCCAAGGTTAAGGGCATGCCCATGACACAGCTTCAGGAGGCCCTGATGACATGTGCCCAAGGTGGTCGGGGCACAACTTGGTTTTATACATTTTAGGGAGACATGAGACATCAACCAGTATACGTAAGATGTACAGTGGTTCGAACTGGAAAGGCAGAACAACTTGAAGTGGGGATGGGACTTCCAGGTCATAGGTAGGTAAGAGACAAACGGTTGCATTATTTTGAGTTTCTGAATAGCCTTTCCAAAGGAGGCAGTCAGATAGGCATTTATGTCAGTAAAGGAATGACTCTGAGTTCTGTCTGTCCTTTGCCCACAAGGAAGTTCTTTATGAGGGAGGTATGTAGCTTTTAAATCTTAGTAGCTATCTTTTTAAAAAATAGAATGGAAGGCAGGTTTGCCCTAAGCAGTTCCCAGGTTGGCTTTTCCCTTTGGCTTCGTGATTTTGGGGTCCCAAGATTTATTTTCTTTTCACAGATGTCTCAGCCATGAACCTAGCAATGGAAAAGAGAGAGATTACTTTTCTCCCTTACATCCTCTAATGGGCAATTTTTATTTTGGAACTTTTGTTGGACTGACAGACACTTGTCAGGAACATGATGGCTCCTCCAGCCAAGCCTTGCTTCCTTCCTGTCCCCTTTCACAGCTATTTCGCATTCCTAACTCCATCTCAGCATCTACAATACCTCCCAGGTAACCCAATTTGCAACGGATAACCACTTATTTAGTTCACAACTCTATGGGTCATCGGTTTGGGCTGGGCTCAGCTGGGATGGCTGATCTCTGCCCCACATGGTGCCTTATCCTCCAGCAGGCCAGTTGGACTTGTTTTCTTGTTCACATGACCCCTGAAGAGAATTCCAAAAGAGAAAGTGGAATGGCTCTTAAAGTCTAGGCTCTGAACTGCCTCATCACTTACTTCTGCCACACTCTACTTACAAAAAACAAATCTATGCCAGATTCTAAAGAAGAAATAGACTCTACCTCCTTAGTAGGAGAAGCTGCAAAATCACATTGAAAAGGGCTTGGATACAGGGTAAAGTGAAGGATTGTGGCCAATTTGCAAACTACCACTTTATGGGCAGTCATGTGATTAAGTTGTCAACAGTGAAACTGAAGCGGCGTCATTCGTCTGGGGTAATACCCAAGGTTTGTTGCCTCACGCCAAGGAAATCAAGGACACAAGACACACAAGGAATGAGTTTAAGAGCGAAGGTTTGATACGTGACAGAAAGAGAAGGGCTGTGTCTCCTGTGGCAAGAGAGGGACTCCTGAGTGGGTCTTTCGGTTTCATGGTGAAATGCATGGGGTTTTATAAATGAGCTTGAGGAGGCGGTGTCTGATTTACATATGGCCCGAAGATTGGTTGGACCAGGTGTGTCATTTACATAGCACGGGAAGAAGCTGGCCACCCCACCCTAATCTTTTATGATGCAGATGGGTTCTCTACCTGGCTGGGCTTTGTTGCCTGTTCCTTTACTGTACACGTGGTTGACTAAAGGGAAAATGGAGCCTCCATATTGACCATGCCTGGCCCCCAGGTAGCCTTTTCCTATTAGGGCAGTTGCCGACATTCACCCATGAGAGCTTCCAGCTTCCTTATTTAGGTCTGCAGCTTGATTTTACAGGCTACTCTTTGCTAGAAAAGAAATGATTTGGAGGCTGCTTTTTGCTTAAAGGGAAGCCTTATTGAGGACTCTCTTATCCTCACTAACTGCCTAGATAATTTCTTTTTAGTTCCTATATCAAAATGTCAGCATGTTATAGGTGTTTAAACTAGAGCAACTCCATCTTGAACAGGGGCTGGGTAAAATAAGGCTGATACCTACAGGGTTGCATTCCCAGACAGTTAGGCATTCTAAGTCACAGGAAGAAATAGGAGGTTGGCACAAGATACGCATAATAAAGACCTTGCCTATAATACAGGTGCAGTAAAGAAGCTGGCCAAAACCCACCAAAACCAAGATGGTGAAGAGAGTGACCTTTGGTTGTTTTCACTGCTACACTCCGACCAGCACCATGACAGTTTACAAATGCTACAGCAATGTCAGGAAGCTACCCCATACAGTCTAAAAAGGGGAGGAATGAATAATCGACCCCTTGTTTAGCAAATCATCAAGAAATAACCATAAAAATGGGCAACCAGCAGCCCTCAGGGCTGCTCTGCCTATGGAGTAGCCATTCTTTTTATTCTTTTACTTTCTTAATAAACTTGCTTTCACTTTACAGGCGTGCCCTGAATTCTTTCTTGGGCGAGATCCACGAACCGTCTCTTGGGGTCTGGATTGGGACCCCTTTCCGGTAACAAGAAGAAGTGAAATGTGCACTTATGAGCCTGGATCTTCAGACACAGAGCTGTGCCTCCTTCACACTCTCTTTTCCCTTCCCTCCATCTAGAATCCATATACTTTTATCATATTATGCAGATAATGACAATGCAGAGCTACGGTTTAGAAATAACCTGGGTTGTTGAATAACAAGAGAACAGAGCTGCCCTGCTGGCCAGGATTATTTATATCTTAGCTGTTGTGAAAGGGGTGGGGAGAGAGAGAGAGAGACAGACAGAGACAGAGAGCATCTTTTTCCTTTAAACCACTGCATTTTGGATTTTGGGACTCTGTTATACTAGCTAGGCATTACCCTAACTAATGCATATGAAAATGGATGTAGGTACTGCAATGGTGATGGAGGGGTGCGGTGGGTGGAAGTAAAAATGCTTAAAGAGGAGTTTTAGAGAAACTTGCTTATGTGATATATAATGCAATAGTCTTATTTTTTCCTGAGTAACCTCTAGTCATAAGTCTTCATTACTTCTCATTGCAGATTCTGGCTTTTATTTTTCCCAAAAATGTCAATAGGCTGAGCTCAATCTTATATAAGCATACGGTAATTTAACAAGGTCTACTTGCATGTGGGTTACAGAATTATTACTCCATTTTTAGACAGGAAACTGAAGTTATATAGCAAATAACTGATGAAAACAGTATTTCAATCCTGACTTATCAGACTCCAAAGCCATTTCCCACCTAAATAGTTATTAGGTTTATTTTTCCCTTGAAACATGTGAGTATAGTAGAGATTTTATTCTCTGTGTTGTCATCTTTAGAGTAGGGAAACCCCACTCCATCCAATGGCAGGTGATGGTCCACAGGGATGCAGTACAGAATGTGGCCAAGACTCTTAAGACTAATGTTCTCTTTGGAGAAAGACAAGTGAGAAACTTCAGCCAAGTCATCCTCTTGCCAAAATTACTCCTTGGATGAAATTATGACTCATTTGGAATCTTTATTAATTAATTTGATGAGGGAACAGCCGGGCTGATAACCATCTATGCAGAATGATAAAAGTGGCTCATACTTCATCCAGAAATCAAAGAAGGAATGAAAACAGGTTTAAAATTGGCAAAACACTGCAGCATTCTCGGACTGGCCCCAGGGGCTTCATTTCTGGCCAAAATTGTAACACAATTAACAGTATTTGCATATCCCTTTGAAAAATATATATGCAAGCTCGGTGCAATGGCTCACACCTGTAATCCCAGCAGTTTGGGAGGCCGAGGTGGGCAGATCACCTGAGGTCAGGAGTTTGAGACCAGCCTGGCCAACATGGTGAAACCCCATCTCTACTAAAAATACAAAAATTAGCTGGGTATGGTGGCGCATGCCTGTAATCCCAGCTACACAGGAGGCTGAGACAGGAGAATCACTGACGGAGGTTGCAGTGAGCCGAGATCCTGCAACTGCACTGCAGCCTGGATAACAGAGCGAGACTCAGTCTAAACAAACAAACAAACAAAAAAATATATATATATATACACTCACACACAAACACAAATGATTCTATTTAAAAAATATCATTTTATAACTGTATTACTTGGCTGAGATTTTAGTACTTCATAATTTTCTGCAACTGAGCAGAAAGGGGAAAAATCTAATGCTTGGCACTACATTTTGCTTTCCAGTTTCAAATAACAGTTTTAAATCTCAGAGCTAAACAGCAACAGATTAAAAAAGAAATTTATATATATAATTAACTGTATAACTGATTACACTTACCTGAGTATACACTTGATTAGTCTAGTATTCTTCAAGTATAATTTTCCAAATAATAATACATTTGGCGAATTGAAAAAGAAATAAATAATGATACGAAATTTATTGACAGCTAAATTAAAATACGATTTTGCAAACAGCTTCATATAATTCAAATATATTCCCAGAAGTAATTTTTTTGTATATTTCATGCAAAATATTTCAAGTAATAATGCTGCCAGAATTATTTCTCATAGGCAAATACTGAAGTTAGTATTGACAAAAACTTGAAGCTGGGTGAAGCCTTGCACAGTATCTAGTCCATCTTATCATATTAATGACAAAGAAACTGAAACCCAGGAAAAATTATTAATAAGTCTGTTAAAGCAAACTAAATATGGCCTGAGAAGAACTCCGTACTTTTATATTTGAGTCCTTGTAGACAAAGAGTAACCTAGCTTAATAGGCAGACGAGATTGAAAACCCAATTTAGCAGTATATGCTTGTAAAGATACCTGAGTCTTGGCCAATCCCAGCAGCCGTACTTCAACCACTCATACACTGCTGAGTGTTCAAACTGTGTTCAAATAAGGCAAACGCCAACCTGTAAACAATCCAGCTATTTCTGTACCTCATTTCCGATTTTTGTCAGTTTCCTTTTTTTTTATCTATAAATTTGTTCCGACCACGAGGCATCCCTGGTGTCTCTCTAAATCTGCTGTGATTCTGGGGGCTGCCCGATTCGCAAATTGTTTGTTGCTCAATCAAACTCCTTTAAATTTAATTCAACTGAAGTTTCTTTTAACAAGTACAAGATCATCATTATTTTTTGCCAACCCTTATAATTGATCCCTCTATCTTTAGTCCTTTTATTTATTTTCTTACTCAATTACTGAAATAAAGAGGAGAAATGAACTCTAGAGGCAGAAATAATCTCAGCATCATAAATAAAACCATTTCCCTTTTATAGCACTAAATGCCCACAAGAGAAAGCAGGAAAGATCTAAAATCGGCAACCTAACATCACAATTAAAAGAACTAGAGAAGCAAGAGCAAACAAATTCAAAAGCTAGCAGAAGGCAAGAAATAACTAAGATCAGAGCAGAACTGAAGACACAAAAAAACCCTTCAAAAAATCAATGAATCCAGGAGCTGGTTTTTTGAAAAGATCAACAAAATAGATAGACCGCTAGCAAGACTAATAAAGAAGAAAAGAGAGAAGAATCAAATAGATGCAATAAAATATGATAAAGGGGATATCACCACCAATCCCACAAAAATACAAACTATCATCAGAGAATACTACAAACACCTCTATGCAAATAAACTAGAAAATCTAGAAGACATGGATAAATTCCTGGACACATACTCCCTCCCAAGACTAAACCAGGAAGAAGTTGAATCTCTGAATAGACCAATAACAGATTCTGAAATTGAGGCAATAATTAATAGCCTACCAACCAAAAAAAGGTCCAAGACCAGACGGATTCACAGCCAAATTCTACCAGAGGTACAAGGAGGAGCTGGTACCATTCCTTCTGAAACTATTCCAATCAATTGAAAAAGAGGGAATCCTCCCTAACTCATTTTATGAGGCCAGCATCATCCTGATACCAAAGCCTGGCAGGGACACAACAAAAAAAAGAGAATTTTAGGCCAATATCCCTGATGAACATCGATGCAAAAATCCTCAATAAAATACTGGCAAACCAAATCCAGCAGCAGATCAAAAAGCTTATCCACCACAATCAAGTTGGCTTCATCCCTGGGATGCAAGGCTGGTTCAACATACGCAAATCAATAAACATAATCCACCACATAAACAGAACCAACGACGAAAACCACATGATTATCTCAACAGATGCAGAAAAGGCCTTTGATAAAATTCAACAGCCCTTCATGCTAAGAACTGTCAATAAACTAGGTATTGATGGAACATATCTCAAAATAATAAGAGCTATTTATGACAAACCCACAGCCAATATCATACTGAATGGGCAAAAACTGGAAGCATTCCCTTTGAAAACCAGCACAGAACAAGGATGCCCTCTCTCACCACCGCTATTCAACATAGTGTTGGAAGTTCTGGCTAGGGCAATCAGGCAAGAGAAAGAAACAAAGGGTATTCAGCTAGGAAAAGAGGAAGTCAAATTGTCTATGTTTGCAGATGACATGATTGCATATTTAGAAAATCCCATCATCTCAACCCAAAATCTCCTTAAGCTGATAAGCAACTTCAGCAAAGTCTCAGGATACAAAATCAATGTGCAAAAATCACAAGCATTCCTATACACCAACAACAGACAAAGAGAGCCAAATCATGAGTGAACTCCCATTCACAATTACTACAAAGAGAATAAAATACCTAGGAATCCAACTTACAAGGGATGTCAAGGACCTCTTCAAGGAGAAATATAAACAACTGCTCAACGAAATAAAAGAGGACACAAACAAATGTATCGGGGAAACTGCCCCGATATTCACGTAGGTTCTTTTCTATTTTCCTTAAGCATCGGCCAGCTTGAGAAGTAAAGGGACAGAATACAAAAGAGAGAAATTTTAAAGCTGGGCATCCGGGGGAGACATCACATGTCGGTAGGTTCCGTGATGCCCCACAAGCCACAAAAACCAGCAAGTTTTTATTAAGGAGTTTCAAAAGGGGAGGGAGTGTGCGAATAGGTGTGGGTCACAGACATCAAGTACTTCACAAGGTAATATAATATCACAAGGCAAGTGGAGGCAAGGCAAGATCACAGGACCATAGGACCAAGGAGAAATTAAAATTGCCAATGAAGTTTCAGGCACCATTGTCATTGATAACATCTTATCAGGAGACAGGGTTTTGAGATCAACCGGTCTGACCAAAATTTATTAGGTGGGAATTTCCTCTTCCTAATAAGCCTGGGAGCGCTATGGGAGACTGGAGTCTATTTCACCCCTGCAGCCTCAACCATAAAAGACGACCACATCCAGTGGGGCCAGTTCAGAGACCCACCCCCAGGTGCACATTCTCTTTCTCAGGGATGTTCCATGCTGAGAAAAAGAATTCAGTGATATTTCTCCCACTTGCTTTTGAAAGAAGAGAAATATGGCTCTGTTCCACCCTGCTCACCAGCAGTCAGAGTTTAAGGTTATCTCCCTTATTCCCTGAACAATTGCTGTTATCCTGTTCTTTTTTCAAGGTGCCCACATTTCATACTGCTCAAACACACATGCTGTACAATTTGTGCAGTTAATGCAATTATCACATGGTCCTGAGGCGACATACATCCTCCTCAGCTGACAGGATTAAGAGATAAAAGTAAAGACAGGCATAGGAAATCACAAGGGTATTGATTGGAGAAGTGATAAGTGTCCATGAAATCTTTACAATTTATGTTTAGAGATTGCAGTAAAGACAGGCATAAGAAATTACAAAAGTATTAATTTGGGGAACTAATAAATGTCCATGAAATCTTCATAATCCACGTTCTTCTGCCATGGCTTTAGCTGGTCCCTCCGTTTGGGGGTCCCTGACTTCCCACAACACAAATGGAAGAACATTCCATGCTCATGGATAGGAAGAATCAATATCGTGAAATGGCAATACTGCCCAAGGTAATTTATAGATTCAATGCTATCCCCATCAAGCTACCACTGACTTTCTTCACAGAATTGGAAAAAACTACTTTAAAGTTCATATGGAACCACAAAAGAGCCCACATAACCAAGAAAATCCAAAGCCAAAAGAACAAAGCTGGAGGCATCACGCTACCTGACTTCAAACTAAACTACAAGTCTACAGTAACCAAAACAGCATGGTACTGGTACCAAAACAGATATACAGACCAATGCAACAGAACAGAGGCCTCAAAAATAACACCACACATCTACAACCATCTGATCTTTGACAAACCTGATAAAAACAAGCAATGGGGAAAAGATTCCCTAATTAATAAATGGTGCTGGGAAAACTGGCTAGCCATATGTAGAAAGCTGAAACTGGATCCTTTTCCTTACACCGTATACAAAAATTAACTCAAGATGGATTAAAGACTTAAATGTTAGACCTAACACCATAAAAACCCTAGAAGAAAACCTAGGCAATACCATTCAGGACATAGGCATGGGGAAAGACTTCATGACTAAAACACCAAAAGTAATGGCAACAAGAGCCAAAATAGACAAACGAGATCTAATTAAACTAAAGAGCTTCTGCACAGCAAAAGAAACTGTCATCAGAGTGAGCAGGCAACCTACAGAATGGGAGAAAATTTTTGCAATCTACCCATCTGACAAAGGGTTAATATCCAGAATCTACAAAGAAATTAAACAAATTTACAAGAAAAAAAAACCATCAAAAGGTGGGTGAGGGATATGAACAGACACTTCTCAAAAGAAGACATTTATGCAGTCAACAGACGTATGAAAAAATGCTCGTCATCACTGGTCATCAGAGAAACGCAAATCAAAACCACAATGAGATACCATCTCACGCCAGTTAGAATGGCAATCATTAAATAGTCAGGAAACAAAAGATGCTGGAGAGGATGTGGAGAAATAGGAACACTTTTACACTGTTGGGGTGGGAGTGTAAACTAGTTCAACCATTGTAGAAGACAGTGTGGCAATTCCTTAAGGATCTAGAACTAGAAATACCATTCGACCCAGCCATCCCATTACTGGGCATATACCCAAAGGATTATAAATCATGCTACTATAAAGACACATGCACACGTATGTTTATTACGGCACTATTCACAATAGCAAAGACTTGGAACCAACCCAAGTGTCCATCAATGATAGACTAGATTAAGAAAATGTGGCACATATACACCATGGAATACTATGCAGCCATAAAAAAGGATGAGTTCATATCCTTTGCAGGGACATGGATGAAGCTGGAAACCATCATTCTAAGCAAACTGTCACAAGGACAGAAAACCAAACACCGCATGTTCTTACTCATAGGTGGGAGTTGAACAATGAGAACACATGGACACAGGGCGGGGAACATCACACACTGGGGCCTGTCGGTGGGCGGGGGACTAGGGGAGGGACAGCATTAGGAGAAATACCTAATGTAAATGACGGGTTGATGGGTGCAGCAAATCAACATGGCACATGTATACCTATGTAACAAAACTGCACATTGTGCACATGTACCCTAGAATTTAAAGTATAATTTTAAAAAAAAACACTTCCCTATATCATTAAAGAGTATTTAGTACAGGCCTGCTGTGATGATTCATGCCTGTAATCCCAGCACTTTGGGAGGCCACGGCAGTAGGATCCCTTGAGGCTAAGGGTTCAAGATCAGCCTAGGCAACAAAGGAGACTCCATCTCTACAAAAAAAATTAAAATTAGCCAGGCATGGTGGTATGTGCCTGTAGTCCCAGCTACCTAAGAGGCTGAGGCAGGAGGACTGCTTGAGCCTGGGAGGTCAAGGCTGCCATGAGCCATCATCACACCACTGCACTCCAGCCTGGGTGACACAGTGAGACCCTGTCTCAAAAAAATAAAAAAGTGATTAATACAAAATTATTTCCACATACAAGGTTTTATCTCTGCCTTGCATATAGTAGATTCTCAGTATTATTTGAATGAGTAAATTCTTCCAGGCTAAAGAGAAAAGCAAACAGAGCCAAATCCACCCAGCATATGGGTTCATTTTAGAAAGCACTTCTCTTCACCTGCCCCAGTCAACTCTCCTTCTCCCTCAAGTCTCAATCTAAAAGCCACATCCAGGCCAGGGGCAGTGGCTCATGCCTGTAATCCTAGTACTTTGAGAGGCCAAGGCGGGTGGATCACCTGGGTTCAGGAGTTTGAGACCAGCCTGGCCAACATGGTGAAATCCTGTCTCTACTAAAAATATAAAAATTAGCTGGGCATGGTGGCAGGCACCTGTAATCCCAGCTACTCAGGAGGCTGAGGCAAGAGAATCCGTTAAACTCAGGAGGTAGAGCTTCCAGTGAGCCTAGATCACGCCACTGCACTCTAACCTGGGTGACAGAGCAAGACCATCTCAAAATAAATAAACAAATAAATAAAAGCCATGTCCCGGCCAGGTGCTGTGGCTCACGCCTGAAATCCCAGCACTTCGGGAGGGCAAAGCAGACAGATGGCTTGAGCTCAGGAGTTCAAGTCTAGCCTGGGCAATGTGGCAAAATCCCATCTCTACAAAAAAAAAATACAAAAATTTGCCAGGTGTGGTGGTGCGCACCTGTAGTCCCAGCTACTAAAGAAGCTGAGATGGGAGGTTCACTTGAGCCTGAGAGGTTGAGGTTGCAGTGAGCCATAATCATGCTACTGCACTCCAGCCTGGAGCAAGACCCTGTCTCTAAATAAATAAATAAAATAGTAATAAATAAACATCATGTCCTAAGGAAGCCTTTGCCTCTCCCCAATCCCTGATCCCAAAATTAAAGTAACTATAGTTGTACTAATTCCTTACAGCATGGGTCACAATTTCATTTGTAATTATGTTTCTGTATATGTATTTAAGGTGTCTCTTTCCCATTAAACCAAAAGTTTCTTAAGCTCAAGGATCCTGTCTGTCTTCACTATTGTTTCTTTAATACCTAGCACTGGCATTGCCCCATAATAGGTTATCACTAAGCATTTGTTGAATTTGTGAATAAATGAGTAAGTAAATGAGCAAATAAACAAGCAAACGACCTTGTGGCGAAATCACATTTGGCAGCTAGGCATGGTGGCTCACGCCTGTAATCCCAGTGCCTTGAGAGGCTGAGATGGGAGGATTGGGGCCAGGCGTTCAAGACCAGCCTGGGCAACACAGTGAGACCCCCCCCAATCTCTACAAGAAATTTAAAAATTAGCAGGCCATGGTGGCAGGCACCTGTAGTCCTTGGATAAAGCTACTTGGGAGGCTGAGGTGGGAGGACTGCTGGAGCCCAGAAGTTTGAGGCTGCAGTGAGCCATCACCACACCATTGCACTCCAGCCTAGGTGACAGAGTGAGAACCCATCTATTAACAAAAAAAAGAATCACATTTGGTTAGGCCCACAGCAAGATAATATATGAGTTGTCTTTCCTTGAGGTGTTTAAAATGAAATAGAAAAAGAAATAAAGAAATTGATCATGACAGACTAAAACTAGCAAGGAAATGGTTCTAAAGCAACATATTCAGAAAAAAAAAAATCTCTGGCAGGGCATTAAAAATATACCCGAGATTTGCACTTTGGGAGGCCGAGGCGGGCAAATCACGAGGTCAGGAGATTGAGACCATCCTGGCTAACATGGTGAAACCCCATCTGTACTAAAAATACAAAAAAATTAGCCAGGCGTGGTGGCGGGCACCTGTAGTCCCAGCTACTTGGGAGGCTGAGGCAGAAGAATGGCATGAACCCAGGGCACGGAGCTTGCAGTGAGCAGAGATCGCGCCACTGCACTCCAGCCTGGGCGACAAAGCAAGACTCCGTCTCATAAAAAATAAGTAAATAAAAATAAAAATATATATATATATACCTGAGATGGCCAGGCATGGTGGCTCGCACCTGTAATCCCAGCACCTTGGGAGGGCAAGGCGGGTGGATCACTTGAAGTAAGGAGTTCAAGACTGGCCTGGGCAACATGGTGAAACACTATCTCTACTAAAAATACAAAAATTAGCCGGGCATGATGGCGGGCACATGTAATCCCAGCTATTCAGGAGGCTGAGGCAGGAGAACCACTTGAACCAAGGAGGCAGAGGTTGCAGTGAGCCGAGATCACACCACTGCACTCCAGCCTGGGCAACAGAGCGAGACTCCATCTCAAATAAACAAAAAAACCCAAAAACTATATATATTACATTATATATACATTATATATATAATATAGTATATATATTATATATACTATAGTATATATATAATATAGTATATATACTATATATAATATAGTATATATATACTATAGTATATATATTATATATACTATATTATATATAGTATATATACTATATAATATATATACTATATTATATATAGTATATATAATATATAGTATATATACTATATTATATATAGTATATATTATATATATTTATATTTATATATTTGAGACAGGATTCTCAATATTTATATATATATTTGAGATAGAGGAGTCTCAAAAAATATTTATATATATGTATAATTGCATTTCCATTAATAAACAGGAGCGGGTACCTTTTGAGCAAGCACAATGCAGAGGTAGCTATATCTTGCACATGAACATCACTGAATGAACAATAAGAAAGTCTTAAGTGCACTTTTTGTCATTTTTCTGTGTTGGCAACTGTTATCTAGAGATCAAGAAGGTGTCGAGGACAGTCTTACTACAATTCAAAAATGAGATTTAAGGGCTGGGCACAGTGGCTCACTCCTGTAATCCCAGCAGTTTGGGAGGCTGAGGCAGGCAGATTATTTGAGGTCAGGAGTTCAAGACCAGCCTGGCCATTACGGTGAAATCCCATCTCTACTAAAAGTATAAAAATTAGCCGAGCATGGTGGCACACGCCTGTAATCCTACCTACTTGGGAGCTGAGGCACAAGAATCACTTGAACCCAGGAGGCAGAGGTTGCAGTGATTGCTCCGCTGCACTCCAGCCTGGGCAACAGAGCAAGGCTCTGTCTCAAAAAAATAAATAAATAAGTGAGATGTAAAAGCCTTAAGGCAAACTATTGTTGGAAAGCCCTCACAGCTACTCGATAGTTGGTCATCATTTTTGGTTGACCAACGAAAATGAAATCAAGCTCATGGCTGTGTCTATCATAATAAGTGAGGCAAGAATTTAGAACTCACTTTCCAAAATGAAGTCAAAAGCTTCTAAAGTAAAAAGGAAGTGTAAACCAAAAATTAAAGGCTATGACAGTAAACAAAGAATAAAATGGCTATACTTTCATGAATTACAAAAATAAACCAAAGGAAGTGGGATACAACGGTTTGTATACACTATTTAACACTAACCTTGCAACTGGAAGAATCAAGTTCCAGAGAGGAAACACACACCATGTGAAGCTTTTATCATCAAAGCCCAAAGCAGCCTCTTTATAGCAAGGTTTCTGAATACAAGGATCAAAGAGAGACTCCCAAAAGAAAGAAGGTTTTGGGGACTCCTTATATAATCGAAATGAGTACATCAGGGAAGACATTTTTTAAAAGAAGAAGATGACAGTGATGACCTACTGAGGAATATGAAATAATAAGAAAACTTTGACTCTCAATGCTCAAAGTACTTGCTATAGTGGAACTAAGAGAGAAAGAAAGAAAAATAAAAACACATGGCAACTAGGCAACACAAATCAGAATGCAGTAAGTCGTCACTGTGGCTATGCTCTGGTTTCTATATTTCTAGAACTTGTGGCTTAAATTTTATTAAAGCCCCTTGGATAAAGATCTTGACTTATAAACAATACATTTTCTGTTTCCTTCATAGCTGGGGGTTTGTGTGCTCTTTCGAATGCTTTGTAAGACGTCCAGGATTTACTGCCAAAAAAAGAGACTCTTTTAAAAAGGTAATTTACCTTTTCTTAAAGATTCAAATTTAGAAGCCCTATGCCTAATACTTTAACTGAGAAGACAGAATTGTATTCAGAATAAACCAATGATTTCGCTGGGAGAAATTGAGAATATGAAATACTAAGGCTGGAACAATAGTGGTTTAGAACAGTGCTTCTCAAACTATCTGTAGGAAGGAATGAATTTTGTTTTATTTTTTCCTAATCTGTTGCAGACTGACACTTTTAGTAGATACAATGAAAATAGATTACTATACTAGAAAAATCAAATTAAAAAACAAAGCAGGCCAGGTGCAGTGGCTCACGCCTGTAATCCCAGCACTTTGGGAGGCTGAGGCGGGCAGATCACCTGAAGTCAGGAGTTCAAGACAAGCCTGGCCAACATGGTGAAACTCCACCTCTACTAAAAATACAAAAAATAGCTGGGTGTGGTGGTGAGCGCCTGCAATCCCAGCTACTCGGGAGGCTGAGGCAGGAGAAGCACTTGAACCCAGGAGGCGGAGGTTGCAGAGAGCTGAGATCACGCCACTGCACTCCAGCCTGGGAGACGGAGCAAGAATCCGTCTCAAAAAAAAAAAAAAAAAAGCATACTAATCATGAGAAAAATACCAGACAAATCTCAATTGAAGGACATTCTACAAAATATTTGACCAGTCCTCCTCAAAACTGTCAGGGCCATCAGAAACAAAGACAGTCTGAAAAACTGCCACAGCCAAGAGTGGCCTAAGGAAACACGACAACTAAAGGTAACATAGTGTCCTGGATGGGATTCTGGAACAGAAATACGACGTTAGATAAAAACTAAGGAAATCCGAATAAAGTATGGGCTTCATTAATAATAATGTGTCAATATTTGTTCATTATGTGTAATAAATGTACCACACTAAAGTCAGATGTTAATAATAAGGGAAACGGGCTGTGGGGTGTTTAGAAACCCTCTGTACTACTTCATTGTTTTTCTGTAAGTCTTAAAGTGTTCTAAAATTAAAAGTTTATTTAAAATTAGGAAAAATAGGCTGGGCACGATGGCTCATGCCTGTAATCCCAACACTTTGGGAGGCCAAGATGGGCAGATCACCTGAGGTCAGGAGTTCAAGACCAGCTTGGTCAACATGGTGAAACCCCATCTCTACTAAAAATACAAAAATTAGATGGGTGCAGTAGTACATGCCTGTATAGCTACTCAAGAGGCTGAGGCAGGAGAATTGCTTGAACCTGGAAGGCGGAGGTTGCAGTGAGCTGAGATTGCACCATTGCACTCCAGCCTGGGCGACAGAGCAAGACTCCATCTCAGAATAAATAAATAAAATAAAATAAAAATAAAATTAGGAAAAAAATATATACAAAGTACAAGCCCCCCAATTTTTAATAATTCAATAGATGTAAAATTACTCTGTCACATCTCCAAATGCTACAAAAAATTTCTAAATTCTTCCTCTCCATCTCTGTGCTTGTCTCATGATAGGCTGGTAAGGAACAGTTGGGACTGACCCTAGCTCATGAACCACACTGTTGAGTATCTCTGGTCTAGACCAGTGCTTCCCAAATGCCACGATAAAGTTTTCCTTGGGTATACAGCCAATGAGAAAAGGTAGGACAATGAATTGAGTTTTTCACAAAGCAAATTAATTTGATGTAAAGGATCATCGTATATTCTGAGATTACCTCCTTTCCACATATTTAGGGTTATTTGTGTGTATGTGTGAATGTGTATGAAACAATGGAGAGAGTGCATGGTGGTAGTTTTTGTTTGGATGTCTTTGCCTACAAGTTATTGGAGAGAGGCTTAAACATTAATATATTTATCATTTCACCAAGAAGTCTGCACTTAGAAGGCTTCCAAGGTTGAGAAATTTAGGCGCTCAGTGTTTCTAACAAGTTTCTTTTTCTCTTTGCCCTGTGCAGCCCTCAGCATCTTGGCTTGTCCTCTTAACCTGACTTTCCTCATGGTCCCAAGATGGCTGCCACAGTTCCAGTTGTCCCATAAATACAACAATACCCAAAAACAGAAAGGCTGCCAGAGACTAATTTACCATGAAACTAAAGAAGCTTAAGCTTTAGAACCCTTCACTTACACAAGCTCCTTCCAAGACCCTAGCCTGGGGGGAGAAGGCAGATCCTACCAATACATTCATCTGGTCGTATATTTTTGTAAACTGTGAAAAAGCAGGACAATTTTAAACAATTTTTCTTAAAAAGGGCTCCAAAAGGCTAGGCGCGATGGCTCACACCTGTAATCCCAGCACTTTGGGAGGCCAAGGCGGGCGGATCACCTGAGGCCAAGAGTTCGATACCAGCCTGGCCAACATGGTGAAACCCTGTCTCTACTAAAAATACAAAAATTAGCTGGGCATGGTGGCAAGTGCCTGTAATCCTAGCAACTCAGGAGGCTGAGGCAGGAGAATCACTTGAACCCGGGAGGCGGAGGTTGCAGTGAGCCGAGATCATGCCACTGCACTCCAGCCTGGAAACAGAGCAAGACTCCGTCTCAAAAAAAAAAAAAATTAAAAAAAATAAATAAATAAAAAGAGGGGAGGGCTCCAAAATTGTACAAGAAGCCCTCACTTAATGTCATTGATAGGTTCTTGGAAACTGACTTGAAGCAAAATGATGTATAACAAAACTAATTTTTCCTAGGCTAACTGATATTTCTGGAACAAAAACATCACCGCAGGCTGGTGTGGTGGCTCATTTCTATAATCCCAACTTTGGGAGGCCTAAGCGGGCAGATCACCTGAGGTCAGGAGTTCGAGACCAGCCTGGCCAACAAGATGAAACCCTATCTCTACTAAAAATACAAAAATTAGCCAGGCTTGGTGGCGGACACCTGTAATCCCAGCTACTTGGGAGGGTGAGGCACAAGAATCGCTTGAACCCAGGAGGCAGAGGTTGCAGTGAGCCGAGATTGCACCACTGCACTCTAGCCTGGGCAACAGAGCAAGACTCTGTCTAAAAAAAAAAAAAAAAAAAAAATCACCAAACTTCTAAATGAAGACCCAAAACACTTCTAATGTTGGACATTGGAATAAATATGAGCTATACATACATTTAAGAAAAATTAATAAAAACAAGTAAGATCATTATTTACCCAAGTATTCCAGTTCAGGGTCACAGGTACATCACCAGAGTGGCTTTCTAGTGGTCTATTTCAGAGGAAAAAGTGATGAAACTTTTGTTCACATATATACCTAGAATACTGAACAAGCTGGACTCATGAGCCATAATCATGAAGCAATTTAATTTTGCCTTTCACTACCCCTTCAAATTCATTAGATGGGGCAAGTTCTTCTTCCTCTGAATGAAACCCAGGCAGTCTTACAACTTTTCTGATTGCTTTTAGGAACTAAAAATCCATACTTTGACTTGAAATACCCAAACAGACTTTAGTCAGAAGTAGAATATCTGGGCTCAGACACTCCCTGTTGTCCTACATACTAACCATGTCTGACCCCTTAGGCAAGGAGGGGAGTGGGTGGGAGGAAGAGACAAGGAAGACAGGGAACGTCCCCCTAATTGACCTAAGATGGCCTTGAAAACTTTGGTCTTGGCAAATGTTTAAAGCTGACCCTCGTTTGTGGGTAACTTTCATGGTTTCTTCAGAGACTTCCCAATCGGAGAACTTTTGCTTGCAGCTTCCTTGACCTGAGTAATCACACCTCAAATTTGTCTGGTCCCTTTATTCCTTCTATGGCCTTCCTGGAAACCTGGTGATAGCTTCAGAATTGCTCGGCTAGGTCCTGATCACCAGTCCAGGAAGCCCTATCATACAGTATCTGGGATAGGTACTCACACCTCCCTTTCCCTCTCTCTCTCACACGCCATACCACACACACACACACACACACACACACACACACACACACACACACACACACACACACCCTAGGCCTTGGGAAACATTCAGGCTGCCTTAGTCCCAGTAAACTTTGATTTGCGTGTCAGCAGATAGCCAGCCCCTCTCTCATCCTTTACATTTCTGAACAGAGCTCATTTCACCAGGCTTCAATGAGGTGCATCCATGCACCAGCTCTACTCTTTGAAGGAAATCCAAAGAGTTGGAGAATCCATGTTACAGCTCTCTCCAATTCTTCCTTTCATGACCCGTCTACATTCTTGGTGTGGGTGAAGGGCTTCAGACATATCCGACCCTGTGCTGTCCTCCACCATTTAAATTTACATTAATAAACAGTAAATAAAATTAAAACTTCACTCACACTAGCCATATTTCAAGTGCTCAATAGCCACATGTGACTAGTGGCTACTGCACTGGACAGTGTAGAAAAAAAGAACATTCACAGCACTGCAGAACAAGAATCTATTGATTCTTGAACACCTACTTTAAACTTTCTACATGAGGGTCTCAGAACTTTTGGCATCTGAAACTTATCATACTTTAAAGCTTCAAGCAAAACCTAATAAACTGTTAAACATTTTAAAATGTGACCGGTATTCATGTAATTAAATATGATGTCCCTATGAATCCCATTCCATGCATAATAATCATTACATCCTTGAAGTTGTAAATATGTTACAAGGACTACTTCAATCCGTTTGCTTTAGCTTACCTTTGGTTAATGTGATATATCAGAGAGTATGTTTTGTCTCAGAGAGTGTGTTTTCATACCATTTAAATGGTATTTGTGTGTATTGAGTACGCATATTTTGAAACTACTATTTGTCTATTTATGTCCAAATCACAAAAGTGAAAGGGTAGCTTAAAAGTTGTTCATTGAAGTGTAGATGTAGTAATGAAAGTAGTAATAGACACACTATAATTGAGAACAACACAAACATAAAAAGTGAACAAGAATCCAAAGAATGTGAGTCTATTCATGTTGGGACAAGTAAATCTGTGGGTATTCTGATTTCCCACAAGCAACCAAAGATGAAAAGAGTGAAGAGGAAATACAATGAATCTTTGAAATTGAATGTTATTAATTTATCGATCGATTCTCTAGTTTCCAGTGTGCTGTCTGCTTCAAATGTTGTCAAATAGTGGTATGGTGCCACCGAATCCTTTGTGTGATATTTAAATACTGCATAGCAACCACTGGCATGAAACAATTATCTATCCTATTCCAAAACAAACAAAGACTAATATTCTCCAATGTGAAAGAGATAACATTTGCTAGTCTGAAATAATGACTATTGCTTATTCATATGAGTCTTATTAAAAGGAGGTATATGTCATGGTATTGCTGAACAATAGTTGCAAAGGAAATAATATTCAGAGACAAGACAGGAAAAGCTATTGGTAAAATCTTTTAATTGATGATTTTGTTGTAGAAGATAATAACAGCATATAAGGTGGAAGAGCAGTTATTATCCATTATGCATGCTAGTACTTTACTGCAGGAGGAAATCACTGAGAAGTACAAAGGCATAAATCAGTCCTTAGTGGATTGTGATACAATTTGTGAGTGAGAAGTGCTGGATGACTTTGTTCTCCTTATGCCTGAAAATCCATGCTAATCATTTTCTTGGTTGCCCAAAGTTCCGTAAGTCCTAACAGTAATAGGAAAAAGTATGCTGAGATCAGCACTGACAAAGCATCAAATAGGTATGTTACAAGAATGATATTCAAATAAAAGAGGCTCCAACTGAATGTCAATGCGTGCTCTACTATATTCAAAGAGAACAGCAGGCAGTCCACAGTTCCATGTTAAAGGAAATTGTGGAAATTATGACTATGATCAAGTTTCACTATACATTTTTTATATTAAACTACTTTTAGAACAGATTCAATTTATAGAAAAATTGTGACAAGTAGTACAGAGAGTTCTCATATTTCCTAGCAGAGTTCTCATTTCCCCTGTTATTAAGATCTTACATTAGTGTGGTACATCTGTTACAATTAATGAACTAATATTGATACATTATTATTAATAAAGTCCATACTTTATTCAGATTTCCTTAGTTTTTATCTAATGTCCCTTTTCTATTCCAGGATCCCATCCTAGAATGACTATTTGATTAATAACTATTTGATAGTCATGTCTCCTTAGGTGTGTCTTGGCTGTGACAATTTCACAGACCTTCTTTGTTTTTGGTAACCTTGACGGTTTTGAAATATACGGGTAGGATATTGCGAAGGTTACCTCTTAATTGGGATTTGTGTGATGTTTTTCTCATGATTAGACTGGGGTTCTGGTTCTGGAGAGGAAGACCACAGAGGTGAAGTGCCATTTTTGTCATATCCATATCAGGGTACATACTACCATCACGACTTACCACTGTTGATGAATCAGTGTAGACTCATGATATTTATTTTATCCTTTGAGTTAAAATGCAGTGCTTCTTTATTTTGTTGCTAAAATTGTTCCATCTTTGGCCATTGGGAGCTCTTTCAGTTGACTCCTATATGATTTTCACATACCCACATCATCGTGTGTGTGTGTGTTTAGCACTGTTGTACTGTACTTTCTTACACTACTAGAATCAGTCATTTCTCCAAAGAGCCCCTATTCCCTTTATTGGAGAATGATATTCGAAACCAAGATCTGGGTGCTAGATGTGCTCATTACTACCAGGATGTCATTGCTTCTAGGCCTACTCGACTGTCAGAGCAAGGAAATATATGTGTGTATACCAACCTGTGTATTTACATGCATCTGTATTTCTATATATAATCATCTGTATATATGTATTAAGCTAAATATAAATTCACAGGTTTGTCTCCAGCTCTAATCCATTACTCCATAAATTATTCTAGCTTATTTCCTTTGCTTATCTATAAACACCCACTCCAACAGTGAAAAATCTGTCTCCCACTGTTGCCATCAATTTAATTACTTGTTTAATCACCATATGTTTTTTAGCATGTTGTGTAAAGAAATGTATAGTAACTCTAACTCCACTTTTCCATACTGAAGTACATGAGTTGTTGAAGGGAAAAATGCTCACGTGGGGTTTTGTTTTAATATTTCAACTAGGTCATGCATAGTGGCTTGGGCCTGTAATCCCAGCACTTTGGGAGGCCAAGGTGAGTGGATCATTTGAGGTCAGGAGTTCAAGACCAGCCTGGCCAACATGGTGAAATCTCGCCTCTACTAAAAATACAAAAATTAGCTGGGTGTGGTGGTGCGTGCCTGTAGTCCCAGCTACTCAGGAGGCTGAGGCAGGAGAATTGCTTGAACCCAGGAGGCAGAGGTTGCAGTGAGCCGAGATCGCGGCACTGCATTCCAGCCTGGCAACAGAGTGAGACTCTGTCTCAAAACATATATATAGGCCAGGCGCAGTGGCTCACGCCTGTAATCCCAGCACTTTGGGAGGCCGAGGCGGGTGGATCATGAGGTCAGGAGATCGAGACCATCCTTGGTAACACGGTGAAATCCCGTCTCTACTAAAAATAAAAATTAAAAAAAAAATTAACCGGGTGTGGTGGTGGGCACCTGTAGTCCCAGCTACTCTGGAGGCTGAGGCAGGAGAATGGCATGAACCCGGGAGGCAGAGCTTGCAGTGAGCCGAGATCGGGCCACTGCACTCCAGCCTGGGCAACAGAGTGAGGCTCCATCTCAAAAAAAAATATATATATATACACACATACATTATATTTCAACTATTTCTAGTATACGGAATAACATAAATTTTTAAAATTATACTAGTAATGCCAAGAAAGACCAATTTTAAGATTGGAAGTGTTGGCCCGGCGCTGTGGATCATTCCTCTAATCCCAGCACTTTGGGAGGCCGAGGTGGGCAGATCACTTGAGGTTAGGAGTTCGAGACCAGTCTGGCCAACATGGTGAAACCCCATCTCTACTAAAAATACAAAGTTAGCCAGGCATGGTGTTGGGTGCCTGTAATCCCAGCTACTCGGGAGGCTGAGGCAGGAGAATCCCTTGAACCCAGAGGGCAGAGGTTGCAGTGAACTGAAATCTGGCCACTGCACTCCAGCTTGGGTGACAGAGCAAAACTCTGTCTAAAAAACAACAACAACAACAACAAAATTGAAAGTGTCTTGCTCAAATAGCGTATCTTGATGGTATTTTTTAAGAATATTGAAAGCCCTTCTCTTAGCCCAGATTCCCTACAAAACAGAGCCAAAGACAAGTATTTTTCTTAAGACAAAAAGCTAATGCTTTTTGAGAACTGAACATCTCTGGGAAAGGAATCAAGGAAGAACAGGGTCAGAGCAAGGAGATGCATGGCTGTGTTGGTGACTGCTTCATAACGAGCCATAAGAAATCCAGCAAGTCACTCCTCAAGTGCTTACACTCAAGTTTTTGGGGTGTCTCCAGACAGACCTCAGGGGATAGTCTATGGGAGGGGAGGGGAGAGGGACCTTCTCTGGCCTCTCTCTCCAGTTTCCAACTTTCCGCTGGCCAAAGTGTGTCCTATAAATGGTTATGTCTCCTGCACTTGCAGGCTGCATTATTCAGCCCTGTGATGGTTAATTTTATGTGTCAACTTGGCTGGACCACTGTGCCCAGAATTTGGCCAAACATAATTCTACGAGGATTCTCATTTTTTGGATGAGATTAACATTTAAATTGCTGGACTTTGAGTAAAGCAGATTGCCCTTCATAATGTGAACAGGTCTCATTGAATCAGTTGAAGGCTTGAATAGAACAAATGAGTGACCTCCTAAGAAAGAAAGAATTCTGTCCAGGCCTTTAGACTCAAACTGCAACTTTTCCCTGAGTCTTCAGCCTACTGGCTTACCCCACCAGATTTTGGACTCAGCAAGCCTCCATTGCATGAAATTGCATGAGCCAATTTCTTAAAATAAATCTTTCAGATAGATAGATAGATATTGATAGATATAGATACAGATATCTCCTGTTGGTTCTGTTTCTCTGGAGAACCCTGACTAGTACCAGCACCTTAGTTGACCTCTTGGGAAGGGAGATCCCACACCCTGTGGTATATATGGCACTTGTTTAGGTCAGGAAGTGACAGGAGGAGCCAGAACTCCCAGGCACATGAGTAGTTGGCCTGGATGCAGGATAGCAGCAAGGGGAGTGACCCAGCACTCCCAGTGAGAGGCCAGTTAGACCCAGGTAGCACAACCATGTGGCCACAGTGGCATTGGATGACCTTGTTGTGGCTAAGGTACAATAAGTGGCTGAAGGTTCAGAGTGGCAAGCAAGGAAACCTCAGGAGGAACACAAGTATGTCTGAAGCCTAACTGAAGCTAACTTCAGGTGCCAACTATCTAGATTTTTAATGTTGAGCATAAAATATCAGGATTTCTGGCTGGGTGCGGTGGCTCACATCTGTAATCCCAGCACTTTGGGAGGCTGAGGCAGGCGGATCACAAGTTCAGCAGATGGAGACCATCCTGGCCAACATGGTGAAACCCCGTCTCTACTAAAAATTTAAAAAATTAGCCAGGCGTGGTGGCGGGGCGCCTGTAGTCCCAGCTACTCGGGAGGCTGAGGCACAAGAATCGCTTGAACCGAGGAGGTGGACATTGCAGTGAGCCAAGATCGCGCCACTGCACTCCAGCCTGGCAACAAAACAAGACTCCGTCTCAAAAAAAAAAAAAAAAAAAAAAAAATCAGGGTTTCTTCAGAAGACTGAAATGTGTACAATTGGCTCAGTCACTAAGACCTTAAATTTTCACTAACTCTTGGTGATTCTTCAGACACCTAGGATATAAATCAATAATATATTATTTGGTGTATTTTATTTATTTTATTTTTGGAGACAAAGTCTCACTCTGTCACCCAGGCTGGAGTGCAATGACACAGTCATGGCTCACTGCAACTTCTGCTTCCTGGGCTCAAGCCATTCTCCAGCCTTACCCTCCCAGGCAGCTGGAACAACAGGCACATGCCACCACACCTGGCTAATTTTTGTATTTTTTGTAGATACGGAGTTTCACCATGTTGCCCAGGCTGGTCTGAAACTCCTGAGCTCAGGCAACCTGCCAGCCTCGGCCTCCCAAAGTGCTGGGATTACAGGTGTGAGCCACCGTGTCTGGTCTTGGCATATTTTAAATCACATTCAAAAACTCCAACAGTGAATCAGTCATTTCCAGAGTCCACTGTGAAGAAAGAATGAAATAATAATCCATTTACCCACACTCCTAACCCAGCACATTCAAACCCCAGCATTTAAGTGTGATCTATTACAGTCTTAGCACCTGATAGAGCCCTAAAACTACTTATATATTTATATATTTCTGCATAACAAACAACCTTGAAACTTAGTGGCTTAAAACAACAACAATCATTTGTGTGCTTGCAATCCTGCGATTTGGACAGGGCTCAGCTGAAACAGCTTGTCTCTTCGTGTTGAGTAGGATGGCTTAACTGGGGCTGGACTATGGGAGAGTGGCCTTATTCACATGACTGGCAGTTGATTCTGGCTGTTGGCTGGGAGCACAGCTGGGGCTGTCCACAGGAACCCTGCGTCTCTTCCACATGACCAGCTTGAACTTTCTCAGAACATAGCATCTGGGTTCTAAGAAGGAGCATTTCAAAAAAGCAAAACAAGAGGCTGCAAGACTTCTTAAGGCCTAGGGCCACTTTCACACGACTTACAAAGCAAGTCAGAGGCCAGTCCAGATTTAGCATAGAAGCAGAATTCTCAGATGGCTCCCATGATCTCTGGCACCTCGTATTACTCCTGTGATTATGTAACATGGCAAAAGAGATTTTGTATATGTAATTAAGACCACTAATCAATGACCTGAAGACACAGTGGGTGGGCTTGACTTAATTCCATGCATCCTTTAAAAGCATAGTTTTCTCTGGCTGGTAGCAGAAGGGCAAGTCAGAGAGATTTGAAGTGTGGGTGGGATTCAGTGAGACAGAGGTTCTCCATCACTGAGATGGGGAGGGGGCACATGGCAAGGATCTGAGACTGGCCTCTGGCAGCTAAGAGTGTTCCATGGTCAACAGTTGGCAAAGCAATGGGGACCTCAGCCCTACAACCAGAAAGAAATGAATTCTGCCAATAACCTAAGGGAGCTTGGAAATGGAGCTTTCCCTAGGAGAACCTCTAAATGAGGGTGCTGGAAGGCACTTGAATTTCAACCTTGTGAGACCTTGAGTGGAAGACCCATATAAAATGTGCTGGCCTGTTGTCATATGGAAACTGTGAAATAATAAATTTATTTTAAGCTAGGTTTGTGCTAATTTCTGTGGTAATAGAAAACCTATACACAGGGGATAGAACATGGAATAGACTTTGCCTCTTGAAGAGAGGAGTAGCAAAGGCTCACTGCAAATGACTGTGGGTTGGGGGATATTGTTTGAGAATATGGAGTCCATGTCAATCCAAATAATAACTAGAGTTATATGACAGAAAAACCAACACCTACTGCTATTCTCAGCAACCTATGATTGTGAGTTTGGGTTTTCTAATTAAGGAGCAATAAGAAATAAGAAACTAAGGTGACCCACAGCTGAAGTTATCCATTGTCATTGCTGCCTTGACAAAAATTGCATATAATTATCTTCCCTCTTATAAATGTGAAGTGATTATCATAATTTTTCATTATTATTTTTCATTAGCAAGCAACATTTTAGAAATTGCTGACTAAAATTTTTGGCCTACAAGTGTGCAAAACACTGATAAGAGGTCCAATAAGGGCTAAAGCATGAGAAAAACTGTCTTGTGCACATCTGTGAAATAATCAGAGAAAATGATCTCATCTGGCATTACAATATTTAAATATAAACTCTTTTTTTTTCTTTTGAGACAGAGTCTCGCTCTGTCACTAGGCTGGAGTGCAGTGGCATGATCTCGGCTCACTGCAACCTCCACCTCCCGGGTTCAAGCAATTCTCCTACCTCAGCCTCCTGAGTAGCTGAGACTACAGGCATGCACCACCACGCCCAGCTAATTTTTTTGTATTTTTAGTAGAGACGGGGTTTCACCATGTTGGCCATGATGGTCTCAATCTCTTGATCTTGTGATCTGCCCCCCTCGGCCTCCCAAAGTGCTGGGATTACAGGCGTGAGCCACCACACCCGGCCAATATCAACTAGTTTTTAAGGGTTCTTGAAGCAAGAGGCATTGCTATGCTATAGCTAAGATATTTCACAAGGACTTGATGTCAGCTCAGAAGGAGGTTATGTGTACATTAAAGACAATCAGAGAAACAACCCATCACGACTGCACACGGTGCTCACGCCTGTAATCCCAGCACTTTGGGAGGCCCAAGGCAGATAGATCACCTGAGGGTAGGAGTTCGAGACCAGCCTGACCAACATGGTGAAACCCCATCACTACTGAAAATACAAAAAATTAGCCAGTATGGTGGCAGGCACCTGTAATCCCAGCTATTTGGGAGGCTGAGGCAGGAGAATTGCTTGAACCCGGGAGGCAGAGGTTGCAGTGAGCCAAGATTGCGCCATTGCACTCCAGCCTAGGCAACAAGAGCGAGACTCCATTTCAAAAAGAAAAGGAAGAAAGAAACAAGCCATCATCATTGTGTTCGCAATTTATGTTCCTCGAGGTCTCAAAAAGGTATTTATATATCAAAATCTAAAAATGAGGCCAGGTGCAGTGGCCCATGCCTGTAATCCCAGCATTTTGGGAGGCCAAGGAAAGTGGATCGCTTGAGCCCACGAGCTGAAGGACAGCCTGAGCAACATAGTGAGACCCTGCCTCTAAAAAGTACATATTAAAAAATTTGAAAAAAGAAAACAAAAAAATGTGCCCTTCCTTCAAATGGATAAGGTCAATAGATAATTGATATAATAAAAAAATGTAAAGGTTTACTTACCCCTATAATACAAAGAAAATGGGCCTTGGGGATAGGGATTATGATACAAACGGTGGTCAACATGCATTGAGTGCTGTGTTCCAAGCATCATGCTGAGCTCTTAATTTCATTCTAACCTTATTACTGCCCTGCAATATAGGAATCCTTGTTCCCAGTTAACAGGTAGGAAAAAAGAGCAGAAAAAAAAGTTGAATAAATTGCCCAGGATACACAGGAGTTCTGTAGGCCCAAAATGAGTACACCTAACCCCAGAGCCATACCTTGAGCATAATGTCATGCAGGAAAGACAGGGCAGACTGTTGGAAACAAAGGGCCTCCAGAAGAGGCTGGAAGTGATGCTTCCACTGGAAGTAAAAAGATAAATTTGGAGAAAATAGACAAACCAGCCAGAAGTCTGCAACTGTGATTCATAAACATCTAGGGCAGAAATAATTTCTTTGATCACAAAAGAAAAGGAGAACCCCAGGGATTCCAGCAAGAGCATGAGGGGGGCACAGGGAGAACTGATGAGAAGATTTTTCAGGCATCAGCAACTAATAGGAAGATTTTCACAAGACCCAAACTTTGGCAGGATGCAGAGCAGGGAGAGAAAAGGGCTGAATTTACATTTCATGTTAATTAAAGATATTGCTCTTAAACTGCATGGTAAAGACTGCATTTCCAGATTCAGATTCTCTTTGGAATGCTGGGAGAAAAGGGATTGCACCAACTCAGTTATTTATATAAGATTATTTAAGTGGAAAAGTTTGAGCAAATTTGAACGGATGTGGGTAATATGGGAAGAAGCCCTCCCTATCTGTAATTCCTAGGGAAGAGTTTACGGTCTCTGCTAACACTGAACTCTGCTTACGGATGTCTGCAACACCATGCTCTCACAGATTGCTAGAAAGTTCAAAACCCAGCACAACAGCTGTGTTGTATTGGTACTCTAGATGAATAAGATAATTTAAAACAGGATTCTGTTGCACTTTTATCACCTGATGTAAGTTCAGTTATGTCAACTAAATCATAGAGCATATAATAAAACCCAAATTCCTTTTTTTTTTTTTTTTTTGGAGACAGGGTCCTGTTCTGTCACCCATGTTGGACTGCAGTGGCATGATCATAGCTCACTACAGCGTCAGCCTCTCAGGCTCACGCAATCCTCCTGCCTCAGCCTCCTGAGTACCTGGGATTACAGGTGCATACCACCATGCCCAGCTAATTTTTGTATTTTTTGTAGAGACAGGGTTTTGTCATGTTGCCCAAGCTGGCCTAGAACTCCTAGACGTAAGTGATCTATCTGCCTTGGCCTCCCAAAGTACTGAGATTGCAGGCATAAGCCACCAGGCCCAGCCTCCCCAAATTACCTTAAAGTAGCTAAATATTTTATTATTATTATACTTTAAGTTCTGGGGTACATGTGCAGAACGTGCAGGTTTGTTACATACGTATACACGTGCTATGGTCGTTTGCTGCACCCATCAACCCGTCATCTACATTAGGTAATGGCTAAATATTTAACAAATGAATTCACCAAATATTTTGCTGATTAATTCTAATAGTTACTACACTCTTCTGACGTCATTAATTTAATAAATCCATAGAATAAATAAATATTCTTATTTATTCAATTCTCTAGAAGAGTTTGCATTCAATGTTTATTAGAATTTGTCTTCACAATTATCTGGAACTATTATTTTCTTTATGAGAATTCCATTTGAAATTATCAATTCTGTGCATTTAAGGGAATACTCGGGGGTTTGGGGGTTTTTTTAGTTAATTTTGGTAACATTTTTCTAGGCATTTGTTCATTTTTATTTGTTTTAAAATTTATTGTCATAAAATTTTCCTCTTAATTTCTTTCCAATCTCTGCTGCTCCTTAGGTTATGTTCCAGTTATCATTCCCAATACAGTATTTTTGTTTTTGTTTTCGTTTGTTTCATAATACAGTGTTTTTGTGCCCTTTCTCTCTTCTTTTAACCAATCTACCAGAGGTAAGTTAATTTTATTAGTGATTTCCAAAAACCATTTTTCTGCTCTACTGAACTTTTTTTACCTTTGTCTTCTATTTCATTCACTTTTACTCTATTCTTTATTATTTTCATATTTCTCATACTCCTAGGTATATTCTGTTGCTACATTTATAAATTTTTTAACCAGCTGATTATCTCCAGCCTGGGTGACAGTGAGACCCTGTCTTAAAAAAAATAAAATTTTCAGGCTTTTGGCTTTTCTTAGTGACCCATGCAAGTCTATAAGCTTTTTTCTTTTTCTTTTTTTGTTTTGTTTTGTTTTTTGTTTTTGAGACTGAGTCTTGCTCTGTTGCCCAGGCGGGAGTGCGGTGGCACAATCTTGGCTCATTGCAACCATCTCCTGGGTTCAGCCAATTCTCCTGCCTCAGCCTCCTGAGTAGCTGAGATTACAGGCACCCACCAATACGCCAGCTAATTTTTGTATTTTCAGTAGACATGGGATTTCACCATGTTAGCCAGGTGGGTTTCGAACTCCTGACCTCAAGTGATCCGCTCGTCTCAGCCTCCCAAAGCACTGGGATTACAGGCGTGAGCCACCACACAAGGCCATACAAGATTTTTCCTTTTGTATACATGTGGCTATAGTTAATAACAATGTATAATATTCTTTAAAATTGCTCAGAGTAGATTTTGTGTTCTTATCACAAAAAAAGATATGTTTATGAGGTAATGCATATGTTAATTACCTTGATTTAGCTATTCCACAATGTATACATATTTCAAAACATAATGTTGTACACAATAAATATATACAATATTTGTTTCTCAATTAAAATAAATTAATTGGCCGGGCGCAGTGGCTCCCACCTGTAGTCCCAGCACTTTGGGAGGCCGAGGCAAGTGGATCACTTGAGTTCAACAGTTTGAGACCAGCATGAGCAATATGGTGAAACTCTGTTTCTACAAAAAATATAAAAATTAGATGGGCATGTAGGCCTGCACCTGTGGTCCCAGCTACAGGTGGGAGCCTGAGATGGGGGGACCATCTGAGCCCAGGAGATCGAGACTGTAGTGAGTTGTGATTGCACCACTGCACTCCAGCCTGGGCAACAGACTGAGGCCCTGCCTTTAAAACAATAAAAAATAGCTGGGCGCAGTGGCTCGTGCCTGTAATCCCAACACTTTGGGAGGCTGAGGTGGGCGGATCGCCTGAGGTTGGGAGTTCGAGACCAGCCTGACCAACATGGAGAAACGCCGTCTCTACTAAAAAAAAAAAATACAAAATTAGCTGGGCGTGGTGGCATATATTTGTAATCCCAGCTACTTGGGAGGCTGAGGCAGGAGAATTGCTTGAACCTGGGAGGCAGAGGTTGCGGTGAGCCAAGATTATGCCATTGCACTCCAGCCTGAGCAACAAGAGTGAAACTCTGTCTCAAAAAAATAAATAAAATAAAAAATAAAAAATTAATTCATTAACCAGGAAAAGATGATATGTTTCCCTTTATGCATTGCTGAAGCCAAATCTCAAATTTTTTTTTTTTGAGATGGAATTTTACTCTTGTTGCCCAGGCTGGAGTGCAATGGCGCAATCTCAGCTCACTGCAACCTCTGCCTCCCAGGTTCAAGCAATTATCCTGCCTCAGCCTCCCGAGTAGCTGGGATTACAGGTGCACACCACCACACCCGGCTAATTTTTTGTATTTAGTAGAGACGGGGTTTCACCATGTTGGTCAGGCTGGTCTTGAACTCCTGAACTCAGGTGATCCACCTGCCTCAGCCTCCCAAAGTGCTGGGATTACAGGTGTGAGCCACCACACCTGGCCTCAAATATTTTTATATGTAGCACTTGTTTTTGTTTTTCAGTTCTACATATTTTTAAATTTCCATTATGATTTCTTCTTGACCTATGAATTATTTAAAAGTATTGCATGAATGTTTTTAAATTTCCTAGTATATGGGATTGTTATGGTCAATTTTCACAAATTGATTTCAACTGTAATTCCATCATGGTCAGAAATTGTGGTTCCAATTCTTTAAAATATATTGACCCTTGCATTATAGACTATTTAGTCAAATTTCACATGATTCTGTGACAGTGAAAAGAATGTGCATTCTCCAATTGTTTTGCGGGGTCCTATATGTCCCTTAAATTGGGTTTATTACATGACTTAGTCAAAATTTATTTATTTTTATTGATTTTTAAAATATACTTGATTTATTGGATGAGGTGAGTTAAAATCATTCACTATCATGAGATACTTTTCTATTTCTTTTTGTAATTCTATCAGTTTTTGATTCATATTTTGAAGCTATCTTACTAAGTGTATTCCAATTTAGAATTTTTATAAACATTATAATGTTATAACATTATAAACACAAATGGTTGTGTATTGTGTAACATATTACACACATACACATATATATCCACACATATATAAACACGTGCACATACATACATATACCCCTGTGGTAGCCAGCCTTCAACATGGCCCCCTGTGAGCCCTACCTCCTGGAATTCACACTCTTGAGGAGTCCCCTCTGACATTGTACCAAGATTGGTCTGTGTGTCCAACAGAATACAGCAGAAGTGATAATGCTGTCATGTCCAAATCAGGCTATGAAAGAATGTGGTTTCCATTTTGGGTGCTCTCTTGTTCTCTTTCTCTCTCTCTCTCTCTCATCTTGGGGGGCAAGCTGCCATGTGTGAGCAGCCCTATGGAGAGGCCCAGGTGGTGTGGAACTGAAGTCTCTGGTCAACAGCTAGCAAGGGACTGAGACCTGTTAACAAACATGAGAGTGAGATTGACAGAGGATTCTCTAAGCCCACTCAATCCTTGAGGACGCAACTTCATGAGAGACCCTGATTTAAAACCACCCAGGTAAGTCACTCCTAGATTTCTAATCCCATCTTCAGTGAACAAGGAAATGCTACAATTCTAAACATCGACCATGAGAAATGCTTGCCAAATACTTTCAAATTTGAACAGAAATGATGGTGAACACTGACAGCCTTGGCCCTCAAGCAGGGTATATACGTTTCTGAGAAGAGGCGACAGTTCCAAAGAGTCTTTGATTAAAGCTCCAAGATCCAAGGACATGGGAGATGATGGGAGAAGCAGTACAGGCACCTAAGGAGACATTGATTCTGCATTGGACAGTGGCAGGGGAAAGGTACTGAAAGAGAGATCGTGATAGCAATAGTCTGTTTATCTATGACCTGGTCTCATAGTTGAGAAAGGTAGTTTAAGGGATTTCACTGGACACCACATTTACCTCCAGAATGCTAAATATGATGATTATATGAAGCTTAGGAAAGAGGAAGTCACAGTTCTGGGAAGCTGAAGATTGCTCAACTTCACTCCTCACCTCCTCCCACTAGGACCTCCCCCCTATTGACATCAGAAATACACCAGCCCAGGCACTATCCACCAAAGGAAGAAAGAAAAGAAAAAGAGTAAAGGAATATAAGTCAAAATACAGATAAAGAATATATGCAAACAAAGGAATTATCCAAGGAATCAGAACAAGAATTCCAAACACAATAGGGAATAAAGGAAAACCAGTAGAGCTCGGGGGGGGATAGAACAGAATATAAACCATTACCCCAAAACACTACGTGATAAATAAAAATGGAAAAATACAATTAAAAGCATCATAAAGGACAGGTTTTTTTAGAGCCGCCAAAAGAGATGGAAAGAGCAATGAGAAAAAAAAATAGTGAAGATGACAGATGTGAAAGTAAAGAGAAATCTAATGTACACACAGCTGCTATTCCTTTATAGAATACCAGAGAAGACTAGAACAAAACAAGTGAATTTTTAAGAAATTCTTTCCAAAATATGATAGAAGAAAACTATTCCAAAACAAATACTTCAACTTTCTGGACAAAAGACCACAATGTCCCAGGAAAAAGTGAGGTAGAATAAACAAAACCAAGATGTATCCTAAGGAAGGGAAAAGAACCAACCCAGACAGAGAAAAGCAAAAGTTACACACAAAGCATAAAAGAAAAATTTACATACAAGAGAGAAAAATCAAGTGGCCCTCAGACTTCACCATGAAAATCATCTATTCTGGAAGACAATAGAGCACAGCACAGAAAGTTCTATGGGAAAGTATAATCTAAGGATTTGTAAACAACAAATTTGTTCTTCATGTATAAAGGCAAAAGAAAGACTCTCTAGCATGGGGAAACTCAAACAAAACAGCACCTCTGAGCTCTCCTTGAAAAAATAAAAACAGCACAAATCCTCTTTGATGATAAAAATCCAGCCATGCAAGGGAGAGTGGACTCCAGGAAAGGATTCATAAATTAAGGTACACTGGTAAAAATCACCACAGCGAGTATGAAGACTGGAGACAGACTACCTGGGCCTGAGCCATATGTCTCTGTGCAACCTTGGGACCAGAGCTCTTTGTAGCTAAGTTTTCTCATTGTAAAATGGAGACCATAGTATAATTTAAATCTTAAGGTTTTCTAAGACTTAATTTGGCTCATATACATAACATGCTTACAGTGACTGGCACTGGAAAAGAGCTATGAGCTATATGTGTGTAAGCTAATATTTTATTTTATAAATCAGTCTAAACATTAATACTATGGTATCATGCACTCCAAAATTTGTTAAGAGTGTAGGTCTCACGTTAAATGTTCTTACCACACACATACAAAAAAGGAGACGCAGGGAAATGTTGGTGGCAGATATATCTATTACCCTCATTGTGGTGATAGTTTTGTGGGTGTTTGTGATGGTGGCAGGAGGCAGACAGGTTCCCAGGAGGGAAGGGTTGGGTCCTTGGTGAAACCCCACCTTCAAGCCAGGGACAACCTGAAGCTTGGGGGCCGGGCTGCCAGTTCCAGATGAAGTCCCTGACCTGGAGTGAGAACTTCCTTGATGCCTTTCAGCCAATCAAGTGGTGCTTTTTCCAGGCCCACCCTAGACCAATCAACACACACTTCCTCCATTCTGGGCCCATAAAAACCCCCAGACTCAGCCAGACTCAGACACTCATGTTGACTACCTGCTGGTGGACAGGAGCTACCCACTTCGGGTATCCTCTCTGCTGAGAGCTGTTCAGTAGCCCAGTAAAGCTCTTCTCCACCTTGCATACCCTCCAGTTTTCCGTGTATTCTCATTCTTCCTGGACATGGGACAAGAACTCAGCATCCACCAAATGGCGGGAGCGAAAGGAGGTGTAACGCTTTCCTGGCTGGCTCACCAAGCTGTGGGTGGGAGGTAAGGGGCTATAACATGTTCCTAGCTGGCTCGCTGAGCTGTGGGTGATGACAAGCTCCCAGACTGTGGCAGTGAAGAGTGGTGACCCTTCTGGGGACCCAGACCTAGGGATTCCCCAAGCCAGAGCTGTAACACTCTAGCCCTTGTGCCCTCTGGAGTGCCAGGTGGCCACTCCACATAATGGGAAGCAGCAGCAGGGCTGAGCCAGCCCAGGATCTGCAGGCCAGCAGGACTGACAGAGTTGTAACACAGACGGCTGAAACATACCCCCACAAAACATACCTCCTACTCACCAGGCTGTGGGCAATAAGAGGGAGAAAAGAGCCGTCGCCCTTCTAGAAGCCCAGACCTCAGGGCTCCCCAAGCCAGGGCTGTGACACACCGTAACACCCTCTTTGGGCTCTGTGGTTCCTGGAGTCTCCAAACTTTCAGGTGCCACTGCATTCCCTTTGTCCAGATCCAGATGCTGGTGCCTACAGTGGAAGCCACTCATGGTACACCTGGCCCAGCTGCAGCCTTGCATGGAGCTGGTGCCTGTGCTGGCACCTGGAGCTACCAACCCCGCCACAGCAGCCAATGTGCCTGGCTGTGCACAGTGGCCAGACCCCATGCTCGCTTGCTTACATACCCCTCGCTGCGCCACACCTGGCTCACCCTTGGCAGGCATGGAATCCGGGCCAGTTGTGCGAGCTGAGTGCAGTCTGCCAGGCTGAGTGGGCAGAACGAGCCCAGCAGGCACAAGCAAAACTCAAGAAGAGGCACCACCGGCCACAGAGGTTTCCAGCTGGTGAAACGACACCTGAAGGATCCTATGACATTTTCATAAATGCAAACTCATCATATTGTACACATTGAGTTGTACAGTTATTTGTATATCAACTCTACCTCAATAAAGAGCTGTTAAAAAAAAAAAAAGAAAGAAAGCTAAACAATGATGAGAGCTGTTGCTACAAATCAGAATATTTGGGTACCTTGTAGAATAGCTGGGAAGGATAGGTAAATAACCTTAAAGGCTACAAAGCCAAGAACACCCAAAACAATGCTTCAAGACTGGTCTAGCAAGCTCAGGCCTATTGCCACTGCCAATCGCCAGAAGCTGCAGCTATAACCCCAACACTCCCGGCACTGGATGCTGGAAGCCACCATGGGCACTGCTGCAGCTGGTACTCCTGAAGCTTGATCTTGCTGCAGTGACCGCCAGAGAGTGTACCTGATTGGTGGGCCTAAATTACAGGCCCACACCCAAGGTGCAAAGGAACCTGGGAAGTGAGTATCTTCACTTTCAGCTTTCATAGTGGCAGGTGGACCTTGTCTCCTACCCAAATCATGTGGAGGAGTTTTCAAACAAGAAGATTCAGATGTTAGGACACCTAAAAGAATAACTTATCTCTTCTACAGTAAAAGAAGGCAATATAGCTTAGAGAGATTAAGAGCATGGGCCCTATACACTCATTGCCTCTGGGGAAATGCTCTGTAACTATGGCCATAGAAGATTTAGTTTCATTGGGAAATGGAGATAATATTAAGTTTAAATGAGGTTTACTGAGTTTTAAATGAGGTTTAAATGAGTAAATTCATGTAAAGCACAGAGTAAGTGCTCAGTAAATACTAACTAGGAGATATGAAAGTAATTATTACTATTATTCTTATATTCCACCCCTTCACTGCCCAGTATCAACCTTTCTGCACATAATTATAATCTCTGAAGTGCTCTCATCTAACAAAATTAAAGTGTCTTTATGCAAACAAAAATACACTCGCCCCTTCTTTAAAGTCTCAAAGCCCAAAGAGTTTATACATCTGGCTTTAAGTCCAGGCTCTGGGAGATGTCATTTCTCATTTGCTCTATCTCAGCCCTTGTTGGTAGCCTGTAATATGTAGACTAAATTGTAAGGTTAACCACCTTCCATATGCCCTGTATATAACTGCAGGAGGAAAAGGAGAGGAAAGAAGAGGGAAGTTAGGGTACATAAGCATATCCATGAAAAGCAGAGTAGAAAACATGTGTTGCTGAAATCATTCTTATATCAGCAATGTTGTACAAATAGCATAGCTGGTATTCATGACTTATTCTTCTACCAGCTACTCCATGTTCCCTTGCCTTCCACCAGCATCTCAGCTTGTTGGGATTCTACCGGATGAAGTGAACTACACCTCACTCATGAGGGATCTGAGCCTATCGCGGTCCAGTTTCCACTGAGTGTCCTGCCTACTTTGATTGTTGGCAGCGGTAGTGGAGAGGCACCAGTGGCTTCATTGAGTCACATGCATATCCCTTCTTCCCTCATGTGATCCATGTTGCAGATTGGGTTCTCTGGAAATGGATGCTGCCATGGGGCTTGGGGTGGGAGGTGTTTGTTGGGATCGCCAATGGGAAGTTAAGGGAGAGGAATGGGGCTGAGGGAGATGTTAAACTGCCAGGCAAGCCCAACAAAGCCTTGGCCAACCTGGTGGGAGCTCCAGGGCCAGTGTGGCCATCGCCATGTCCTGCACCAGGTGGCAATACCTGCTCCTCGTGTGGCTGTCATACTAGGAAGAGTGTGACCTGGTGAGGTGGCAGACCCTGAAGAAGAGAGCTGGAAGCTGCCTGCTGACTGCACTCCCCGCAGCTGGGTGGCAAATCCTTGCCTGAAAGGTATCTGGGTGTTCATCATATTTCCTACAGGCAGCAATCCCATTTCCCCCTTCGGAGCCAGGCACAATCACCTCATCAACATTGTAAACCCCCTGTTTTTTTGTTTGTTTGTTCAGCCAATGGCATATGGAAACCTCAGCTTCCAACTTGGTGGAAACATAGTTGTATCCACTAGTGGAAGCAATCATTCTTCCCATGGGCATCAAACAAAGCTTCAAAATCTTGAAAATGGGCAAAGAAAATTTTGCAAGTGGGTCATTGTGTATAGCAGTCAGAAGTGCCACTGCCTTGTCTACCATGTTTATTAAATCTGGAGCAAAACAGCAGCTCAAACACTGTACTTTTAGGAAAACAAATACTGACGTGTTTATTTCATAGATGTACTCCTAGAAAACAAATCTGTATGTAAGTCAAACCATGGCAAATTGAACTGTATTTTAAATGCATCTGGGGAGCTCGTAATATAAAGGAAGTTGTTCTGCAAGAAGAAAATTATTTTTATTAATCAAGTAGTCCCTTTTTCACTCTCCCACTTCCTTTTCTCAGCCTACTCTCTACCTCCAGCAAAATTAATATATTTTATCAATTAACCTGTTTGAGCTTTTAAAGTAGAACACATTTGCACTGTTAACCACAATTTAATATCCCATAATACTTCCTGGAAATAGTGGTTTCTTATTCTTAATGATATAACTAGGGTTTATGAAATTATCTCAACAGGAGGTAATAGAAATATGAATATAAAAATCTTTCCATTAAGGAATGAAAAAAGTTAAATAAATGTCCCCATGACAGGGCTCCAAGCACTTATTCTCATTAAGAAACATTCACAGCCTGAAGAGTTAAGTGGAGATACATGTGTGACTACAGTTCAGTACCATGGAAGATGTAATGTTTCAAGGCTTCTAGGATTAATGTCAGTAAAATGTTCTTAAGTTATTCTGAGTTTATTTTAATTGTAATATACCATGCTTCTTAATAGACTTTTTATATGCCTCCTAATTTTACCTAGACTTTGCAAGTTTTGCTTGTGCAGTGTTCTGTAGTACTGTTCATTAATTCAGCAAATAAAAATTCAGTACTTTCTGTGTCAGACCAAGGGGTTATAAAACATTGTCCTTCTCCAAAGGAACTTACGATCTGATGGGCATACAGAAAAGTAAATTTAAAAATTGTAGTGGTTCCCAGCCAGGTATGGTGGCTCACGCCTGTAATCCCAGCACTTTGGGAGGCCCAGGTGGACGGATCACGAAGTCAAGAGATCGAGACCATCCTGGCCAACATGATGAAACCCCATCTCTACTAAAAATACAAAAATTAGCTGGGCATGGTGGGGCATGCCTGTAGTCCCAGCTACTCAGGAGGCTGAGGCAGGAGAATCACTTGAACCCGGGGGGGCAGAGGTTGCAGTGAGCCGAGATCACACCACTACACTCCAGCCTAGCAACAGAGTGAGACTCTGTCTCAAAAAAAAAAAAAAAAATTATAGTGGTTCCCTTATAGAGGTATGCCCAAGATTGCCAGAAAGAAGGCCACCATGCTCTGTTATGAGCATTCAGGAAAAATGACGCAAGGACATGCCACTCAAGCCAAGATGTAAGGCTATGGAGGAAGTAGCTGAGAATGCGCTTCTATTGCTTTGTTTTTTTTTTTTTTTACTCTGTCACCCAGAGTGCAGTGCAGTGGTGTGATTTCAGCTCACTGCAACCTCCGCTTCCTGGTTTCAAGCAATTCTCGTGCCTCAGCCTCCAGAGCAGCTGGGATTACAGGTGCCTGCCACCACACCCGGCTAATTTTTGTATTGTTAGTAGAGATGGGGTTTCACCATGATAGCCAGGCTAGTCTTGAACTCCTTGCCTCAAGTGATCCACCTACCTCAGCCTCCCAAAGTGCTGGGATTACAGGCGTGAGCCACCGCGCCTGGCCTATTGCTTCTTTTTTATCTTTCAGTTGTAAGTGCTGTCCTTCAGCTTCTCCTGTGGGGAGATAAGGATTTGGCCTCCTCTTGCTTCTGCCACATGCACCAGCCCTCCCGTTCAGCCACTCTTCTGAATCATATCACAATCTTGGTTAAATCAACTTCAATATTTACATTACAGTGACAATATGAGTCACCTGGCATATGATTATTTCTCCTTTCTCACTTTTTAAATTATCTTTTATTTTCATTTGCTTGGTTTTCAGCCACAAATTCTCTAAAGTTTCTGAATTTCCACTCAAAACTCTTGACACATCAAGCCTTGTGTTGATGTCATCCTTGTCCTGCAGGCTGGCGCTGTCAGCTTCAACTGCAGCAGGTCATCAGACTGTGATCTCCCTTCACTTTCATGCTGAGGATTACCTCTCCTCCCTCCTGGGTTCACTATGCTGTTTTCTTCTTCTTCAATTTACACTCTCATGTTGGGAGGCATATCCCCTGATACCCTGAGAAAGGGTACAGGAAATCCAAAATTTGAGGGAAGTCTTATATTTGGAGATGGGATGAAGGAAGGATGGATAGATGACGAAGGAGTATAAGGACACTTCCAGGTGAGATGGATATACTCATTACCTTGACGGTAGTGATGGTTTCATGGTTATATACATATAGCAAATCTTATCAAATTGTGACATTATATTGTATGTCAATCGTATCTCAATTAAGCTGCAATAAAAGATAAATAAAAAGGTATGCATATAAAACTCAGAAGCTGGGCTGGGCGTGGGGGCTCATGCCTGTAATCCCAGCACTTTGGGAGGCTGAGGTGGGTGGATCACGAGGTCAGGAGATCGAGACCATCCTGGCCGACATGATGAAACCCCGTCTCTACTAAAAATACAAAAATTAGCTGGGCATGGTGGCACATGCCTGTAATCCCAGCTACGCAGGAGGCTAAGGCAAGAGAGTCGCTTGAACCAGGGAGTCAGAGGTTGCAGTGAGCCAAGATCGCGCCACTGCACTCCAGTCTGACAACAGAGCAAGACTGTTTCAAAAACAAAACAAAAAAAAAACACACCTCAATAGTTTATCAACTTATGTTATTTGTAAGTCTATGGGGAAACAGGTACTCTCATACAATGCTGGTGGGAATGTAAAATGTTACAGCCTCTAGGGGAGAAATTTGACAATATCTAGCCAAATTACAAATGTGTTTTCTTTGGCTCAGTAATTCTGTTTCTAAGAATCTGTACCAAAAATACATGAGCAGAAATACAAAATGACATTTGCACAAAACTGTTCATTGAAGCACTAGTTGTAATAACAAAAGACTGGAATCAATATAAACGTACGTCAGCAGAATATTGATAAATGATGGTACAGCTATGTAATGAAGCAGTGCACAGTTGGAAAGAAGTGAGAAAAGTCTCTATATACTGCTATGGAATGATCAAGATGTATCGTTAAGTGAAGATAACAAGTTCTCAAACATTGAGAATATTCTACCTTTTGTTCCTGGAAATTCTCTATATCTTGATCTGGGTGATAGCTACACGAGGTGTATAAATGTGTAAAACTTCACTGAGCTGTACATTTAAGATGAGCACACTTTACCATATATAACATCCTAATAAAACATTTTTTTAAACTAGATAGGAGCAAATTGAGGAATGCATGGAAGAAGAAATGGAGACAATGAGAATTTTGTCTATGCAAAGGCAGGACTAGCTAGAGAGAATGTAATGTCAGAGGAAGGTTTTTCTTTCCTTCCTTTTCTCCCTTTCTTCTTTCTTCCTTTTTAAAATGGGACTTAAGCATATCTCAAAGCTGATGGCTGATGAGAAAGAGCAATTGAAAAGTAAGATTGAGTCTATATAAGAAAGAGAAGGTGGGCCAGGCACAGTGGCTCACGCCTATAATCCCAGCACTTTGGGAGTCCGGGGTGGGCGGATCACAAGGTCAAGAGTTCAAGACCAGCCTTGCCAACATAGTGAAACCCCATCTCTACTAAGAATACAAACATTAGTCAGGCGTGGTGGTGCGTGCCTTTAATCCCAGCTACTCGGAAGGCTGAGGCAGAAGAATCACTTGAACCTGCAAGGAGGAGGTTGCAGTGAGCCAAGATCATGCCACTGCACTCCAGCCTGGGCGACAGAGCAAGATTTGGTCTCAAAAAAAAAAAAAAAAAGAGAAAAAGAGAGAAGGTATAATCAATACTACAAGGTGTTTGGAAAGTTGGGAGGGTATGAGAGTCAAAATTCCCCAGAAAGGTATTGTTCTTAGATGGGGAGAAACATTTTTACTGTCCCAACAGGGGAGAAGGAGGCTAGAATGGGGATCGCTATAGGGAGTTTTCAGAATTAGGAACACCAGGCCCTAAAGGAGATAGGGCATGCAGAGGGAGTGGAGGGAGGTGGTTGTGGAATCCAGGAAGCAGAAAAGCCTTGGAATAGTCATTACAGTGAGTAGGAGAGTAAAAAGTAAGCTGAACAGGGAAATATAGAAGGATCATCAGCTATTAGTTGGGTTTCACCAAACCCAACTAAGAGATAGGATAGAAAGGGCCTTTAGATCATTGACCAGGTATGTTACTAAAACAATGTATCATGCAGTCTAAGGTGATAAGCAGGAAATCAAGACAGCAGGAGACAGAATGATTAGAAGTAAACAGAAGTCCGCAAGGATTGGAGTTCCAGTGAGGTTGACAAGTGGTTGTACTGGGACTGGTTGAAAGCAGGCTGGCAGGAAAAGATGCTGTGGCCAGAAAGGGAAAGCTTGAACTGGTGATTCCGGGCATGTTGGGTGATGGTAGACCCCAAAATGGCCATGGGTTTGGAAGGCTCATGTGAAATGGAGGCTGGGCGTGGAGGTTCATGCCTGTAATCCAAGCACTTTGGGAAGATGAGGCAGGAGGTTCGTTTGAGTCCAAGAAGTTCCAGACCAGCCTCGGCAACATAACGAGGCCCTGTCTCTACTAAAAAATAAAATGTTAGCCAGGTGTAGTGGTACATGCCTATAGTCCCAGCTGCTTGGGAGACCAAGGTGGGAGGATAGCTTGAGCCCAGGAGGTCAAGGCTGCAGTAAGCTGTGATTGCATCACTGCCTCCAAGCCTGGGCAACAGACCCAGGTCCCATCTCAAAAAAAAAAAAAAAAAAAAGAAACAAAAAACTAAAATAAAAAGAAATAAAAATGAAGTGAGATGGAGATCCCCACCACACACAGATTAAAATCTGAGCCAGCAGTTCCCAAAGTGTTTTCTACAGAACATTGCTTGACAAAGGGCTTATGCACTAATGACACATTATTAAAGTTCTGATATATCTTGAATCAAAGAATCCTATTTACTGTGTTTAACCAAATATTCCCTGAACCTTTGAATTACTAAATTTTTTTTGGTTCAATATTTATCAGCAGTCTTCTAAACTAATGTTCTTCCAAACACACTTTAGCAACTTTCTGCTTTGCATGTAACCTGCTGAAACTCTAACATTAATGGAATGAAGTGAATAATTATCACAGCAAGTGATCATTTTTTAATATCTGGGTTTTTTTTTTTTTTGGTTTGTTTTTGTTTTGTTTGAGACAGAGTCTTGCTCTTTCACCCAGGCTGGAGTGCAGTGGTGCAATCTTGGTTCACTGCAACCTCCGCCTCCCGAGTTCAAGCGATTCTCCTGTCTCAGCCCAGTAGCTGGGATTACAGGCATGTGTTACCACACCCAGCTAATTTTTTTTGTATTTTTAGTAGGGATGGGGTTTCACCATGTTGGTCAGGCTGGTCTCGAACTCCTGACATCAAGTGATCTGCCCGCCTAGGCCTCCCAGAGTGCTGGGATTGCAGGCATGAGCCACTGCACCTACCCTTTAATATCTGCCTTAATGTATTTTGATATGAAAATATGATTTGCCTAGCAAAAGCATGTAAAAAAGTACAACATATGTTTCATTAGGATAATAATGTTAGGTTTACCATAATTTGCTATGAAGATAAATAACAACAGTGTTGTATTAGATCATTAGAGTTGGGATTTAACCATGATTATCTTAGTCCTTCATTAATACAACTATTTTGACCATTAAGTAGCCTTCTCTTAAAACTAGTTACATTCCTGCTACAGAAAAGGCATTAAATAATAAAGGTTCTGATGTCAATCCCATCAAATATGTATTTCTATTCTTTAAGCCTCATAAGAATTCTACCACATATAGTAAGAAGAGTAAAGAAGAGCCATTAAAATTAATATAAAAGGTCTCCATTTTCTTTCACTTCATTTCTCGGACATTTAAGATCAATAACAAAAATTAGGTACCTGATGTAAACTGTTTTAATGCTGTTGCTGCCCCTCTCTGAGGAAGAATTAATACTTCCTCTCCGCATTGACATTTTGCTTAGCCAATGAAATGTGAGTGGAATTGACTTGGCTCACTTAAAAGCAGAAGCTTTAAAGAGCCAGCTTATTGTTCGCCCATGTCCTCTCTCCCTCTGCTACGAGAGCAGCAATATTCCAGGTAGAGGCTGCTCCGTCAGCCTGAGTCCCTGAATGAAGGGGATATGGAGCAGAACTTCAGGTGATCCTGAAAGGACACGTGTTATGAGCAAGAAATCAACCTTTATTCATGTTAGCTACCAAGATTTGGGTGTCATTTTTTACCATTGCATGACTCAGCCTATTCTGACTAATACAGAAATCACATTGTCCACCCTATATTCATTTCCAAACACTAGCAACTGTTAATGAACACAAATAGAAGTCATCACCAGAAGCATAAAATTCCCTCCACAGAATGTCTAGAACAGTGATGGCAAATTGACTTAATCTCTCATATCAGCTCTAATGAACTCATAACGATGGCCTGAGTCAACTCTATAGAGAACGGTTCTGAAACCATGACCTTGCCTGGCAGGAAAGAGTTATCGTATTTATTAGTATGTTTCCAGTAGAAGGAGGGGTAATAAGCTGTCCATCCCTGGCCCATGAGGCACAACCTGTCCTCACTATCATTTCTGTTTTTTTCTGATTTTGTACAGGAGGCATTGTTTTTTAAATATACCCAGAAATAACAGAAACTAGTGCATAAAACATTTAGGCTAATAAATAATTTCATTTAACTGATGAAAGGAAGAGAAAAAAAGTGTTACTATCAGAGCTGACCACAGAATTCCTCCTCAGCAAGAGAACTGTCTTTGTTAGAAACATCTCTAGTGGACTTTTTAGTTATTAAGATGGCCCTCTAGACCAGGCCTGGATGGTTGGCCTGGGGAGGAAAATAGTGAAACTTTTATATCAGAAATGCACAGTGATTTTTGGAGTTGGAGCTGAATGAGCCATGAAGAAGCAGGGAAAATCCCAAGAAGAGGGCCAGAAGGTGTCCCACTGCATGGCAGGAGGCTGTGGGGAAGGCAGGACACAGGATGCGCCCTCAGAGGACAGAAAGGCTGAGGACTTTTGAGAACTGGGATGGTTGAGTATGCAGTTCAAAGTGTTTTACCCTTCTATTCTGTAATCTAACATCCCTAACCATGACCACACATGCGCACACATACAAACACACAATTATGGGTTGAATTGTGTCCGCTGAAAATTCATATGCTAAAGTCCTAACCCGCAGTGCCTGAGAATATGATCTTATTTGGAAATAGGGTCATTGCAGATATAGTTAATTAAGATGAGGTCATAGTGAAGTAGGGTAGACCCCTAATCCAATGTTACTGTGGTTATACAAGGAGGAAATCTGAACACAGACACTCACACGGTGACAGCCATATGAAGACAGGAGTGATGCTGCCACAAGCCAAGAAACTACCAGAAGCTGGAGGGGAGACCTGGAACAGATCCTTCCCTAGCACCTGTTAGAAACAGCATAGCCCTGCAGACACCTTCATCTCAGGTGTCTAGCTTCCAGAACTGTGAGACAATGAGACAAGAAATTTCTATTGTTTAAGCCTCTCAGTTTGTGTTACTTTTTATGGCAGCCCTAGGAAATTAACACATATGCACATGCACAAACATGAATGCACACACACTTATGCACACATATGCACGCACACACACATGCACACACTCATACGCACACACACTCATGCACAGACACATGCACACATGCACACACACTCATGCACACACATGCGTGCACATACACACACCGGTGCCCAAATCTTCATTAAAGCTTGCACCACACGCACAGCCATGACCAGTGGCAGTCTGGAGACTGAGGGGTTTGTATGGGAGTTGAGTAAGTACATAGGCTATGCAAAAGGAACGAGATATGCAGAGGCAGAGCCCAGAGTAGATGCCAGAAAGGCAGTGGAAGCAGAGACTCGTGGCAGAGGGAGCACAGGTTCCTTTCACATGCCCCACTAGCAAGAATTCTCAGAGCTATTGGGCAAGTATTGAGACGGAGCAGGGACCCCTCTTAAGGGCTTGCAGCACCCTCCTCCACCCCCAACCCCAAGCAGGGAAATAAAATCTTGAGTTCCTTCAAGGGAATTTACAGTCACCTAGCTAGCCTTGACAAGTAAATGAGCAATTTGATAAGCAAGACGGTAACAGTAGCTTAAAACAATAGCCAAGGAAGTTAGAGTCACACGAATATTTGGTTCCCAAGAGAAACTAAAGATAACACCTTAGCATATATTCTTGAGTTGTTTTTCAGAATTTGGACCTCCACTAAATGGGTACACTGGTACAGAGACCTCTGATAAGGGGGAACTGAGGACTGAACTCCGACCGCTGTTCTAAACTTCTTTCTGAGGCTCCGGAGGTGCCGGGATTGCAGACGGAGTCTGGTTCACTCAGTGCTCAATGGTGCCCAGGCTGGAGTGCAGTGGCATGATCTCGGCTCGCTACAACCTCCACCTCCCAGCCGCCTGCCTTGGCCTCCCAAAGTGCTGAGATTGCAGCCTCTGCATGGCCGCCACCCCGTCTGGGAAGTGAGGAGCGTCTCTGCCTGGCCGCCCATCGTCTGGGACGTGAGGAGCCCCTCTGCCTGGCTGCCCAGTCTGGAAAGTGAGGAGCATCTCTGCCCGGCCGCCATCCCATCTAGGAAGTGAGGAGCGCCTCTTCCCGGCCGCCATCCCATCTAGGAAGTGAGGAGTGTCTCTGCCCGGCCGCCCATCGTCTGAGATGTGGGGAGCGCCTCTGCCCCGCCGCCCGTCTGGGATGTGAGGAGCGCCTCTACGCGGCCGCGACCCCATCCAGGAGGTGAGGAGCGTCTCTGCCCGGCCGCCCCGTCTGAGAAGTGAGGAGACCCTCCGCCCGGCAGCCGCCCCGTCTGAGAAGTGAGGAGCCCCTCCGCCCGGCAGCCGCCCCGTCTGAGAAGTGAGGAGCCCCTCCGCCCGGCAGCCGCCCCATCTGGGAAGTGAGGAGCGTCTCCGCCCAGCAGCCACCCCGTCCTGGAGGGAGGTGGGGGTCAGCCCCCGCCAGGCCAGCCGCCCCGTCCGGGAGGGAGGTGGGGGGGTCAGCCCCCCGCCCGGCCAGCCGCCCCGTCCGGGAGGTGAGGGGCGCCTCTGCCCGGTCGCCCCTACTGGGAAGTGAGGAGCCCCTCTGCCCGGCCACCACCCCGTCTGGGAGGTTTACCCAACAGCTCATTGAGAACAGGCCATGATGACAATGGCGGTTTTGTGGAATAGAAAGGGGGGAAAGGTGGGGAAAAGATTGAGAAATCGGATGGTTGCCGTGTCTGTGTAGAAAGAGGTAGACATGGGAGACTTTTCATTTTGTTCTGTACTAAGAAAAATTCTTATCCTGTTGATCTGTGACCTTACCCCCAACCCTGTGCTCTCTGAAACATGTGCTGAGTCCACTCAGGGTTAAATGGATTAAGGGCGGTGCAAGATGTGCTTTGTTAAACAGATGCTTGAAGGCAGCATGCTCGTTAAGAGTCATTACCACTCCCTAATCTCAAGTACCCAGGGACGCAAACACTGCGGAAGGCCGCAGGGTCCTCTGCCTAGGAAAACCAGAGACCTTTGTTCACTTGTTTATCTGCTGACCTTCCCTCCACTATTGTCCTATGACCCTGCCAAATCCCCCTCTGCGAGAAACACCCAAGAATGATCAATAAAAATAAATAAATTAATTAATTAAAAAAAAAAAGAAGTTAAAAAAAAAAAAAGATAAATTTCTTTCTGAGGGGCCTGGAGGAGATCACACCCAAGAGCCAAAACTAACATTATTTTCTGCCGATCCCAAATGTTTAGACAAAGCTCCACCTCCTTAACCAATCACAAATCAGCAAATCTTTGACTCCACCTACGACCTGTGGGTGCCTGCTTCAAGATGTCTCACCTTTTATACAGGTCAAACCAATGTATATCCTGCAAGTTTTTTGTTTTTGTTTTTGAGATGGAGTCTCACTCTCACCCAAGCTGGAGTACAGTGTTGCAATCTTGGCTCACTGCAACCTCCGCCTCCCAGGTTCAAGCAATTCTCCTGCCTCAGCTTCCCAAATAGCTGGGATTACAGATGCATGCCACCATGCCCGGCTGATTTTGTATTTTTAGTGGAGACGGGGTTTCAACACATTGGCCAGGCTGGTCTCGAACTCCTGGCCTCAAGTGATCCGCCCTTCTCGGCCTCCCAAAGTACTGGGATTACAGGCATGAGCCACTGTGCCCGGCCAGCCTTCCTGTATTGGTTTATGATTTTGCCTGTAAGCTCTGCCTTCCTGCCTTTAAAAATCCTTACCTGTAAGCTCTTGGGGAGTTTGGGTCTTCAGCCTGAGCTGCCTGATTCTCCTTGCTTGGTGCCAGGCAATAAATGCCTCACTTTCTCTCGCTGCAATCCCGATGTCAGTGTTTGGATTTTTGTGCCAGGCAAGTAGACCTAGTTGTTTGATAACAGTATTCGGGGTACCTACTGCATAATGTCAAGTGGGTGTCTCTGGTTCAGGCAGTGAGTAGTGTAAGTAACGAGCGATTGAAGGCAAAATGGCTCGCTGCCTGTTTCCGTACAAAAGCAGCCCTGGCAACAATCCAGACTGATCTGTCCTTGGCCTATTCATTATTCTCTGCGCAGTGATAATGAGTTTACTGCTTTGTGGGCTTTTAGGTAAGGGGAAGAGATGAGCTTGGCTTAATGCCTGCTGACTCATAAGACGCAGGGGCCCTGGCCTGCCTCTGATGGGATGCATGCACTTAAATCAGGAACAATTTCTATTTCCTCTCCAGCAAAAACGCTGCGAGGGGAGGCTAGTCAAGCATGCAGAGCTGGAGACCTAGGAACTCTATCTCTGCTTCTGGGGACTGGGGGTAGAAAGAAGGAAAGAGCAGGCACAGTCCTTCCTCAAACCTCCCCTTTAGCTGCTCTACAAACATGCTGCCGCTAAAAAGCATTAGAGCTGCTGCTGATTCCTATCAGGAAGGAATTATACTAAGCACGCCTAGCATTTATGAAAGGCTGCCTATCTTTTGTTAGGCATTATCTGGATGCAAAAGCGAATCAACAACCTTCCACTCCTTAAGGAGTGTGCAATCCAGAAGGGAGTGTAAACAATGAAATGTAGGACAAGGTTAAATGAAACACAGGCCAAATTGTTATGGGCATTCAGAAGAAACACTGTGTCTTAGCTTTGTCTTGGGAGATCAAGGAGGGCTCCACACAGAAGGTGGCATCTGAAGGCTAGGAAGGATTTCCGAAGACAGAGAATCGAAAAATAACATTCTCAGCTGAGGGAACTATAGGAACAATGATACTCAGAGCTTTTTCAGAGCCTGGAAGTGTCATTTGGGAACTGAAGATGGGAAGGTTTATGTTTGTTTGCCCAGGCTCAGGAATTTGTGTTTTATTCTAAACTCAGTGTGGAAAACAATGCAGATTTGCGGAAGCATGGAGTGAGGTAAACTTTACATTTTAGCAAGGTGATCTGGGTTCTAGAAATGTACCTGAAATTTACTAAGCCCCTGAGCATGGCTAGGCACTATACTAAAACTTTTAGACATTGTCTCTTTAGGCAATTGCTTTTAATGTCCTTATTTTGCAGATGGGAAGACTGAGGCTGAGTGAGATTAAACATCATGGCCAAAGTTAACTTCCGTTAGCAGGTCCTAACATCACAGGTTTTGCAGCCAGTACCACTTACAGTTACTGTATCGAAGTCTTTTTTTTTCCCCAAGACCAATGTAAAGATCAAGGCTATATAAGAGGACGCTTTTTTTTCTTTTCTTGAGACAGAGTCCCCCTCCGTCATCCAGGCTGGAATGCAGTGGTGCAATCTCGGCTCACTGCAGCCTCCACCTCCTGGGTTCAAGTGATTCTCCAGCCTCGGCCTCCTGAGTAGCTGGGATTATGGGTGCCCACCACCACACCCAGTTAATTTTGCATTTTTAGTAGAGATAGAGTTTCACCATCTTGGCCAGGCTAGTCTCGAATTCCTGACCTCAGGTGATCCTCCCACCTCAGCTTCCCAAAGTGCTGGGATTACAGGCATGAGCCGCCGCACCTGGCCCCATTTTATTCGCTCCTTCCAATACAAGCAAACCTAGGGATACAACCAGAAAACTGCCACGTGAGGCTAAAATATGCTCTTGCTCCTTCAGAAAACAGCACAAGTTCATCAGCCCAGAAAGTTCTCAAACATTCTCAGGACAAGGGACACTGAGTCCAAAGCCTATACTTTTAGCCACAGCACTATTCTGCCTCCCAGTATACAGTCCTAGTATGGTACTTTTCAGCAGAAATCCCATATGTCTTCCAATATTCTTTAAGACAGTACTCTTGAGGCTAAAATATTCTAAACAAAGAGCTGAGTTTCCAACAAAAAGTGCTTTAGAAAACTGAGTTGCACAGAGAATGGGGTGCATAGAAATCTGGGGCATGCACAGCCAAATAACTTGGGTCTGTAAACATTTATCAGATTATTTTAAAGTGATTTTGCAACATTTCCTCATCAAATGCCTTACAGTTCTGGAAAAGGGCAGATATAAGAATTCCTTTATCACTTGGTCAGGTTTACAGATGGAGACACCAAAGCAATGAGAGTTTTAAGAGGCGCTCAGAAAGTCAGTAATCTCAGCACTTTAGGAGGCTGAGGTGGGAGATCATTGAGCCCAGAGTTTGAAACCAACCTGGGCAGCAAAATGAGACTCTATCTCTACAAAAAATTAAAAAATTAAAAATTAAAAAGTCAATAGCAGGGCTAAAGAGAAATCTAGATTCCTGATCTTGAAGCACATGGTTAAATCGAAAAATCATATCTCCATGGGCATCAAGGAGATAGAAATGGGGATGGAAAAAAGGCACTGTCCTTTCTCTTAAAAGTAATATGCACTTTTATAAAATACTCTTTTTGTAAGAAGTAAAATATAAATGTTCATTGTAGAAAATTTGGACAATACCAAAAGTTCAAAGAAGAAATGAAACCCACCAATAAGCTCGGTACCCAGAAATATCCCCTGTGAATGTTGGTATATTTCCATCCAGGAGTTTATGTGCTGTTATCATTTAGAGACAGACAGCCCTTCCATTCTACTCCATTTTCTGAGAGCAGGAATCTGAAAGGTAGATCTCAATCAATAATTGATGCCCCCACTGCATGCCCAGCACTATGCCAGGCACCATGGGGTCAGAAGGAAGACTGCACTCCTCACTCTAAGAGGCTACAGTCAGTTAAAGAGATAATACACAGACCCAGAATCAGGGAGCTGGCAAGAGCATCATATGAGCAAACTGGCTGCAGGAATTCAGAAAAGGAAAGCTGGCTGGGAGAGGCTTAATGGAGGAAATGATCTGGAGCGGAGGTATGAACAACGTTTAGACTCAGGATTGCAGAAAGAAGGAGAAATGCACTCTGGGGTTGAGCAGGTGGAAGATGGGACAAAAACAGCATGGACCAAGGACAGTTGGCTTGGTTCCTAAGGATATTGGCCTGGGTTTAGAGATTAGAGGGTGTGAACAGAGGCCCTAACATCACAGGTTTTACAGGCAGTGCTACCCACAGTTACTGTACCAAAGTCATTTCTTTTCCAAGACCAATGCAGAGATCAAGGCTATATACGAGGATCCATTTTATTCACTCTTTCCAATTCAACCAAACCTAGGCATGCAACCAGAAAACTTCCACGTGAGGCTAAAACATGCTCTTGTTCCTTCAGAAAACAGCACAAGTTCATCAGCCTGGAAAGTTCTCAAACATTCTCAAAGCTGATGTCCAGGAAGTGCTAGGTCAGGGCATGTGCTATAGGAGGGACCACAGGGGAAATGATCGTACAAAATCATGGCACAAAGTCAAAACCCAGCATGCACCAGCCAAATCCTGCACATATGCCAAAAACTGAATTCTGCCACCTTAGTAACACTGAAAAAAAATATATCCTGGGTAAGAGGTGGTGTGATATCTGAGAAAATCCCAAGGTTGTATCTTGGCAGCTCTATTCCCGGTGTGACCTTGTGCAGTGACTTAATTGCTTTGCCCTTCAATTTCCTCATCTGTAAAATGAGGATAATAGCACCTGCCTCATACTTCTGATGTAAAGATTAAATGAAGTAATGTATACAAAGCACCTTACACCACATCTGGCCATTGAGTAAGCCCTGGGTAAACACTGGTTCCTCTTCTTTTCTTCCCACTAGTCTAATATTAGAAAGCCAGATCAAAAGGGTCAGTGTGATTTGGGGAAACTAAAAAACAGAATATGATGCTAATAAGGCTTGAAGCCTCAGACCACATTCAAGGTCTCCAGGGCATTGGTAATGTCCAACTTCTTTACATGGCTCTAAGGTTCACATCTGTCTGAGATGTCACAGCTTGATCAAGGCCTCCTCTATACCATATTCAGCATAAAGTGTTTTGAGACAGGATCTATAATAGGATGCTGGAGTGAGGCCAGCATAGTTGCCCTGAAACCCTGCCTCCTGCCCCCAGCTCAGGTACCAAAGGAAGGCGACATGGGGTATTGAAACAATTTCCAAAGGTTTAGCTCACATAAGCGGAATAGAGACAGAGAAGGGAAAGTCCTCAACCTAGAACACAGATTAATTACCAGGGAGCCAGAAAAAGCTAATAATCCTAGTTGACAGGCAGCCAAATGACTTGGGGTAGCTCATTTAGAGTGTGGGTGTTATGCAGCCCAGAAGACAAACACGTGTAAACAACAGCAGGTAAAACATGAACCAACCTACTTAGCAAGTTAGATCAAGAATCTATTGATTGCCAAGTCTCTTTGAGTCCTGCAACACACTTCCTCTCTGTCCCTTCTGTTAAAGCAAACTAAATATGGCCCAAGAAGGACCCCATACTTCTATATTTCAGTCCCTGTGGACGAACTGTAACCTAGCTTAATAGGCAGACAAGATTGAGAACCTAATTTAGTAGTATGTGCCTGTAACAATAGCTGAGTCTTGGCCAATCCCAGCAGCCATGCTTCAACCACTCATAGACTGCTGAGTGTTCAAACTGTGTTCAAAGAAGGCAAATGCCAACCTGTAACCAATCCAACTGTTTCTGTACCTCACTTCAGATTTCTGCATGTCACTTCCCTTTTTTGTGTCTATAAATTTGTTCTGACCACCAGACATCCCTGGAGTCTCTCTGAATCTGCTGATTCTGGGGGCTGCCCAATTCACGAATCGTTCATTGCTCAATTAAACTCCTTGAAATTCAATTCAGCTGAAGTTTTTCTTTTAACACTTCATTCCACTGTCCCTGCCCTAGTTCAGGCCCATATTACCTCCTGTTAGCTCAGGGACACCTTCATTTTCTGAATACACAACTCAACAAGTTCTTCACTGATCATCAAATAAAATCTACATTTCCTAACCTGACATTCAAAACCCTCCATAATATGATCCACATCTTAAACAACACATTCCATTTCAGGATCCTTATGCTTCAGACAAACCAAAGCCAACAAACCTAAGCCTTTGTATTTTTCCACCTCAGTGTCTTTGCTTGAGCTGTTGTTTCACAGCCATTCTCACGTATTCTTTGTGTTAGTTACCTAGGGCTGCTGTAACAAATTACCACATCCCGGGTGGCTTAAAACAACAGAAATGTATTCTTACAAGTCCAAGATCCAGATGTCAGCAGGGCTAGTTCCATCTGGCAGCTCTGAGGGGCAATCCGCTCCATACCTCTCTCTTAGCTGCTGCTGGCTGCTGGCAGCCCTTGTCATTCCTTGGCTTGGGGCTGCCAATCTCTGCCTGTCTTCACATGTGTGGCCTTCTTCTCTCTGTGTCTCAGTGTCTCAAATCTCCCTCTGCCTTTGTCATATAAGGACACCTGTCATTGGATTTAGGGCCCATCCTAAATCCTGGGTGGTCTTATCTTGAGAGCCTTAATTACATCTACAAAGTCCCTTTTCTAAGGTCACAACCACAGGTTCCGAGTGGATATGTCTTTCGGGAGGCCACAATTTAACCCGTATACCCTTTAAGACCTTGGTCTCTTGCTGCCTCCTTTATGAAATATGCCTTGATGTCTAGCCCCAGGAAGGAATTTCTCCCTCCTATGAACTGCCAAGAAACTCAACTGAATTTGACTTTGTGATATTGTGTTTGTATGAACAGCTTATCTTTGAGTGAGTTGCCTAACTTCTGTAGGCCTCAATTCCTCATCTTTGAAACAGAGATGATTATTACATTTATTTTTAGCATTATTTTGGGTTTTGGTTTTTTTTGTTTTTGTTTTTTGAGATGGGGTCTCTCTCTCTGTTGCCCAGGCTGGGAGTGCAGTGGTGTGATCTCAGCTCACTGCAACCTCCACCTCCTGAGTACAGGCAATTCTCCTGCCTCAGCCTCCCAAGTAGCTGGGATTACAGGCATGTACTACCATGCCAGGCTAATTTTTGTATTTTTAGTAGACACAGGGTTTCACTATGTTGGCCAAGCTGGTCTTGAACTCCTGACCTCAGGTGATCGGCCCACCTCGGCCTCTCAATGTTCTGGGATTACAGGCGTGAGCCACTGTGCCCAGCCTATAGCATTATTTTGATAAAAAGAAGTTTTAACGGACTTAGAACACTAGCCAGACATAGCAAATCATCCATATGTGCTATTATTATCCTTATCTTTATTATCATATATTGTCCCTACTATATTGTAAGTTCCTTAAAGATAGTCATCTTTGCAGCCTTCATGGATTCTAAAAAGTATCTCGCACAGAATCATGGACGAGCGAACATATCAGGGAGAAGGAGGGAATGACAGCTAAGTCATCTTGAGATAGTCAATACAGGGACATGTTTGGAAATGTCGTGAAGAGTGACTCCTCTATGCAACATTCAACCAGCAGGAAAGTACTCAGGTCTTCCCCGAAGTGAAAAGTCTTGGTCAAAACTCCCTGCCAACAGTTTTCCCTTTGATTTACAAGCAGGACAACTTGGAGAGTTGCCAGTCTGGTGTTTCCAAGTACAGCATATCCAAAGAATTCCTTTCATAAACAGCATCATTTGCTGATTTGTCATCATGGTAATTATATTTTATTATTCCCACTGTACACTGTACCTCTTAGCACTGATGTGGTTCTGAAATAGAAGTGAAAAAAAGGGGATAGGGGAGGGGCTGACTCCCAGGCTTAAGGGAAGAGTGACTCAGTGGCCCTAGGGAGCCTCTTCTCAGGAACTGGGTAGGTGTGCTGACTCACTTCTGCCTCCGGCCTCCTCCCAAAGGTTGCTGCTTCTCCAGGACCTCACAGGAGCTGTGGAAGCCTTTAGTGGTGGCTCTGGTAATTCTCTACACACACCATAATCTTCCCCTACATAATCCCATGAGCTATTTTATAAAGCTGCCTTCTAGAAGGCCAGTGCTCTAGATACGTGGTTCAGACCGAAGTCTTCTAGAAGATTTTTAATTTTTATGGGTACCTAGTAGATGTATATAGAAGATTTTCATTGTTAGTACAAGTACAAACACATACAAAAATCCATTCCTAGTCAGGTGCACACAAAGTGGAGTTCAGGCCAGGCATGGCACTTTGGGAGGCCGAGGCAGGCGGATCACCTGAGTTCAGGCGTTCGAGACCAGCCTGACCAAAGTGGTGAAACCCCGTCTCTACTAAAAATACAAACAAATTAGCTGGGTGTGGTGGTGTGCACCTATAATCCCAGCTACTCAGGAGGCTGAGGCAGGAGAATTGCTTGAACCCAGCAGGCAAAGGTTGCAGTGAGCCAAGATCGTGCCACTCCACTCCAGCCTGGGCGACAGAGTGAGGCCCTGTCTCAAAAAAAAAAAAAAAAAAGTGGAGTTCAGAGCAGACAGAAGCTGAAATCTTCATCCATATTTTCCCAAGCAAATACGGTAAAACCTAATCTCCCTGTTTTGCTGTGCGTGGCAGGAGACAGGTAGCTACTGTCTGGGATCAGACATCCCTGATGTGCTCAGCGTGGAAAATGGTAAAGCAACTCTCTCCTGCCCAGAATCAGTGCTGATTGATTGGTTCTGTTTCCATGAAACAACTGCCAAAACGATGCTTATAAATAACACTTCCCAGTTATAATATGCTTTCTAAAAGAATGCATTATTTATTGTAGAAACGCTGTGATGGAATATGTTCACACAGAAAGAAAATAATAGGGATCAGTCAAGGGAGAAAAAGAAACTTGTGAAATTTTAATTCTTGTCTTTAATATTACGTGAAATTAAGCCATTTTCCTGAGAAACTTTAAACACAGCAAGTCTTCTTTATGGCCAGTGTATAGCACTGCCTGAGAAGGAAAGCTGCACCATTATGATTCAAGATTTTCAGTGGACTGGGGTTGGTGAGCAAAGACTATGGAGATCAAGGTTATCTGTGTTGTGCTTCAGCAGCTCCTGACTAAGCCATTACACAGGCTCCTTCCCAGATGCTGAAGTTCATGCTCCACCTCCACCAAAAAGGGGGAGGAAGAATTACTGTGGGTTTTTATTTCAAACGATTACTGAAAGGACAAGAATTCATTGAATTTTGATCTAGAAAAGGCCTCTGTGCAGTGCTCAAATCCACCTCCCTATTCTTGTGTATAAAATCACTGTCTGGAAACTGACAGCTCCATGTAGAGATCAATCACACCCAATGTCCATGGCTTCTAAAAGAAAGAGAAGGCTGCATTTAGCAAATATTGCCACCATTAAAAAAAAGTTCTCTCCCAACATGGCTTCTAGAAACCTAATCTCATTTATGCAAATTCTTTTCCGTTTTTTCCTGGGCAGCGAAATTGCCCCTCACATTTAACAACCATCAAGATAGTGTGAATGTGGATTACTCTACAAGCACTTTCCGTTTAGCTCCTATAAATAGGACCTCCTTGTATAAAATAGCACATATATTCACATTGACTGATACAGTAACTAATCTTATTTATTTTTGGAAGTACCCTCTGGTCTTCTGCCATGGAGAAGTAGCTACCCTTTTTTTCTTTAACATTTAGGGAATGCATGCTCCCCCCCCTTTTTTTTTTCCTCTCTCCCCTCAAAGCTGTTTGTTTTCTCCCCAAACCAGAAGGTATTCCCCTCATGGAGATGAAAGTGCGCCCCCTAGTGAACAATGTTTCTCAACATCCCTCCAACACTGAATTTCCATCTTCATTATTCTTGCCAGAGAATCCCAGGCCCCAGTGGTGACGTGACTGCATTTGAGAGGTTGAGGTTCAGTGCCCAGGGCTTAGGAGCTTTTCAAGGGACAGTAAAATTGTTTGAGAGCTAAGAAAGTCTGTTGACTCCAAACATTTTTTTCTATTCCAAAACTGAAATTAGTGAATTTGATTAAATGTCTATAAAATATCAACTAATCATAAGCAATTCAACTCTTAAATTGTTACATATAAATTATATTTAATGTAGAATGTAGGTTCATTTTTAAATTGTCTATGAAGAGGCCAGGCATTGTGGCTCACGCCTATAATCCCAGCACTTTGGGAGGCCAAGGTTGGGGGGGGATTGCTTGAGCCCAGAAGTTCAAGACTAGCCAGGGCAACATAGCAAGACCCTCAGCTCTACAAAAATTTTTGTTTTAATTTCCAGCTAATTTTTTAAAATTTTGTGTAGAGATGGGAGTTTTCACCTGTAGACAGGTGTGTGGTACACACCTGCAGTCATAACTAATACTTAGGAGGCTGAGGTGGGAGGATTACTTGAGCCTGGGAGGTTGAGGCTGCAGTGAGCCATGACCACACCACTGCACTCCAGCCTGGAGTGTCTCAAATATATATTATATGTATATATGTGTGTGTATATATATATATATATATATATATATATATATATATATTTTTTTTTTTTTTTCTGTGAGGAGGGACAGGTCCTCTTAAAATACGAGTAAAAGCCATATTTTCCATAGAATTGACCTCTGTTCAAGACTCTTCATGACCATGAATATGCACTCCTGTCTTAACATTATTCTTTTAAAGATTCTAATAACAATACTTCATACTTGCAAAGTGCTTAGTAAAAGTTTACGTATGGCCACAGCACAGTGACTCACGTCTATAATCCCAGCACTTTGGGAGGCCAAGGCAGGTGGATTGCTTGAGCCCAGAAATTCAAGACCAGCCTGAGCAACAAGGCAAAACCCCATCTCTACAAAAAAATACAAAAAATTAGCTGGGTGTGGTGGCGCAAGCCTAGAGGCCCAACTACTTGGGAGGCTGAGCGGGGAGGATCACCTGAGCCTGGGATGTCAAAGCTGCAGTGAACTGTGATTGTGCCACTGCACTCCAGCATGAGCAACAGAGTGAGACCTTATATCAAAAAAAAAAAAAAAGTTAACATATGCTTCTATTTAAGGCATTTAATCTTTACAACAGTAAATTGAGAAAGAAAAGAATGAATTGGATATAGTAGTTTTTCGGTTTTCTTCTTTTTTTGCCAAAGTATAAAATATTATAAATTCTGAAGCCAAAAAAAAAAAAAAGTCAGAATCAAAACAGATAACCACCACAGTTCAAAAGAAAACAAACTAATTTGAAATGGTCTATGTAAGCCTTTGGTAAGGGACAATACATAGCAAATGACTCCATAGTCAGACACTCTGGGACGAGTTACTCAACCTCTCTGTGCCTCAGTATCCTCAACTGTAACGTGGGGACAAAAAGAGTATTTATCTCACCAGGTCTTCGAGACATTTAAATGAGTTCATATATGTGAAACACTTAGAATAGCGTGTGGTACATAGTAAGAGCTGAATAAATGCTAGCAATTAACTGTTAGTCAATCAAACCATAGCAATCTTTGATTCCCAGAAAAGAATAGCTTAAGATTTTGGGCTGGGCGCAGTGGCTCACACCTGTAATCTCAACACTTTGGGAGGCCGAGGCAGACAGATCACCTGAGGTCAGGAGTTTGAGACCAGCCTGGCCAACATGGTGAAACCCCATCTATACTTAAAAAAAAAAGTGCAAAAGTTAGCTGGGCGAGGTAGCACGAGCCTGTAATCCCAGCTACTCCAGAGGCTAAGACGGGAAAATTGCTTGGACCCGGGAGGCAGAGACTGCAGTGAGCTGAGATCGCACCACTGCACTCCCCGCCTGAGTGACAGTGCAAGACCCTATCTCAAAAAATAATTTAAAAAAAAACAAGATCTTGTATAAATCTCAAACAACTAAAACACTCACAAAACAATCACTAATATTATATTTTGAAACATTTTACCTGGAAACAATCTCAAACTTACAAAAAGTTACAGGAATAAAAATAAGGAACGTTGGTACACCTTTTACCCAAATGAGCTTATTACCATTTTATTCCTCTATTATTTGCATGGCACATCACTGCAAATTTGTGTCTCTACTTATTATAATTTTGATGTATTTGTTTTCTCTTGTAAAGTAACAAATTACCACAAATTTAGCAATTAAACGCCAACTTACAAGCTCGCAGTTCTAAGACATCTGAGTATAGCATAGCCAGCTTCTTTGTTCAGGATCTTTACAAAGCTAAAACCAACGTATTGGCCATGCTAAACTCCTTTCTGGAAGCTCTGGGAAGAATCCACTTTCAAGCCAATTCATGATTGATGGCAGTCATAGGACTGAGGTCCCCATTTCCTTGCTGGCTGTCAAATGTGGGCCACTCTAAGCTCCTTGAGGTACCCACATTCCTTCCAATATGATTTTTATTTTTTTAATTATTACTTTAAATATTATTATTATTTTTTGAGACAAAGTCTCACTCTGTTGCCCAGGCTAGAGTACAGTGGCGCAATCATGTTTCACTGCAACCTTAACCTCCTGGGCTCAAGTGATCCTCCTGCCTCAGCCTCCCAGGTAGCTAGGACTACAGGTGCATGCCACCACATCTGGCTAATTTTTTAAAAATTTTTTGTAGAGATGAGGTCTCACTATGTTGCCCATGCTGGTCTCAAACTCCTGGACTCAAGCAATCCTACTGCCTTGGCCTCCCAAAGTGCTGGGATTACAGGAGTGAGCCACCATGCTCTGCCCACATTCTTTCCAATATTTGGCCCCATTTATCTTCAAAGCCAGCAATGAAAAATCTCCCTCATGGCAAATCCTTCTCAGATTTTGACTCTCTCTCCCAAAGAAGAGCCAGTTCCTTCTAAAGGCTCACCTGATTAGGTTAGGCTTACCGAAGAAAAGCCTGGATACTCTTTCTCAAAGTCAAATGATTTGGGACCTTAATTACATCTGTAAAGTGCGGCATAGCAGCACTTAGATTGGTATTTGAATAACTGGGAGAAGGTGTGTATATACTAGGGATAGGAATTTAGGGGGCATCTCACCGTTCTGCCTACCACATATGATGAGAGACTTTATAAGTCTATGTGTAAGACTGGTAGGGCTGCCACAACAAAATACTACAGTCTGTGGTGGCTTAAACAACAGAAATTTATTTTCTTACAGTTCTGGAGGCTGGAAGTCCAAGATCAAGGTGTCAGCAGGGCTGGTTTCTCTTGAGGCCGCTCTCTTTCATTCGCAGATGGCTGCCTTCTCACTGCATCCTCACCTGGCCTTCTCTGTGTGAACATCCCTGGTGTCTCTGTGTGTCCAGATTTCATCTTCTTGTGAGGACAACAGTCAGATCAAATCAGGGCTTCAACATATAAATTTTGGGGGGAAACAATTCAGTCTATAACAGTCTAATAACAAAATTAAGAGCTAATATTTGAGCTACTAGGCAGGTACTGTGCTAAAAAAATGTGTAGGTTATCTCAACACAAACCTTTAAATTAAATACCATCGTAAGCAATTATATGAAATTCCAATCTCATCAAAATGTTTCCTTTATTCTTAATTAGAAATTCTGTAAGACTTGTTGTGATTTGATTCTTAGAATGAGCTGTCTCTACTATAATGTGCTTCCTATGCTACGTTCTAAGGTCAGTTTCCTTCATCCATCCAGTTTTACTGAGCAGATAAGCTTGGTACAGAGACATTAAAATTAGTTATCAAAATTCTTGCTCTCAGAGAGCAAAATCTAGTAAAAAAGATGTATTTTATGTCTGCCTCTGTACATTTTTTTTTTTTTTTTGAGACAGAGTCTCATTCTGTTGCCCAGGGTGGAGTGCAGTGACATGATCTGGGCTCATTGCAACCTCGGCCTCCCAGGTTCAAGAAATTCTCCTGCCTCGGCCTCCTGAGTAGCTGGGATTACAGGCGCACACTACCATGCCCAGCTAATTTTTGTATTTTAGGTATAGATGGGGTTTCACCATGTTGGCCAGGCTGGTCTTGAACTCCTGACCTCAGGTGATCCACCTGCCTCAGCCTCCCAAAGTTCTGGGATTACAGACATGACCCACCACACCCGGGAATCTGTACATTTTTACGTATCTTACATAAAAAGTGTCAATTATAGGCCAGACACGGTGGCTCGTGCCTGTCATTCCAGCACTTTGGGAGGCCAAGGCAGGTGGATCACCTGAGGCCAGGAGATTGAGACCAGCCTGGCCAACAAGGTGAAAACTCGTCTCTACTAAAAATACAAAAATTAGCTGGGCATGGTGGCAGGCACCTGTAATCCCAGCTACTCGGGAGACTGAGGCACAAGAATTGCTGGAACCTGGGAGGCGGAGGTTGCAGTGAGCCAAGATCTGCACTCCAGCCTGGGTGACAGAGCAGACTCTGTCTCAAAAAAAGAAAAGAAAAGAAAAAAGGTATCAATTATGTTTATAAAGTTGTTCTACACAGTTAAGCTCTTATGCAGGCACTGAAAATTAAAATAATGATTTCAGGAAAGAGAAACCCTCTCTGAATGTTTTGCGTTATTTTCGTGAGATTTCCTCAACCCTAACTGTGCAGCAACACACTGTTTTGTATGTGGCTTTAGACGGAACGCTCAGTGACTGGAGAAAAACCACGTGGGATTTGATGGTGAGAAGTAATGATAATGTAAAAATACTACACCTGACTAGGTAAGGTGACTCATTCCACTCACTCTGCTCAAGAGAAAAAAAACATCCCTGGCGGAATGCAGTGGCTCATGCCTGTAATCCCAGCATTTTGGGAGTCTGAGGCAGGAGGATGGCTTGAGACCAAGAGTCCAGGACCAGCCTAGGTAACATACCGAGACCTTGTCACTACTAAAAATAAAAATTATAAAAATAAAATTAGCCAGGCGTGGTGGCACCCGCCTGTAATTCCAACTGCTAGGGAGGCTGAGGCAGGAGCTTGAGTCCAGGAGGTCGAGGCTGCAGTGAGCTATGGTCGCCTGTCACCGCACTCCAGCCTTGGCGACAGGGTGGAAACCTAGTATTTAAGTTTCTTAGAAAAACGGCTGGGTGCAGTGGCTCACGCCTGTAATCCCAGCACTTTGGGAGGCCGAGGCGGGTGGATCACCTGAGGTCAGGAGTTTCAGACCAGCCTGACCAACAAGGTGAAACCAGTCTCTACTAAAAATACAAAAATTAGCAGGTCATGGTGGTGCGTACCTGTAATCACAGCTACTTGGGAGGCTGAGGCAGGAGAATAGCTTGAACCCGGGAGGCGGAGGTTGCAGTGAGCCAAGATGGCACTGGGCGAAAGAGTGGGATTCCATCTCAACAACAACAACAAAAAATCCCTTTTTTTTTCTCACTTTCCATGCACTTGCACCGAGAATTTCTCTCCTGGGAGCAAAGACCACATTGCGAGTATCGAAGGAAATCAAATCTGCAGGCCCAGGCCCTTCCCAGCTGCGGGCAGAGTGGGGTGACTGCCCCCAGGCGAGACGCCCCTCTCCGGCCCACCCCTAGCCCATCTCCGCTTCCCAGCGCCCATGGGCCGGTAGCTGGGTTCCGCATCCCGCTCCAAGCCCATCGCCCAACGCTTCTCTCGCGCCCTCTGCAGGAACCTGGGCCGAGGGCCGCCCCGCCTCGCTGCCCCCAGGCTCATAAATGGCCTCTGCGCCCTGGCCGGAGCGGGTTCCGAGGCTGCTCGCTCCGCGCTTACCCTCTTACCCGCCCCCACCCCCAACAGTGGGATTACGGTCCATGGAGCAGGAGGAGACCTACCTGGAGCTCTACCTGGACCAGTGCGCCGCTCAGGTGAGGCTGCCGCCACTGTCCCAGAGTCAGGACCCAAGTCCCGCCCGGTCCTGTGCCAAGGGCTTTGCCTTCGTTCCTCTTAAAACTCATAGCGACCATAAGAGGCGGGCTTGGTTTCCCAAGTCATTAAGTTGAAGGTTAGAAGCTTCGAAAAGTGAAATAATTTGACCAAGGTTGCCAAACAGAGCTCGAACTTCATCTAGCACGAATCCAGAACCGTTCACTCAGTTACCAGATTACATGGCCCTTCCCAGGTTGTTCTGGTTTTTGATTGATTGATTGATTGATTGATTGATTTTTCTCTGAGATGGAGTCTCGCCCAGGCTGGAGTGCAGTGGCGCGATCTCAGCTCACTGCAACCTCCGCCTCCTGGGTTCAAGCGATTCTCGTGCCTCAGCCTCCCGTGTAGCTGGGATTTCAGGCACACGCACCACACCTGGCTAATTTTTTTTTTTTTTTTTTTTTGAGACAGAGTCTCGCTCTGTCACCCAGGCTGGAGTGCAGTGGCGCGATCTCGGCTCACTGCAAGCTCTGCCTCCCAGGTTCACGCCATTCTCCTACCTCAGCCTCCCGAGTAGCTGGGACTACAGGAGCCCGCCACTACGCCCGGCTAATTTTTTTGTATTTTTAGTAGAGACAGTGTTTCACCGTGTTAGCCAGGATGGTCTCGATCTCCTGACCTCGTGATCCACCCGCCTTGGCCTCCCAAAGTGCTGGGATTACAGGCGTGAGCCACCATGCCCGGCTAATTTTTGTATTTTTTAGTAGAGACGGGGGGGGGTTTGCTTTTCTCCCCAGGCTGGTGTTGAACTCTTGACCTCAAGTCATCCCACCCACCTTGGCCTCCCGAAGTGCTGGGATTTCAGGCGTGAGCCACCACTCCTGGCCCCCCGCCTGGTTCTAAAGGACATGCACAGAGAGTGCATTGTGCTAGCTGTAGTGACTTCAGGTTCCCACGGGTTTCTGCTTTGACAGGGGAAACAGAGAGCCCCTGTCCCCTGCAGCATGGATGCCAGTACTAGGCCTCCCTCTAGAAGTCAAGTCTCTGGTGGAGCTGGTGGTTGCAGGGTTTGCCAAATGTCAACTAGAAACACCTGTGGCTTTTTTTTTTTTTTTTAAAGTTAATTACTCTTAAGACTTAAAAATCCTTAGCATTGGGCAGGGTGAGGTGGCTCACGCCTGTAATCCCAGCACTTTGGGAGGCCGAGGCACGTGGCTCATTTGAGGTCAGGAGTTCAAGACCAGCCTGGCCAACATGGCGAAACTTCGCCTCTGCTAAAAAATACAAAAATTAGCTGGGCGTGGTGGCAGGAGCCTGTAGTCCCAGCTACTCGGGAGGCTGAGGCAGGAGAATTGCTTGCATCCAGGAGGAAGAGGTTGCAGTGAGCCGAGATGGTGCCACTGCACTCCAGCCTGGGCGACAGAGTGAGACTCCGTCTCAAAAAAAAAAAAAGGCAAGAGAGCAACTTACTTTTTTTTTTTTTTTTTTGGTGGGAGAATTTTTTTATAAAGACAATGATCAGCACTGAGGTAGAAATGGTGACTTTCCCTAGCATTTAACACAGCAAAGAAGAGCCCAGACAGGAAAGGTTCTGAGAAAGGTAAGTGGATACAGTTTAACAAAAATGACTAAAGATTCTGAAGCCAAGGATGCAGTGAACGTGCTACACAGACATGTTCTGAGGAGAGTCACTACAGGCAGACCCTGCAGGGAGCCGGTCAAGTTTCCATTACCATAAAACATCCTCCTTCAAATCCTCGCCATTGCCTTACATTCTTGTGTACGTGTAGCTTTGTTCCCTGATAAAATGCCATGATGGGGAAGGGGAAGGGGAAGGGAGACACTGACTGTTGCAGCTTTGGTGCTTTAGCGTAAATTGCGGGAGGAGACCCTTTACATCTGGGACAGGTGAGACCAAGGAAACCCTGCAGTGGAATTGGGGCCCATTGTCCCCATCTCACTTTTCTTAGGCCACTCTGTGGGTTGAGGGTGGGGAAAGATGGGAGCGTATCATGTATTCATAATGAAATAGAGGTCAAAAATCTTATTTCAAGAGAATAGCTTGATTTTGTTTTTAATTCTAAGTGCTTTCTTTAAACAATTAGTCACCCCTGCCACCTGCTGGACTTGTAGTAACAGAACACTCCAATAGGCTCCAGTCAGACGTACATTAGCGGAGGTAGCATTGTCACTGAGAAGATGCAACACGGTGCATTCCTGACCCTTCAGTGGTCAGAAAAGAAATAAGATCTTTTTGAGTTTCTCCTGCAAGCAGTGCTCAAAATCTGGAGTCCAGGCCCGTAACTTGAGTGAAGCAGGTGGTAATGCATTTATCAAGCTAATCGATTTTTTCCCATAATAAAGTCCATGAATTTTACATTAGTTGCTTTCCTCAGGTGCACACATCATTCTCTCCGTTGCTGGATAATGGTAGTTGAGCAGCCTTCCCTGGACTGAAAATAAATTGATTTACACTATTCTTACCATTTAAGTTTCAATAACTTTTTTCCTAGTGTAAATTCTTCTAACTAGAACATTACAAGAATTCTTATTACGCCTTTGCCTAGAAGGAATAACCATGGGTCTTTAGTGAGTCTTGATTAGCATTCAACTATATCTTAAACTTCCTTCATTTATTCTATTTACATTTAAAACTCAAAATTATTTCAAAGTAAAGTCAACTAAAGTTTATAATTAACTTAAATAATACAGTATATCTGTTCTCTTCAAAGTATACAACAATTTAGAGCATGGTTGCTCAATTGCCTCTATTGCAAAATTGGACTTAGAGAGTGGCAACTTACTAGAGATCTAACCAAAGTAGCTAAGATAGTTTATGAAGAATGCTTTTTCTGCATTTTAAAATATTCTTTTCTGTTTCCATTAAGTGTGCTGTAACTGTAATAGAATCATTTTTTAGATGGAGTCTCGCTCTGATACCCAGGCTGGAGTGCAGTAGCATGATCTCGACTCACTGCAACCTCTGCCTCCCAGGTTCAAGAGATTCTCATGCCTCAGCCTCCCCAGTAGCTGGGATTACAGGCAGGCACTACCATGCTCTGCTAATTTTTGCATTTTTAGTAGAGACGTGGTTTCACCACATTGGCCAGGCTAGTCTCAAAACTCCTAGCCTCCAGCCATCCGCCTGCCTCAGCCTTCCAAAGTGCTGGGATTACAGGCGTGAGCTACCACATCTGGCCTGTAGTAGAATCTTAATGGCATTTTCTAGAAAAAAGCAGTGCATGAATACAAGCAATCTTGAACTGCCTCTTACACTGAATACATTGCCTGCCTGCCTGCCATAGTGACATCCCTTTTGTGTAACATGCTGTTCTGTCTGTTGTGTTTTTGTCTGTCTGTTTTGGGAACTGCCTAGGATGGCCTTGCCCCACCCAGGTCTCCCCTGTTCAGCCCAGTTGTACCTTATGATATGTACATACTGAATGCATCCAATCCGGATACTGCATTTAATTCGAACCCTGAAGTCAAAGAAACATCTGGTGATTTCTCATCTGTGGATCTTAGCTTCCTACCAGATGAAGTTACCCAGGAAAATAAAGACCAGCCTGTCATTAGCAAACACGAAACTGAAGAAAATTCTGAAAGCCAAAGTCCACAAAGTAGGTTGCCATCACCCAGCGAACAGGACGTTGGGCTGGGCTTAAACAGCAGCAGTTTGTCAAATTCCCATTCACAGCTGCACCCTGGTGATACTGACTCAGTCCAGCCCTCTCCTGAGAAACCAAACTCCGACTCCTTGTCTCTGGCATCCATAACTCCCATGACACCAATGACCCCTATTTCAGAATGTTGTGGAATTGTACCTCAACTACAGTAAGTTTTTATTTTTGTTTTAATTGAGCACATTGGGTACACATTTTATATTCCTGAATGCGATGACAACTAATTTCAGGATAATAGTAGGGAAGAGAATTTCAGATTTCATAATTCTTTGTTTTATCAGTTCTAAATGGATTGTGGCTTTAGACAGTTTGATTATCTGTAAGGCAAAGCACTAATTCTTGACCTCTAAGGTGGGCGGAGGGGACTTAAAGATTAATAGATGCATTCTTGAAGGATTGTATTGTTTATACTACAGCACTGTAGTTGCTGAAAATTGTGGGTAGGGTTGGATAAACACCAAGGATATAAAGATGTAAAATTGAGTTTGATTTGCAAATTGATTCAGAATTGTAATTTCTATTTTGAGGCATTGTTTTGAAAAAAGATCTAAAACTTAATTTTAGCAGCTAGTCATGAAATTTTAGGAAAGGCTCTTTAGCACTTCACTTTGGGATTTTACACTTAACTAGGAATCATGTCATGTATTTCACATTTGGAATAATTCTCCCCCTAGGAAATTGCTAAGGTATAACCTAAGAAATGAGAAAATAAGTTGTCTTTTTTTTTTTTTACTCTTTATATCTGATATAAGTTTCTAAACTGACTTATTTCTTCAGGAATATAGTTTCCACTGTAAACCTGGCCTGTAAGTTGGATCTGAAGAAAATAGCTTTGCATGCAAAAAATGCAGAATATAACCCAAAGGTAACATTTCTCAGTATTCCTTCCAATAATTAGCTTCTCTTTAGATTTACTTTTCTTAATATGATCATGATATTGACTAATTCCTCTGTTTTTTCTTAAAAAATTGTTACTGAAAAAGCTTTTGGCAACTCAGGGTTAATATCTGTTTTGAGTTATAAAAAATAATCTCATTCTTTATGCTGAATAAAGCAGTAATTGAGCAGTTCCTTAAAGATAAGCTCTCTCCCTTGTCATTCAAAAATATTTTTTAGTATGATTATAATTTTTCACTTAGGCTGGGCACGGTGGCTCACTCCTGTAATCCCAGCACTTTGGGAGGCTGAGGCAGGTGGATCACGAGGTCAGGAGTTTGAGACCAGCCTGACCAACATGGTGAAATCCCGTCTCTACTAAAAATACAAAAATTAGCTGGATGTTGTGGCGGGTGCCTGTAATCCCAGCTACTCAGGAGGTTGAGGCAGGAGAATCACTTGAACCCAGGAGGCAGAGGTTGCAGTGAGCCAAGATCATGCCATTACATTCCAGCCTGGGTAACAGCGAGACTCCGTCTCCAAAAAAAAAAAAAAAATTTCACCTGACTATTGGGATGCTAACTATCTTAAAATGCCATCAAATTTCTGGAAATAATTTTTGCCAAATGTTGTCTCAGCTACCTGACACTTATGTATCTTTCCATTACAATTCCTCTTATCTGAGAAGGCTAAACTGCTTAAAGTATAAAGTTCAAGCTCCTATTTACTAATGTAAGATTCAGGGATTTTTTTTTTCGTCCTCCTCAAAGTTTAATAAAATCTATTCTTTCTTGTATCCTGCCAAGGCCAGGCATCCTGTTTTCAATGGCTTGTTTACCTAGGGTAATTGGGTTTGTCAATCCTATCAACTTTTAACGATTTGCCAGGCTCTGTACTTAGGAGTACAAAGATGAGTAAGACCTGCTTCCTACTGGGAAAAAGTTCACTGGCTTAGGTGGTGGAGGATTTATGGAATTAGATGAAAAAAGGTCACATTCGTAGGAACCCAGAGACCTTGCAGGCATCAACTATTATTTGTTTTTGCTGTTGCCCTAGTATTGTTGCTGACATCTGAATTTAAATGTTACCTCGATGTTACCCGAATACAATAAAGCTTTCCTTTTGATATTTCATACAGCTGACAATGGTGAGGACAGACACAAAGATGAGCTAAGATCCTCACAGCTGCAGCTGTGATCACATTATTGAACAATCAGCATTTTAGGCAACTTTTATTGTCCACCATCCTCAGCACACCTCTCATTTTGGACGAGGGGTAGGGGTGGGCAGGGCTGGGGATGAGTGTATAGGATCTCTCTGAACTTGTGCTTGACACCCAGAGAAATTCTGGCTTGGCCCTTAAGCTAGCACCCACCCCAGTTTCCTTCCTAGCTTAACCGGGGAGAGGAGTTGGGGTGAAGAGACTATCTGTGTAGGAGCAGGCCATTTGATGACACGTCCATGTGGCAGGCCAGAGGTTCCCTACCCTCACGAGTGTCAGCCTCACCTGCAGGGCTTGCTGATGCTGCTGGTCTTGAATGACACTTTGAGAACTATAAGAGGCAAGAACCTTGACATCAACTTTCTGTCATTCATCTTTAGCATGCCTATCATACAGACTCTTCTGCATTTTGGTCATTTTTCAGTACATTCTGAAGTCTTGGTGAGCCTTTAACATACTTATTTTTTTCCCAAAAGATTCTTCAAAAGAAAAAGGAAGTGTGTCAAAGTAAAAAGCAGAGAATCTGATTAGTGTGGGTTTTGAATCTTAACTTTACCACTTCCTGTGTAATATTGGAGGTTATATTGCTACTTGTTTTCCCTGAGCACTAAATGAGGATAATAAACACAAGTTCATCCTATCATGAGAATAAATAGGAACTGAAACATAACAGGCATTCAAATTTAAGAGTTACTGATATTATTTTTACCTGTTAATAAGTACATTTTAGAATCATCATTATTTTTGTTAACCTTAATGTAGGGAGAAAAGACCCAGACATTTAGTTTTCCCATCCAATCTGTTTGAGATTTTCATATTCAGCTCGGCTTTTTCAACTGGGATAATGTTAACTCCTAGCAGAGGCTAATTCTCTTTTGGTTTCTGGGTATAGAGGTTTGCTGCTGTCATAATGAGGATCCGAGAGCCCAGGACAACAGCCCTTATATTTAGCTCTGGGAAGATGGTCTGCACGGGAGCCAAAAGGTATGAGGAATCATCCCTCCACCCCTACCAGAGAAACAATTTAGTATGTAAAACAAGGAAGCATAGAATTAATGTGCTAAAGCACATAGTAGAAGCAAAATGCCTTTCTTTGCTGAAGACTTTATTCAATGAAATGCCACATTTTGGGTTAAAAACACTCCTATAAATACTGACTTGGGCCAGGCATGGTGGCTCACATCTGTAATCCCAGCACTTTGGGAGGCCTAAGCAGGAGGATCGCTTGAGCCCAGGAGTTTGAGACCAGCCTGGGCAACACAGTGAGACTCCATCTCTGTTAAAAAAAAAAAAAAAAAAAAAAAGAGAAATCTAAAAAGTAGCTGGATGTGGTGGTGCATGCCTCTAGTCCTAGCTACTTGGGAAGCTGAGGTGGGAGGATCACCTGAGCCCATGAGTTTGAGGCTGCAATGAGCTATGATCATACCACTGCAGTCCAGTCTGAGTTACAGAGCAAGACCCTGTCTCTATTAAAAAAAATAATAAAATACTGACATATCCCCATTTTACAGTTTCCCCTATTAAACCGAGGGGACTTAACTGCGCTGCTACAACTTGTTTCTAAGGTGAATTTTTTTTAAGTTACAGTAATGATGAAGTGTGTTATAAGTCTGGGGAAGTAGTTATTGTGGATTTTCCTCATTGCAGATAAATGGATAGAACTTTCTAAAGGAGCTCAATTAGACATTCCTTGAGCATTAGCTTGCATTAGCTCAGGAGGCATCCCTTAAAAATCTCATCTCTCCTGGATCTCACGCAGAGGAAGCCCTGTGTTGATGGGTATTCTTTCACCATAACTCTGTAGTGGCAGAGCCTGTTTTCTCCTGTAGGTGTTAAAAGATAAGAAGCAAATTCTCCTCCTGAAAAGTTGTGCCAATTTCTCGCTCTATAAATGTACTAAGTGTTCATTTTATCCTGTGGACACTGGGTGTCGATATTCTTTTTATATTTGCTAAATTGATTGACAAAAAGTTACATTGTTTTACATTTCTTTGATTTACTAGTGAGATTAAATAACTTTTTAGAAGTGCAGAAATTGCTATGTCATTTGCTCAGTTATCTATGGAGAGATTTATCTTTTGTTTTTGTTTTGTTAACTATTTTCACCATTTTATACTGTAAATATTTTTTCTCAGATTACTGTTTATGGTATTTTATGGTGTTTTTTTTGTTGTTTGTTTATTTGTTGTTTTTTTTTTTCTGAGACACGGTCTCACTGTGTTATCCAGGATGGAGTGCAGTGGTGTGATCTGGGCTCACTGCAACCTCCACCTCCCGGGCTGGAGCCATCCTTCCAGCTCGGCCTCTTAAGTAGCTGGGACCACAGGTATGCACCACCAGGCCTGGCTAATTTTTTTTTTTTTTTTTTGTAGAGACGGGGGTTTCCCCATATTGCCCAGGCTGGTCTCGAACTCCTGGGCTCAAGTAGTCCTCCCACCTTGGTCTCCCAAAGTGCTGGGATTACAGGCGTGAGCTACTACATCTGGCCTATGGTGGGTTTTTTAAAAAACACAAATTTTGAAGGGTATACTCATTTTATCCCATTTTTTTCTTTGTTTTCTACATTTGGCTTTGCCCTTAAGGCATTTGTGCACAGTATTATACAAATATTGACTTTCATATATTTTTTGGTCTTTTTCAGGTCCTGCTTTGTGATAGGAAAAGGATAGCTGGTATTTTGATTCACTTAGAGCTTTCTCTAGATGGAAATGTTCTATATCTGCACTGTTTAATGCAATGATATAGCCACTAGTCAGATGTGGCTACTGAGCACTTGAAATACAGCTAATACAACTGAGGGACTGAATTTATATTAATTGGACAGAGCAGATCTAGAATTTTGTTTCAATGTAAGATAATTATTTTTCCCAAATGATCAGTCGGTACTCAGATACATTTATTGAAGGATCCATTGTTACTACATTTCCCCCAATCTGTTTTTACATATTAAGTTCTTCACATGTGTCTGAGTACATTGCTGGACTTTCTCTTATGTTGATCCCAGGAATCTCCATTTTAAAGTGATTATTGGACAGTTGTGCAAGATGTCTGTAATAATGTTCATTTCAGCAATAGAACAGGGAAAACCTAATTAATAATAGGGTTTCAATTTGAAGTCATAAAGTAAAATTGTATTAGCCATATAGTACACATACTGAGCTGAAAGGATGGTCACATTGTATTAAGTTGGATTGCAGAGGGAGAAGTAAGCAGCTAAATGGTGTTTGTTATCCAACTTTCATTGTAAAATATGCTCATGTTACACATATTACACACATTCATGAGTGTCTTTTCTTATCTGAATTTATTCCTAAAATCTGATAGTGAAAGTTTGGATAATGAGTTCAGATAATAAGAGATACTTTTTATCCAAATATATTTGGTTTTGAAGTTTTGGATAGTGAGTTGTGAGAATTTAGTTAATAAGAGGTGCCAGTATTATCTCCACATTTTATCCAAACCTATTCTCTTTTGTTGTAACAGCAAGAGTATGAGGGATACCTGTGTTTGCGTAGGAAAAGTGCAGAAGATCAAATTTAGGTAGTTAACACCAGTATGGGTGAGATTTTAAGATTTTTAAACTACTTTCTAATGTTTGTACAATGAACATGTATATAGACTTTCAACTATTAGTTGTTTCAATAGAAACTTCTGTGTCCTTAGAATATCACAGCTGATATCCCAAGAAACTACAGGACTATGCAAACTTGAACAAATTTGAACTTATTTACATTACGGGAAATGTAATAGATTAGTTAGGCAAAATGTAGTTCAAAATGGAAACAGTTTATTTTACTGCTAACCTGGGGACATGGCCTTGCTAAGGACATTTCAAGAGTGAGAAGTGGGTGAAGAGAGCCAAGGGCAGTGCTGTGCAGCTGTAGTCAATCTAGTGAGTAGATACCAGATCAACAGATGGCCATGTGCAGTGGCTCACACCTGTAACCTCAGTACTTGGGGAGGCTGAGGTTGGGAGGGTCACTTGAGTCCTGGAGTTTGAGCCCAGCCTGGGCAAGACAGCAAGACCCTGTCTCTATAAAAATTTAGGCAGGTGTGGTGGTGCATGCCCCTGCAGGCTACTTAGGAGGCTGAGGCAGGAGGATCACTTAAGGCCAGAAGTTCAAGGCTGCAGTGAGCTATGATCATGCCACTGCACTCCAGCCTGGGTAACAGAGCAAAAACCCAATCTCTTTTTTTTTTTTTTTTTTTTTTTTTAAAGTGGGTGAGGAGAATCAACATTAAATGAGGTGACACATGTATGTAGTAACGAATACCCAAGAGGGGGCAGTGTTGGTGAAGGATCTGGATAAGAGAATCAAACACTTGCTTTAGTCCAGGCAAACAAGTTCAAACTGGCTTTTCTTTCAGGTGTTTCTGATTTACAGCCTAAAAATAGGGCCAAACCCATGAGGGGGGTGGAATTCACCTGATTCACCCTGCAGGTGTTGCTACCTACTGTTTTGTTTTGTCACTAACAGTTGAAAAATACCTAAGGAGAAATGAAGCCTCACCTCTCAGGACTCCACAGGCTCTGCTATGAATTTAGGGGTGCAGCAGGACAGACACTTAAAGGACATAGCCACAGAGTAGGACAAATTCCTGTCCTTCTTGTGTTGAGTTTGAATTGAATTGAAGATTGGGTGAGAAAGCCGAGCAAAACAAGGGGGGTTTTGAGGTATTTTCATGTGGTTGTTTTGGACAGTGTGTCCAATAAAGACTCAAGAACTGATACCTTGTCTGTGCCACTCAATCAGCACATATCTTACCTCCTTATATGCGATTTTTTTTTGTATGCATGTGTCCTTATTTTTTCTTGTTGTTTTCTTTTTTTTTTTTTTTTTTTTTTTGAGACGGAGTTTCACTCTTGTTGCCTAGGCTGGAGTGCAATGGCGCGATCTCAGCTCACTGCAACCTCTGCCTCCCAGGTTCAAGTGATTCTCCTGCCTCAGCCTCCTGAGTAGCTGGGATTACAGGTGCCCGCCACCATGTCCAGCTAATTTTTTTGTATTTTTAGTAGAGACAGCGTTTCATCATGTTGGCCAGGCCGGTCTCGAGCTACTGTCCTCAGGTGAGCTGCCTGCCTCAGCCTCCCAAAGTGCTGGGATTACAGGCGTGAGCCACTGTGCCCAGCCATTGTTCTCTTCTAAATGGGACATACTTTGAGACTGGATGAATGGTTCCCAAACTGCAGTGAGCAGCACAGTTACCTAGAGGGCTTGTTAAAAGACAGATTGCTCGGCCCCACCCCCAGAGTTTCTGCATGTCTGAGGTGGAACCTGGGACTTTGCATTTCTAACAAGTTCCCAGGTGAAGCTGCTGGTCTGGGGACACACTTTGCGAATCCTTGGAATCGTTTTAGCAAATAACACCCAAGTAAAAGTAAAAGTACTTCATATATGAAAGGTGACAAATGAAGACAAAAATTTATGATTCTGTTCAACAGCTGTACAATTTTACAAGACCTTTTATAAGGTGCTAGGGACGAAAGTATGGGAAGTAAGTCCTCCTCACAAAGCCTACAGCTTCATAGTATACATTGAAAGATAAACGTGGTACAAATGGTAACAATCCAATACAACACCAGTAGTTGAGAGGATGTAGCGATTAAGACATCTTTAAACATATTTGCCCCTCCCCAGTGAAGAGCAGTCTCGACTTGCAGCAAGAAAATATGCTCGTGTGGTGCAGAAGCTTGGGTTCCCTGCCAGATTCCTCGATTTTAAAATTCAGAACATGGTTGGAAGCTGTGATGTGAGATTTCCCATCAGGCTGGAAGGTTTGGTGCTAACCCATCAGCAGTTCAGTAGGTATGACGGTTATATAGCTTGAACTTTGAATTTACCAAGATATTTAAGTTACATTATGGGTTGCTTACGTAAAGTATCTTTCAGAGAAATTGTGATTAAAAAAAAAAAGGCGGGGGACACAATAGTGAAAAGATTAAGATGCTATGCCTGAGTTCTCATAGGTTACCACATGTGCCCAGTCTTTTGAAACCATGGTTCTTAAACTTACATTGCTTAGCAATCACTTAGCTTATTAAAGCACACATCTCTGGCTGGGTTTCTTCACCAGAGATTTTGCTAGAATTTGTGTTTCTAAAAAGCTCAAAGGTGATGACAGTGCTACTGGTCAGAGGCCCACACATTGAGATCCAGTAATCTACAGATTTGTAAGCATACAAACGTAGCTTGGCAATGACACTGGCAAGATAAGGCATGTGTTGGGAGGCCGAGGCAGGCGGATCACGAGGTCAGGAGATCGAGACCATCCTGGCTAACACGGTGAAACCCTGTCTCTACTAAAAATACAAAAAATTAGCCGGGCGTGGCAGCGGGCGCCTGTAGTCCCAGCTACTCGGGAGGCTGAGGCAGAAGAATGGCCAGAACCCAGGAGGTGGAGCTTGCAGTGAGCCGACCTCGCGCCACTGGACTCCAGCCTGGGCGACAGAGCGAGACTCCGTCTCAAAAAAAAAAAAAAAAAAAAAAAAAAAAGATAAGGCATGTGAAATGGACTAGGCCGGTAGGAAGGGGCTTGACAGCTGGTGAGGGGAGAATGGATTGGGGAGAAGATGAAAAAAGAATGCTGTAGCACGTTCTATGAAAGCAATCCTGGGAGGCTGAGGCAGGAGAATGGCGTGAACCCGGGAGACGGAGCTTGCAGTGAGAGATCGCGCCACTGCACTCCAGCCCGGGCCACAGCCAGACTCCGTCTCAAAAAAAAAAAAAAAAAAGCAATCCTAACTAGTTTGTCCCCTATCTGTGTGTGTGTGTGTGTGTGTATATAGCTGCAGCCCGCAACACAATGTTGCCTGTAGTATATTCCTTTTCCTAGGGAATATCTCTAGCCTTCCTGACTTCAGACTTCCCGTCTCAACAGCTAGTGCTCCTCCCCCGCCCCCAGCCGTTTTGGTGGCTCTCCCATCCCAGGCCCTCAGAGAGCAGGGATGGAGGGTGACTCATGGACACCAAACCCCTTGACTCACCAAGATATACACCTGGGCTAGGGCACTTGGCCTGGGTTAATCACAGATGCTCTTAAATTCTCTTGGCCAAGCTGGAACTGAAGTTCTTTCATTCCAACGCCTTATCTTCTCTTGGCCATCGAATGATTATCCCGTCAATAGAGTAGATAGGGATCATATTGCTGTGCTTTCCCTAACATTTGTTAGCTTTCCTTTCAGATATGATCTGAATGGAAGTTAAAAATTCCTTTTTCTTCTAAAATATTTTCATTCATTCTGAGATTCAGCTTTTATGATATGCTTATTTTTCTTTTGACATGTTTATTTTTCTCTTGATTATGTTTTCTTTTTTCTTCAGTTTTTTCACTGTATGCTATTGAATGCCTAAATATACCCCATTTTTTAAAAATCTGAGCTCCCTATAAAGTCCTCCCATTCCCCCATGTAAGACATGTTGCCTCTTTAGGTATCTTTCTTCCTTCAATCTTGGCATAATTTGCAGATTTCCTAATAAAGCCTGTTTCTAAGAGTCTCCCAGTGCTTAAGTTGTCTTATCTTCCAGACTCTCAAGTCACGAGCCTCCAGCCTATCTTTCTCTGAATCGGCTTAGTGTACATCTGCAAGAGCTCTGCCCGAACTCTAAGGTTGTGTCTACATTAGACTTAGCATTCCCTTCTGGCCATTCAGGGCTCGAAAATGATGTGTGTGGTTCTTCCCAAGTGTCCATTCATTTCTTTTTCACCAGCATCTTCCTTGCAGAGCAGATCTAAGTCTAGAATAGGTGCCCCTTGTTATTACTACCAGCTTCTGGAAGGGTTGCCAGTAAGGCGCAGTGAGAATACATCAGACGGAGTGGGCCCATCCCTGTTCTATCTTCCTCCTGGGACAGTTTTATGATCTCAGTCATCTTTTCTTTTCTTTTCTTTTTTTTTTTTTAATCTGGCCAGGAAGCTTGCTTTGTATTCCCACAACTTTCTATTTCTAGTCTCATTCTTGCCTCCCCCTCATCCTCTCCATTCGGCTGTCAGCCTCAGGTTATGGATTACAACTCCAGAGTGTGTATTCTTGACACTGGGAACATTAAAAACACCTCTTAGAAGATTTGAATTTTTAACATGAGGCCTCTCTAATTGTCTGTAGCTCTGTGGGGAACCATGCTACATAATCAGTTATAATTATCAGGCCAAATTTGCCTTGTGTTAAACCCCTAAGGTCATTCAGTTTCCCAGGTTCTGCAAATTTGTATGTCAACATTTAATAATACAAGTATCTCCTTTTGTTACCAGGCACTTTCTCTGGTAATCTTTCTATGACATAATCATTTCCACAGTTGTCAATGAGAATTTTTCCCTCTTTATTTTATTTATTTATTTTTTTTTTTTGAGATGGAGTTTTGCTCTTTTGCCCAGGCTGGAGTGAAGTGGCATGATTTCAGCTCACTGCAACCTCCACCCCCCAGGGTTCAAGTGATTCTCCTGCCTCAGCCTCCTGAGTAGCTGGTATTATAGGCACCCACCACCACACCCGGCTAATTTTTGTATTTTTAGTAGAGACGAGGTTTTACCATATTGGCCAGGCTGGTCTTGAACTCCTGACCTCAGGCGATCCACCCACCTCGACTTCCCAAGTACTAGGATTACAGGTGTGAGCCACCGCACCCGGCCCCCTCTTTAATTTTTAATTCAAAGGTATCCTGATATAAATACTTGCTATATGAATAAGATCTAGGTGACTACCATGTAGCAGATGCTAGGATGATAATGGCAAGCAATATAGCTATAGTCCCTTGCCCACATAGAGATCACTGTCTAAAAGAAAAGATGGACAAGTCAATGACAGTAATGAAACATGGTGACTGTGAAGGTAAGGCCCTTCAGGGGCTATGAGACCATAAAGCAGGGTCTTTAATGTAATTGGGGGTGGGTAGAGATCAAGGAAGATTTTCTTGGGGAAGTAACATTTAAAATGAGACTTGAAGGATGGGTCAAAGTTGGGTTGGCCAAGAAATTGGCAGGTGTTCGATATTCTCAATCTTTGTGAAATGTTCTCCATCCCTAACCAAAACCACTCTCTTTCTCTGCCTCAGCCTTCTTTTGGAATGAGGCAGAGAATAAATAAAATGAAGTATATTCCTAATTGGGAGCACATTATACTGGTAATCTTAAAACCATGGTTCTAAAAGCTAAATGCAGTTCAATATCATTTACATACCAAAGTTTTTGTTTTCTCTTTTCTAAGTCTTAAAATTTAGCTGGAAGATCAAATGGAAATCTTCTTTTTGTGTCTCCAGCCTTCATTTTCTTGGCCTGGATCTCATAGCCCTGGAGGGTTTTTCAGGGCTCCCCCTAGTGTCATGGTCTCCCCAGTGTTGGGAAGTGGTTAGTGGGAGAAAGTCTTGACAGGCTCCCTGCAGTAAGACAGAGTGATGTTCCAGAAGACAGTTCCACCCACAATGACCTCCTATACTTGAGATGGGCAAGACTCACTTCAAGATGCGCCTTTCTGGAGCCAGTAAAAGGTTCCACATCTGCTGTTGTTTTTGGGTCTTGTTCATTGCTGAACTGAATGGAGCTTTTCCATGCAGTCTGGATTCACCCTTTAAGTGCAAAGATGCTAGTGTTCCATTGCTTGGATGTCTTTTTTTCTTATATTTCTTGTCCATTAGCCACTGCTTTGAGAATAGTTTTATTCACCTCCTCTCACTTCCTGACTTCTTTTTGGTAGGTTCCTCAAGCCTTTCTAAGAATCTGCCCTCCTCTCCAGGCTGGAGTGTGGAGAAGAAGCTCTTAAGTGCTATCATCTTTCGCTCCATGGAGTGGCCAGCTTATATTTAGTAGTAAATATGAGTTACTATTTATAGCAACAAATCCTGAATTGTAAAAACTCGGGATAATTGGATTTTCTTTATTTATATAGCACCTGTTCAAATACAAATAGCAGTGGCCTAGAAATATTTTTAGGTTCTATCTGCTAAAAATGTTAACTTCAGCAGTTCGTAAAAGCATACAAAATATGTTTATTATTGGAGAATTTGGAAACCCAGAAAAACATGATTATGTATTCTTATTAACAGACTTTTTTGAAAAGATAGAGGATGTTTAACCAACAAGCTCTCAATACACTAAATCAGATGCCCTAAGTTACCTTGATTTCTAATAACCATCCAGGATAGCTTGCACTTGTGTTATGACCCAAAATTAATTATGTTCCTAACTTCCATAAGATATTACCTAGGACACTCAAGACTCTTCATCAAGATAGTTAAAAAGTTTTTGATAAAATAGCTAACTTATTTACAACTGCTTTAATATGCACTTTAATATACTGGGCCTTACATGTTATGGGAAAGGAGCTGAATAGTGCTATTTTTAACATTTTCCTTTTACATCTTAACAGTTACGAGCCTGAACTGTTTCCTGGTCTTATTTATAGAATGGTAAAACCACGAATTGTGTTGCTTATCTTTGTATCTGGAAAAGTTGTGTTGACAGGTAAGTGCTAAGATTATTTTCTGACTCATAAAATGTAATTGCTATGCATGTGCTTTGCTTATTCTTTTAAATACCTTTGTTCACCATGGTAAAGTAATTCTTGTTATACAGAATACCTGGAATGAAAAATAAGAAAGGAATAACATCACCCATAGGTCCCAGTACCTAAAACAACATTTTTTTCATGTTTTTATGTCATTTTATTAAGTATTTCATCTTTACATCCTGATTTTTTTACAGAATTATCCATGATAACATATATGGCTTAAACTTACTGTTACAAACTCTTCATAAAGGCTTTTAATGGCCACACAAGGTCCTAACACAGGGGTTAACAAACTCTTTTCTGGAAAGGGCCAAATACTAAATATTTTAAGCTTTGTGAGCCACAGGGTCTGTCACAATTACTGAGCACTGCCATCGTAGTGTGAAAGCAGCTCTGAATGTTACATTATATAAAGGAATGGGCTCTGAAATGTGAATTTCATATCGTGACATAATTTATGTGTGTTATGTAATATTTTTTCCCCAACTGCTGAAAAAGATAAAAACCATTCTTAGCTCATAGGCTAACAAAATCAGGCAGCAGGATGGCTTTAGCCAGCAGACCTACCTTTGCTGAACCCATTCTAACATGTTATTGAATCAAACGTATTGTCCCATTGCTAGATAGGTAAATGTTCCTTCTTTGTTTGCTACTTATGAAGGGCAGACATTTGGCTGCTTTTACCTGTAGACAATTATGATATTAGTGTGGACACTCAGAAATGGGACTTTCGTTTAAGGCTATGTCCATTTTGTTCTTAGAACAAATCGCCCAATTGTTTTAAAGGGATATATGACATAGTTCTGTATCACATGGTCTTAAATGCAATGTATCTAAATATCTTTTACCAAATGCTTGGCAGCATTCCAAACAAAATGGTACCAAAGAAAACTTTAACTGTATATGTAAAAATTATCTCACTACTTTAACCCCACCGGTAATCAGAGACAGAAATCGACCATTTTTCAACACATCCAATAAATAGCATTTTGTCTCTTGTAAATAATATGTACATGACATAACTTATCCTTTTGTCTACTTAGCTTGTATTTTCTCGGGATTTGAGTTTACTATAATACTATTAAAGACAAATTATTCTTTGCTATATTTGTTATTTTTTCCTGTTGGCTTTTTTTTAAATAATTTTTGCATAAATAGCACTTTTTAAAACTACTTGAGGGAATGGTTCAGACTCTTTTCTATGTCATTCTACAGAAGGTTGCTATATATATTGTTGTTTGTTTGTTTGTTTTTGTTTTTGAGACAGAGTCTCACTCTGTTGCCCAGGCTGGACTATGGCGGCGCGATCTCAGCTCACTGCAACCTCCACCTCCAGCGTTCAAGTGATTCTCCTGCCTCGGCCTCCTGAGTAGCTGAGACTACAGGCACATGCCACCATGCCCAGCTAATGTTTTGTATTTTTCGAAGAGATGGGGTTTTGCCAAATTGGCTAGGCTGGTCTCGAACCTCTGGCCTCAAGTGATCTACCTGCCTTGGCCTCTCAAAGTGCTGGGACTACAGGTGTGAGCCACTGTGCCCCACCTACAGAAAGTTGCTATTTTATGACCGGGCGCGGTGGCTCACGCCTGTAATCCTAGCACTTCGGGAGGCCGAGGCAGGCGAATTATGAGGTCAGGAGTTCAAGATGAGCCTGGCCAACATGGTGAAACCCTGTCTCTACTAAAAATACAAAAAAAAAATTAGCTGGGCATAGTGGCAAGCGCCTGTAATCCCAGCTACTCAGGAGGCTGAGGCAGGAGAATCGCTTGAACCTAGGAGGTGGAGGTTGCAGTGAGCTGAGATCGCGTAGTCTACTTTTGTCTTTTTATACATTTCACTCTCCTCTACCATAATGAATGCCAAGTTTATGTGGCCTGAGCCAAACTGATCTCCATGCCCCAGTCCCAAATAGCTAGCCAACCAACTTAACGCTACATATCTTCTCATTAATTTTGGATGACTCCTTTTGACCTTTCTTTTACATATGTGGCTGTTCTTCGGTTCTGCCTTTGCTCTAGGTTTATCCTATTATAATCCTATTGCCTTTATCTTATTGTAGCTTTAATACTCATGGTATATCTAATAAGGCCAATTTCCCCTCATTACTTTAATTTTTATATTTCTTAGCCTCTCTTAAATGTATATTCCTCCAAACTAGAATTTTATAAAATCTTGCCTCATCTAAAAAAATTGAGACTTTTATATTACCTGAATTCAGAAAAGTTGATTAAGTCATAACTCAGCATCCAGCAAAATGACATGTCTGTTTTAAGTGTTCTTTTATAACTCTGAGTTGTATAGTTTGCTTTTCTTTAAGAAATAATTAATGTGTCTTCAAAGAGGGGAAAGTTTCTGGGTATGGTGGCTCACGCCTGTAATCCCAGCACTTTGGGAAATTGAGGCAAGCAGATCACATGAGGCCAGGAATTCAAGACCAGCCTTGCCAACATGGTGAAACCCCATCTCTACTGAAAATACAAAATTAGCTGGGCATGGTGGCAGGCACCTGTGACCCCAGCTACTTGGGAGGCTGAGGCAGGAGAATCACTTGAACCTGGGAGGCAGAGGCTGCAGTGAGCCAAGTTCGCGCCACTGCACTCCAGCCTGGGTGACAGAGTGAGACTTCATCTTAATTAAAAAATTAAAAACAAAGTGGGGAAAGCTTGTTTGGAATCCAAGAACGTTTTGAATGCAGCAAAACTACAATTCCTCAGATGGCACTAATTTAGAGTCTGGAGTAATTAAGACCCCCTAGTGACTGACATAAAGTTTACCTCTACATGTCCTAGAGGAAGTGAGAAAAGCCTGCCAATAAAATTGAATAGTGTAGATATCAGAGGCAAATACATACCCTACTTAGGGAAACACACTTTCAAGTCCTTTGGAAGGAAACTTTCATAAGTGCCATGTATCATTACAAATAAATCTTATTAAAAGTGCAAATTGCCAAATACAGGCAAAGTTCCTATTATAGATTTCTTTAAATGCCCTTAATTCAGATCAGCTTTCCCACCTACCCCAAATTTCTTTTTTCTTTTTTTTTTTTTTTTTTGAGACAGATTCTCACTCTTTTGCCCAGGCTGCAGTGCAGTGGTGCGATCTCGGCTCACTGCAACCTCCGCCTCCCGGGTTCACGCCATTCTCCTGCCTCAGCCTCCCCAGTAGCTGGGACTACAGGCACCTGCCACTATGCCCAGCTAATTTTTTTTGTATTTTTAGTAGAGACGGGGTTTCACCGTGTTGGCCAGGATGGTCTCGATCTCCTGACCTCGTGATCCACCCGCCTCGGCCACCCAAAGTGCTGGGATTACAGGAGTGAGCCACCGCACCCAACCCCCAAATTTCTTTTAAAAAGCTTTCATTTACACATTTGCCAGTTTCAAATCACAGAAGTAAAGGATTGTTACTAAATACTGAAGACTATACAGTACACTTCCCTTAAAATTTCTAAGTATACAGAATAGGCAAATTTAAATTTCTTGCAAGACATGGACTTTTCTGGAGGTGAGGATTAAATACATTAACTGAAATCCAAATTCTGCTTATACTGTGAAGTAAAAGTTAATCCATGACTTACTACTGAAATGATAAATAATTATCATCTCTTGGCGTTTTACCTGTTCATGCTATACTGTCTTAAACTATTTAGCCTAGAGCTACGCAGTTTAGGTTATTTTTGCCTCAGCCTTAGAGACAAATGTTCCTTATTACTTAATCCTGTGTCTCTAGACTCTTTTCACCCGCAAATGGATTAAAAACTTAAGGGCCTGGCTAGGCGTTGTGCTCACGCCTGTAATCCCAGCACTTTGGGAGGCTGAGTTCAAGACCAGCCTGGCCAACATGGCAAGACCCTGTCTCTACTTAAATTACAAAAATTAGCCGGGCATTGTGGTGCGTGCCTGTAATCCCAGCTACTTAGGAGGCTGAGGCAGGAGAATCGCTTGAACCTGGGAGGCGGAAGTTGCAGTGAGCCGAGATCGTGCCACTGCACTCTAGCCTGGGTAACAGAGCAAGAGTCTGTCTCAAAACAAACAAACAAACAAAAAAAACCTTAAGGGCCTAATTTCAGGTGAACACCTCAGGAAAGGAACCAAGGCGGTCTCCTTTCAGGCTCCTCCCTAAACTGAAGCTTGGGGAAGCTCATGTGTGGCCTAGTGCAGCATGGCACAACTGGGTACTCTACAGAGATGTTCTGAAAGCAGTATCTCAATAATGGTAAATAACTTGCCTAGAAAATGTAAAGTGTTGCAATTACAAATGAACTTTGAGTCTGACTGTAGAAAATAATGAATTCCAGCTCTTGCCTAGTTGGGAACTGTAGAATGCCAATGCCCATAGTACAGATGTGTGGCAATTTGAAACCATTGTATCATGCCATTTGCAGGTCTTTGAAAATAATTTATCCATATAAAATGGTCTTACTCCCCTGAGTTGCCACAGCTACAGCCACCATGTCTAAGGTTACTTCTGAATGTCCTAATTATAGTCAAGTAAGCTGAAAACAAAGAGGCCCTGCTGTTCTACTGTCATGGTCCTGAGCAGAAAGCAACAGGACCTGGGCCCAGCTTACACTGTTCTGGATCTGTGCTTGTTTTCTGTGGCTGGTGTGACATTTAGGGCCCATGTTTTTTTCTTAAACCACAGTAAAATTAATAGCATAGCTAGGTTCTGCTGGAATGGGGTATAACAAACAGCAAATATGTCAACTTCCACTTCTAAGATCAGGCATAATCATCAGAGTTAACATATTGGGCACTCATATGACAGACACTGCTTCATAAGGACTTTCACATGGGGTCTGGTTAACTCTGTGAGTTGTACTTTATACCTAAGTTTCCTCACCTGTAAAATGGAACGGCTTAGTAAACTTAACGATATCAAGCAGCTGTGTGTGCCGCAGGGCAACAGGCATGTGAGGAGCCAGGCTCCAGAGCCCACTGGGCTCACCCTGTCCCACAGCAATTTGCAAGTCTACAATAACACCTGTGTGGTCTCCTGGCCAACTTCTTAATTCTCCTTGTCAGCTGAAAGAATGATTAAGATTCTCTTAGCAGTGAGGGTCAGCAGGTGTAGTGGCTAAAAGGATGGACTGGAGAGTTGTCCAGTTTTAATCATAATCTGCCATTTATTGACTGTGTGGCCTTGGTGAGTTTAAGTTCTCCGACTTGGTTTCCATATATGCAAAATGCAAGTGACCATAGAATCTACCTAAGTGTTGTAAGGAAGCAGAAAACCAGTGCCTGGCACTGTTGAGCTATTATTATCTTAGTGAAAACACACTCTCCTGGTTTTTTCTCTATCATTGACAAAGACTGGAATTTTGCTGTGATGCCTTGCCCTGATGATAGGAATATGAAGACAAAGATGCTTCAGGAAAACGCTTATTTATTTATTTCCCTCTAGCATAAAGAACTAAGAAGTTGTGTCATTGTTGCTGAGGGTCACCCTTAATCAGCTCAACATCTGTGCTTCTCGGAAATGAGTAGGTCAGAGGGCAGCAGAAAAATGCCAAGACTTGTTAGTGAGTGGGCCAGAGACACGACAGGATGTGCCTCCCAATTGTTAACAGTAACCCCCAACTAATAGTAAATTGGTATATGTCATAAAATGAATAACTTGAGCGGTGCAATGCTATTTTTACAAACTTGTAAGGTTTTGACTTATACACACACGACTGTGGCATCACTCGGGAAAATATGTGCAGTTATGACTTGATGTAAGAACAGAACTGGAAAATCCACGTAGTATTGGAGGTTGATATTTGGAGCTGACTAAGGGGTAGGGATGAACTTATAAACCTTATCAACAAATTACAGATATTTAATAAATTTTGGGTGCCTACCAAGTACTTGTAATGTGCTGGGGGCTGGGGACAAAGGTGAATCTAATATACTCCCCATCTGGCAGGAATCCAGCCCTGCTGAGGGAGACAGACATAAATAAATTACATGTTGCTGGCTTATCAGAATGAAATGATAAGCCATGTGTACTTGGACTAGCCATGCCAATGTCCCTAAGCTGGAAGTATATTCCTCTAGGGTAATAAAATGGCTTAGATTTTATAAAATGTCCCAACTTTCTACAAACCTTAGCTCACATCCTTTATCACAACTCTACAAGAAGGTTTATTGTCCTTATTTTACAAGTAAGAAAACTGAAAGTGGTTAAGTAATTTATTTTCCTGTTATTTTAAAGCTAGTTAGAGGTAGAGCTGGCACTTAAGCCCATATTGTTTGATCTCAAAGCCAGTCCTTTCTCTAGTGCACCAGGCCACACAATTTTCACCTTAGTCACCAAGGTTAGGAATGGTATTTATTCCCCAGAAATTACAGCCTGAAGAAAAGGAATGGTAAGTTTTGCTTAAAAGGCAAGGTTCATATACCAGCACTTTGGGAGGCCAAGGTGGGCAGATCACTTGAGTCGAAGAGTTTGAGACCAGCCTGGGCAACATAGCGAGACCCCCATCTCTACTGAAAATAGACAAAATTAGCCAGACATGGTGGTGCTTGCCTGTAATCCCAGCTACTTGGGAGGCTGAGGCATGAGAATCACTTGAACCCAAACCCAGGAGGCAGAGGTTGCAGTGAGCTGAGATGGTGCCACAGCACTCCAGCCTGGGTGACCGAGCGAGACTTTTTTTTTTTTTTTTTTTTTTTTTTAAGGCAAGGGTCATCTCATTGGAGCCTGGTATTACAAATTGGGGTTTTTGATTATTGATTGATTATTAATAGGACTATGGAGCCAATTTAGGTTCCCTTAAACTTTTGATGGCAATATTTTAGTGAGGAAATGTTTGACTAAATTGACCAAATCCCCTCATTTTAACAACCTGTTACAAATACTGGCAATGTTGATTTGTTGACTTTTGGTGTAAAGGAAGGAACACCGGTTACACGCACTCTTCTCCCACAGCTGCTGCTGTATGGTTCAGGTAACATCTGTTTCTTATGCCTTTATGAAATGAAGAAATTGTACTAATTTCCCTAAAGTCCTCCTATGTCTAAAATCGTTTCTCTATGATATAATGATCCCTCAAATGTCCATTCCCTCTTGGGAAAGGGCGCCCCCCAGGGGCCTCCAGATGGTATACTCCTTGAGCTTGAATGCAATGCTCTTAGTTATGATTTTCGGTCTGAAGTCCAATGCTCTACTCCTGAGCTATACCACCTCCTAGTTAGGATTTTTTAATATAAAAGTGTTATGGAAAATGAGTGAAGTTCATGGCTGTCCAAAATACTGGACCTGGACACTGTTCCTCAATTAAATATGAAAAGAAGAACCTTGGTTTTGGGGATTTTGGGAGAGGGGCATGTGTGTGTTTGCTGTACCTATTATGCTTCATTGTCTGCTAACAAGGTTGTTCAAGACGAATGCAGCTAGAAGCCCAAAAAGTCCATCAAACCAGAGGCAGTGGTTCTTGCTTCTTCACCAACTCACTGTTTAGTTTCTAAAGAGTTTGGTTTTGTAGAAACCAAAATTTTAGAGCTGGAACTAAAAATCTGCTGAAACTTGTGGCTTTTTCTACCCCAAAGAACCAGTTTCTCTTATGTGTGTCAGTAACTCACTCTCCTCCCCACCGCAAATCTTTGAAGGTGAAGACCTACAGATAGTAAACTTTTTGGCAATGAATAAATAACTTTTCTTCTCTTTATTTTTTCTCTTTTTATTTTTTTCCTTTATTTTTATGGAGACAGGGTGTCCCTATGTTACCCGGGCTGGTCTCAAACTCCTGGGCTCAAGGGATCCTCCCACCTTGGCCTCCCAAAGTGCTGGAATTACAGGTGTGAGCCACCATGCCTGCCCTTATTTCTTAAAAAATTAAGCTTATAAGGACTTCATCCCTGATTGTTTAATATTTAAGGTGAACGCACATAACAAATTTAACCATTTTAAAGTGAACAGTTCAGTGGCATTTAGTAGCTGGTTGTGTATTGTGAATATACCACCGGCTCTACCTAGTTCTAAAACATTTCTATTGCTCCAAAATAAAACCTGATATCATTAAACCATTCCCCCCATTCCCCTCTCCTCACTTCCCCTGGCAACTACCAATCTGAATTCTGTCTCCATGGATTTAACTCTTCTGGATACTTCTTATACATAGAATCTTATAACATGTGACTTTTCATGTCTGGCTTTTCACTTAGATGAGCCTAAGAAACATGCTATATGTTGTAGCATGTGTACTTCATTTCTGTTTATGACTAATATTCTATTGTATATACACACCATACATTTTTTTATTTTGAGACAGAGTCTCGCTGTGTCGCCCAGGCTGGAGTGTAATGGTGCGAACTCTGCTCATTGCAACCCCCGCCTCCCAAATTCAAGCAATTCTCCTGCCTCAGCCTCCCAAATAGCTAGGATGACAGACGCCCACCGCCACGCCTAATTTTCTTTTGTATTTTTAGTAGAGACGGGGGTTTCGCCGTGTTGGCCAGGCTGGTCTTGAACTCCTGACCTCAGGTGATCCACCTGCCTGGGACTCCCAAAGTGCTGGGATTACAGGTGTGAGCCACCACGCCCCGCCTACACTATAAATTGTTATCCATCCATTGACGGGCATTTAAGCTGTTTCCACCTTTTGGCAAGTGTGAATAGTGCTGCAATGAAAGTGCGTAGTATTTTTTTTGAGTACCTGTTTTCAATTTGGGGTGTATTTACCAAGGCGTGAAATTGTTGGGTCATGTAGTAATTCTTTAACTTAACCACCGAACTAGTTTCCACAGTAGCTGAGCCATTTTTTGTTCCTATCAGCAATGTACTTTATAGTTCTTAAGAGTCTTTATCAACTAAAGCTATTTTCCATTTCTCTTCATGCTAACAGTTGTTATAGTCCTTTCATTATCCTCCTTTCTTCCTTCCTTGCCTCCAGCCCACAAAATATCAGATTAACTGATTAGTGTCCTGATTAGCTGAAGCTCCATATAAATATAAGTAGTACAAGTACATGACCCTTAGCACAACGTGCCTGCATAATTTGGAAGCTGGAGGTAATGGTGGTGTTTGGTTGTTGGTGAGAGATGAGTAGGGACTAATACTTCTCAATGGTGGAGACTGTTTGATTCATGTTTTTATCCCTGTAATTCCTACAGCAGTTATGATTTACAATTTCTTGAAACAAGACTTTACGAGTGACAGTAGTACAGTTTTCCCCTCTAATAATCCCTTCCCATGCACTAAAATTTAAAACTCTTTTAAATTTAGAATTTTAAACTAAAATTTAAAACAAATTTAAAGCTCATTTGTCTCCATCTGTTATCAATATTAGGGAATCAAGATGTTAACTAGAGAGGACGTGGATCAAAAGAAGTCCCTTTTGCTGGTAGCTAAGTGCCCGCAGGTGCTGATGAAATTACTCTGAGGCCATATTCATGGCACATGTAGAGATAACATTCCACATTTCATACTGAGCACTGTGTGAGCAAAGATGACACCCACAGAGAAGTTCTAGAAAACTCTGCTCTAAGGTTTCTGTCTTGTGGAAATATGGCTGTAGTTGCCAAATTATTTACCCGGAATAAATGCCATTTCTCAGGTACAGCTAAAGAGATGTCATATTAAAAGTAATTGGAGACAATACAATGAAATTTTAGTGTTTAAGTAAATGTTGGTATTTTTATATTAAAAATTATATAAACCTGGATTTCTTTATAGGTGCCAAAGAACGTTCTGAGATCTATGAAGCATTTGAAAACATCTATCCTATTCTAAAAGGTTTTAAAAAAGCCTGAGCATATCATTCAGCATCTCACATTATTCTGGTTTGAATATGTCCATAAGCCCAGCACAGAAACAGCTGGATTCTTCTACGTTTAATTGTAGATGTTACAAGTACGTTACTTATTAAAGGGCGACTCTGTGTAAGTAACCTAAGAAACGAAGAAAAATTCTTATTCAAAATGACTCCTTTTGTGTTATTTTAAAAACTGAACAAGTAAACATTTCAAAATTTGAGAGATTTAGGGTCTCACTAGAATGATATTGTAGCATCATGAAGACTCAATGCGTTTCCTTTTAGCCGGAAGGGCCATCTTCCAGTAATTTGCCAAAATGACGAACACAAAGGGAAAGAGGTGAGGCACCTGATACATGTTCTCTAGGCCTTTTAGAAAAGATGGAGTTGTTCCTTTGGCCACATACATGCGAATCTACGAAAAAGGTGATATTGTAGACATCAAGGGAATGGCTGCTTTTCAAAAAGGAGTGCTCCGCAAATGTTACCACAGCAAAGCTGGAAGAGTCTACAGTGTTACCCAGCATGCTGTTGGCATTGTAAACAAGGGCAAGATTTTTGCCAAGAGAATGAATGTGCTTACTGAGCCAGGCTGGTCTTGAACTCCTGACCTCAGTTGATCCATCTGCCTGGGCCTTGGCACTCTAAGAGCCAAGTAAGTTTCCTGAAACGCGTGAAGGTAAATAATCAGAAAAAGACGTCAAAGGGAGAGGTGTCTGAGTTCAACTGAAGCGCCAGCCTGCTCCACCCAGACAAGCACTTAGAACCAATGGAGGGAGCCTGGGCTGCTGGAACCTATTCCCTATGAGTTCATGGCATAATAGGTGTCAAAAAAAATTCTGAACTGTACAAATGTTTCTCTTCATTGAGAAGTGTGGCGCCGCCCCCTCCCCTTAAAGAAATATTTAAACTACATTTTGTATCCAAAAACCTCAGTGCTCTGCTGTTAAGTAATACATTAATATGCGTTCTCTGAAAATATATAGCAACATATAGGAGTTTCAAATAACTGCATAAGCTAGATACTATCTGTGATATCATCTAGCACGATAGGAATTAATGTGTATTTTTTGCCTTTTAAAATATTGAACAGTTGATCCTGATCATTAGGTATTAAGCACTGTGAAGGATCCTGTCTGAATACAAATGAAACATAAGCCCGAGACCTTAAAAAATAATCCTTTTGTTTGAAATGATCAGAGAGAAAGACTTCTCACTTAAAAATAAATCTTAAACTTTCAGGAACCATTCAAGTTTAGTGTAAACTGTATTCTGAATATAGAGAATTTTTGCTTTTGCTTGTTTTTGTAATCCTACGTGATTTGTATTTAAAAAGACTGGGTAAGATTAAGAAGACGGAGGAGCAAAGGGCTCAGATTCAAGACCTAATTAGCTTGTAGAATCACCAGTTTTCGATGGTGATGTGGAGATTAACAGGGAGGGACGGGCTAATATGAATCATGGCTCTTGGCTGTAAATCATCAGTGATTACGTCCTTTACCAAAGTAAGAAAACAGGTTTGTAGGGAGGCAGAAGTCAGTTTCCAACACTTTGAGTTTGTGGTGTCCTGGAATGTCACCTGATACCTAGTAAGTAGTTCTGGATCTTTGGGTATGGAACTTGAGAAAGGAATCCTGGCTAGAGAGAGAATTCAGGGCAGTTTATCAGTAGATAGCCTAGTAAAATCATCCTTGAGAATCACTGGTCTATTTAATCTCACCTATAAACTCACTTTTCTCTGTAGTTTAGAGGCATATTCAAACACTAATTACTCTGATATGATCCTCCCAACACATCACCTTATATATCCCCTATCCACCAAAAGAAACTTGAAGGGAAGTCCTAACCATCTACCTAGTTCAAATTCTCTTAGAGCATGGCCCAGGGTAGGGAAGGTACGTTAGCCACGTGATTAACTTTTCAGAAGGATACAATTCTGATTTTGCACGTTCACTTTGGTTGTTTTCACTATTGGTAAAGTATAATACTATTAACCATATTAATCCTCACGGCATTAGATGGGTACTATAATTCTATCCATTTAACACGAGAGAACAGGCGCAGAGAGATTAAGGAACTTGCCCCAAGTCACACAGCTATTAAGCAGGTGAGTGAGCCAAAATTCAACCTAGTTCCAAGACCCAGCCCCTTCACCCTACTTTGTTTGCTGTAGTTTAGCCAGATTTTAAAGCATCCACAGCAAGTTAAATTCCCTTATTCCGCTCCCATTCCGTTTTCCCAGAATCCTTAGGGTATGGTATTACAATTTTCTGCACAAGTTTGAGGCTTTAACTCGTAGTCTTGGCCTGAGCCAGCAGATGACATTTTGTTTGGCCGACTAGCCCCTCTAATATAACTCTCCCCCTGCTTCGGGACCTGTTGCCCCTCAGCAGACCGGAAAAACAACAGTGCCCGGGACAGGAACACGCGGCGGCGGAGGGGTCCGGGGGCTCGCCGGCATCCCAGCCCCCCTTCCCCAGGCCCCTCCTCCTGGCCCAGAATGCACCCGGTTGAAAACAAAATCCCACGTGACTGGCTCTCCTCTCAGGCCATCATGGCGTCTCCCAGTGGGAAGGGAGCCCGGGCGCTGGAGGCTCCTGGCTGCGGGCCCCGGCCGCTCGCCCGGGACCTGGTGGACTCCGTGGACGATGCGGAGGGGCTGTACGTGGCTGTGGAGCGCTGCCCGCTGTGCAACACTACCCGCCGGCGGCTGACCTGCGCCAAATGCGTTCAGAGCGGCGATTTCGTCTACTTCGACGGCCGCGACCGGGAGAGGTACGGCGGCCGCCACGGCCCTATTGTTTCTTCTGCTGTGTGTCCTCCAGCCAGGCAGCCGAAGGCTGGAACCTGGGGCTCCCCGTCCGGGCACCAGATACCAGCGAGAGGAGCGAGAGAGAGGGAGTGTAGCTAGCTGCTCTGCACCGGAGCTTTGCTACCAGAGGACAGCGTAGGGGCCAGATGAGGGAAGGTCGCCGTTTCCCCATCACCCACCCAAGAGGAGTTTGACCCCACGGTGCTCTTGGTCACTGGGGAAAAAAGGAATAAGTGGTGACTCTCTGGAGAAGTTTTCCCGTTGCTGCCATTAAGTTAGATTCCCAGCTCTTTGCTGTATGTACTCCCATTCAAAAGCTTGGCTTTCTATTTTCGAAAGCATATTTATACTCATTCTCTAGAGGAGAGAGTAGAAGAGAATCAAATAACTGCTTTAGAGGGATTTGGGCCTGGTAGTCTGTCACAGATGGACTTTGTTATCAGACATGCTTACTCTAATGTGTGAATTGAGGCTTGCTGTTAACGCCCCTTTCCCCTCCCTGCCTCTAAAGATTATTTTAGATTCTTAGGAATTTGGGAACGTGTTTTGGCCTTGTTTTAAAATTCAGATTGGGAGCTGCATGCTTTTAGTTAAGAGAATTGCCTTTAGGAAAATGTTTTGGTTTCATTTCGAAATCTAAACAGCTACAAGTTCTTGGTTAAGAAAATTGAAAAATTAGTGTGATTAGCTGCAGGATCTCCCACTCTCAACTTATGTTTCAACAATTTAGTGTCAATGATAGTCAATGATAGTAAGATAGCTAGCATTCTGAGCACAAAAATTCAGGTATTAATTCATTCGCAACAACCGAATGACTTATCCCCAACTTATTAGGAAGCTGCACAGTAAGTGCTTTGCCCCAGGTCACACAAATAGTTAAGTGTTGGTACAAGAATTAAAATTCAGACAGCTTGGACCTATGTACCCGCACTTAACCACTAGACTTTATATCCTCTATATTTGGGAATGTTTTGAGTTCTTAGTATTTCTGTGATCGTGGATGGAGTTCTTTCCTTTCTCTTTTGAGGAGGTTTGAATGACAAACTCTTTTTTAGTTTTGTTGCTGTGTCTTATTGGTGCTCTTGATGACTTTAGAAACTGCTTATGTAGTAAGTGATAGCTTTAAAAATTAAACCAGTTATAAGAATACGGGGTATGAGATGGAAATGTCTAACTGATGGAGTGAATCGAGGATTTGGTTCTGGACCTTCTTGTCTGTCTACACGTTTTACTATGTCTATTCACATAATTTAAATACCATCTATATGCTTAAGACTGCCAGACTTGTATCTCCAACCTAGTCTTCTCTAAAGTCCAGAAAACAGCTGCTTATTCAACATCAATATTTTTAGATTTGTAATAGATATCTTCATTTTAATATGGCAAACTGAACTCCTTGTTTTCCATCATAAATCTGTTTTCCCATGCTCATCCCAACCCAGTAAATGTCAATCTCATTGTTCCTTTGGTTCAGGCTAAAAAACCTTTCAGTTCTCCTTGACTCCTCTCTTAACCCAACTCTGTTTAGTCCCATCAACAAATCCCATCTACTCTTCAAAACTTATCTTACAACAAATCCCATCTACTCTTCAAAACTTATCTTAAATCTTACCCTTTCACCATCACCTGGTCCAATCTACCAGAGACATAAACTTATTTCCTCTTATGTCTCTGCTTCCGTCCTTGCTCCCCTTTTGTACAATTTCCATATTGCAGCCACAGTTATGCTACTCCTCCATTTCTGTTCAAATCTTCCAGTGGTTTTTCACTTTACCCAAAGTAAAAGCTGGAGTCCTTAACCAAAGTTCTATATTATCTGTTCCTCTGATTTAATCTCCTATTATTTTCTCCCTTACCTAATCTGCTGTGCCACTGTGGCCTCCTTGTCTGTCCTCAAACATACCAAGAACACTCCTTCCTCAGGACCTTCGCAGTGGTATTTAGACAGCCAGGAACTCTTTCTCTCAGAAATCTTCAGGGCTGCCTCCTTTGTTTTTTTTTTTAGGTGCCTGCTCATACGTTAGACTCTTTCTGATCCTTCTATTAAAATGCTAACCTCATGCGTATTTAACCAGCTTTATTATCTTTTCTTTTCCATAACACTTACCACCATGTGATGGTTGTACATATTAATTTGTCTAACTGCCCCCACCCCAGTGATATAAACTCTATGAGGGCAAGAGTTTTTCTCTTTTATACACTGTTGTATTCTCACATAGTAGAAACTCAATAAAGATTTATGGAATGATTGAACTGACTCTGTCCCTCTTTCCCAAACTCAGTTTCTAGACCGTTTCAGTATTATTCATCATGATCCATTTGTTACTAAAGCCAGAAAACTGGGAGTTATCCTATACTTTTCTTTTTCTCTTCCTCTCTGCATCCAAAACTCAGCAAGTCTAATTCACTTTGATGTGAAAATATATCTTGAATCTATCCGAGTTTTAGTTCAGACCACCATCATTTCTCTCCTGACTACGTAGTGATCTCCCTTCTTTTAGTCAGACAACTCTTCCTTACCTTGCCTCTGGTCTCCAAACAGCAGCCACAATAGAAATGTAAATAAGATAATGTCACTGTTTTGCTTAAACCTTTCATTGGCTCCCATTGCATTTAAAATAAAATCCAAGCTCCTTACTATGGCATACGAAGCCTCATGTGATTTGGCTACTGTTTGCCTCTCTAATTTAGACTCTAAGGTTGAGTTTAAAATGTGGGCTTTTGACTCATGCTCCCTTGAATTGATTCCAAGCTCTACCACTTGGTACGTGATTTATTTTATTTTATTTTTTTTGAGACAGGATCTTGCTCTGTCACCGAGGCTGGAGTGCACTGGCACAATCATGGCATGCGGCAGCCTCAGACTCCTGGGCTCAAGCAATCCTCCCATCTTAACCTTTTGAGTAGGTGGGACTACAGGCATGCTCCACCACACCTGGCTAATTTTTAAATTTTTTGTAGAGACAGGGTCTCCCTATCTTGTCCAGGCTGATCTCGAACCTGTGGGCTGAGCAGTCCTCCTGCCTCAGCCTCCCAAAGTGTTAGGATTACAGATATGAGCCACCACGCCTGGCTGCTATGTGAGTTTGAGGAAGTTTGTTTGAGGGGGGAGGGGACAGGGTCTCACCCTGTAACCCAGGCAGTGCAGTGGCAAGATCACAGCTCACTGCAGCTTTGACCTCCCTGTTCTCAAGCGATTCTCCTGTCTCAGTCTCCCTGGTATCTGGGACTACAGGCGCACATCAACACGCCTAACTAGTTTTTTTGTATTTTTTGTAAAGACAGGGTTTTGCCATGTTGCCCAGGCTGGTCTTGGACTCTGGAGCTCAAGCCATCCACCAGCCTCAGCCTCCCCAAGTGCGGGAATTACAGGTGTGAGCCACCATGCCTGGCCCTGAGCAAGTTTCTTAACTTCATGTTTATTTCATTTTGTAAATGGCAGGGTATCTAACTTCATAGGTTTCTAGTAGTGATTACATAAAGCATGCATTTAAAGTGGTTAGCATGATGCCTAGAATGTATTACGCACTCAAATAAGTTCATCCTTGTGCTCCCTCTTTTTCACTGCTCCACAGTTGTAGGCCTTCTCTCAAATCCTCAGTCACATGAAACTTCCACCAATGGGGCTTTTTCCTTGCCGTTTCTTCTGCCTGGAACACTTTTCCTCCTGATTGATACCTTGTCTTTCACCATTCAACTTAAAGGCCACTTCTTCGGTGAGGCCTTTCCTGACCTCCTTCACTAAGATAGGTTCCCACCTCCATCTTTTCCCCTATTCATTATTTGCTATCACAGTACCCTATTTCTTTCATGGTACCACACACAATGTGTAATATTATTTATTTGAGGAAGATAGCCACATCCAGAATGTAGTTTCATGAAGGCATGAATTCTGGTCTTGTTCTTTCAGATCACCAGCCCAGCAGCAGCAGGTAGCAGAACTTAGGCATGTTGTTGAAGGAATGTCAAAAGCAATACAACTTTTAAAACTCAACATAGGGGTTGGGCGCAGTGGCTCATGCCTGTAATCCCAGCACTTTGGGAGGCCGAGGCAGGCGGATCACTTGAGGCCAGGAGAGCGAGATTAGCCTGGCCAACATGATGAAACCGTATCTCTACTAAAAATGCAAAAATGAGGCCGGGGGCAGTGGCTCACGCCTGTAATCCCAGCACTTTGGGAGGCTGAGGCGGGCAGATTACAAGGTCAAGAGACCGAGACCATCCTGGCCAACATGGTGAAACCTCGTCTCTAGTCAAAATACAAAAATTAGCTGGGCGTGGTGGCACGCATGCCTGTGGTCTCAGCTACTCAGGAGGCTGAGGCAGGAGACTTGCCTGAACCCGGGAGGCGGAGGTTGCAGTGAGCCAAGATCACACCATTGCACTCCAGCCTGGCGAGAGAGCGAGACTCTGTCTCAAAAAAACAAAAACAAAAATTAGCTGGGTGTTGTGTTGCAGGCCTGTAAACCCAGCTACTCGGGAAGCTGAGGCACGAGAATTGCTTGAACCTGGGAGGCAGAGGCTGCCATGAGCTGAGATCACGCCACTGTACTTCAGCCTGGGCAACAGAGCTAGACTCCATCTCAAAAAAAAAAAAAAAGACAATCTCAAAAATTCTTGGCTAAATGTGAGCATTAGATTTTCAGAAGAGAGATATGTTGTGGTAGATTTCTTTTCCTGACCAAGCAGAAAAATATAAAGCAAATAACCATTCAAAATTTAGAATAAAAAAGAAATTTTAGGGTTCAGGGATAACAGGACTGTCACAGTGGTCTGCTTAGGTCAGCTTCACCTAACTCTCCATCTTTCTCTTTTCCAGACTATGTGCTTTAAGAAGAATAGTTTGTTAGTTTTTCTTTGTTTCCAGAATAGTGCCCAGTATCTAATAAGGTGAAAGAATCTCGAGACCCAGGACCATTGTTCTAATAGCCAGATATTTTTTAATGAGCTCTCATTGGGCACTGTTATGTGCACAAAATTTTCTGGCAATACAGAGGAGAAAGACAGGTCTCTGCTCTCAAGGATTTTTACCGACTGTCAATAGGCCTTGAACTCTGAGGGCCACAGGTTGATTGTGAGATATTCTATCTTCATAATTTTTGAAAATTTTGATTCTGTGATTGCCTTTAGACTCTTTTTCCCCTTAACTTCATGAAAAGCCCCTCACTAACTGTAGAAAACCACTTGTTAATAAAATCTGGAACCTTACAGCACAGTTTTAAAACCCTTGTTTAACCTCTGATTTTCAGTAAATTAGCCAAACCGTCTGTGCCTGCATGGATCTTGAATGTGATAATGCATATCAAAGTTCTTGTAAAGGTAAATGTATTTTTTTCAGGTTTCATTAACAGACTAGCTGAATATCTAGGTTTTAGTGGTTTAGCAGCTCAAGGAAAATTAAGTATTAAAGAAATAAATTGATCTCACATTAATTAGTTCCTTTGACTCTTAAGAAGGGAACCATGTGTCTTTACTTTTGGGGACAATATGAGTTTGGCAGATTAGTTGAGAAATACCTAAACTCATTATTTTTTTGTCGTTGTTCGATGGGAAGACTTCCCTACAACTTTGGTATCCTCACCCACATCATCCTTTCCTCATCCCCCACCTTGCCCCCAGTCCTGAACAATACCTCCTCTGCTTTCACATCTGCCTTTTCTTCCCCTGCCCCCCCCGCCACCCCACCCCCAGGGGAGACCCAGGCTTCAGTGTAAACTGAAGGCGTGTTCCCTGTCATCTGCCTTTTAAACTGTATGCTTCCTTAAGGGATGAAGAAGAAGAATGATATTAGGCAGTACCTCCAACACAGTCTTTGGATCTGTACTGCTGGACATATTAAAATTACAGGAACAGAACTGTATGGATTATGTATTTGTCTGACACCAGAAATAGCACTGCTACCCAGTAGATACCTGATAGGTTGAAGTAATCTTTCCACTCACAACAGGAAAGAAATTGGTTACCAGTTCATGTTAGGTGGGGGAATGGGACTGAGAATTAATCTAAGGATACCTGGGGAAATGTATCTGCTGGTTTAGGAGCCACTGATTTTCACATGTGGATTAAAAAGAGAGACAAATTGTATGAACATATAGATACTACTTTATAATTATGTTTTCAGGAATGATGCCACATTACCTTCACTGACAAGTTTTAGAATATATGATTATACTTTTGCCAGGAAACAGAAATGCATGCCCTAAACAAATTGAGAAATGGGATAAAGGATGAGGAAGAAATTTAAATATTATTGCAGATTTCAAGGGGAAGGCACAACCAACATCCAAAAAATATCCTTTAGATACTTCTGTTCTCCCTTCAGTATATTTTTGTTTGTCAGCCACTGTGGCCCGTAAAAATCTATTGTCTTGAGAATTCAATTCTGTATACTGAACTCAGCAGAACAAAAGCTCTACAGGTAGACAAGAGTTCATCAGCCTTACGACTGTTTCACTGTGTCCTTCAGAGGGTCTCAATTCCTGTCCCATGGAGTTTGTTTATGGTATTTCCACCAGAAAATGTGGATCTGCTAAGAAAATATAACTTATTTTCAGCTAGTATCACTGGCTACTCTTATGATTATACCTTTTAGAACTTATAAAAGGTTTTTGCATTTACTATCTCATTTCTTCCCTACCCTCACCCCATGAGTTATTAATGTATTTTAAGCAGAGGAAACTGAGTCTCAGGGGTGTTGTGGCTGACTTACTCCTGGGTTATACTAATCTTAAGTTCACATTTAGATCTGAACTATATTTTTATACTCTGCATGTGTGTGTATAACAGTATCGGAAAAGAAAAACATTCCATTTTGTTATACAGATTGCGCTGTATCTTTGGAAGGTCATATGTGCTCTAGTGAACCAAGGGCTGGGATTAACCCTGGAGAGGCAGCACCCCCCACCTGTACACCCTGCCACTTGTGTGAAGATTCCTGGAATGCCCAGGTTCTCTCCCTCTAGATATTTTCAAGGCCTGTCATAATGCAAAAGAGTTTTCATAATCTCGTCTCTTTTGAACACCAAAAGACATACTTCATGGAAAATAAAATGTGATTATATAAAAGTAATCCTGAGATTTGCCACTTCCTGTTGCTAGGGAAGGTACTGAATTGACGTGATGATGGAAATTGAGTGCTTACTTGCGCATGGCAGAGCAGTGATGGCACATCCCAGAGGGCAGTGTAAGGATTAAGAGAGAGCATGTGTTTTCTTTTAGAAGGGAGCAGAGTGCTTTAGGGATCAGGGTTGTGGTTAAGGTGTCATTGTGAGATTTCAGTGAGTGTCTTTTTAGTAAAATTGAACTACTTTCAGCCAGAGCCAAGTGAAAGTCTCCAGCCCTACTTTAATCCTTTAAAATATTTTTCAGATGAATTTGTAGTCATGTCTTAAAATGGAAAACTTAGTACACTTAATAATCAGACCCTGTTTGGGATAGATATTTGTGAACTCCTCTTGAGCTGATCTACCTCAAGTAAATTATATAATCCAGGCTCCCAGAAGGTCAGTTCCATGGGTCTCCTCCTTGGTAAAGAATAACTCTCAGTGACCATTTCCATCCCATCAAATTTTAAAAACATTTTTATTTTGGATATTTTCTTCAAACAAGATGTAGTTGAATTTGAGTATTTTGAATTTTAAATTTACATTTTAAATCTAAAATGCATGTTTTTAAAGAGAGCTAAATGTTGTAAATATGACATTTGAAATTTTGAAATGTTTAGCTCAAACATTGTAGAAATAGGAAAATTCTCTCACAATCCCACCACATAAAGGTGCCTCTATTATAGATGATGCACAGTCCTCAATATCCTATGCATATTCTCTGCCAAAGTGGGATCACACAATACATACTATTTTGCTGGTTCGTTGTTGTTGTTGATGTTGTTGTTGTTTTGTCATTTAACATACCTAAACGTCTTTTCATGCCGGTACACAATATTATTCCTTTTACAGCTGTAAACTTTTATCTTTTTAAAACCCAAAGTTAGAATCATTCAGGTCACTTCATGAAAAAAAAAAGATTATATATGACTATCCCTTTTATTTTTCTGTTTATTTACTATTTTACAAACAAAAATGAATTTTTCTATTTTTGTTTCTAAAGGCTGTCCCAGTTTAGAGTAAGCTGAATGAAGGAACTGTAGTATACATTTTCTCTGTGTGCAGAAGAAGCGAGTGTAGTTAGAACTGCCTTATCCTGGTTTCATAATCCCTCAGTCTCTTTTTGTGGTCTGATTCTATAGTTGAGTTTAATGCATGGTAAGATTAAGTGCAGAATCATTCGTTGCAGTGAAGAAATGGAAAGCTGGCATATGTGTGTGCTAAGCATCTGTACCCACTGCTTTCACATTTTTTTAATCCCTTTACCAAGGAGTATGTAAGCATTATTCCCATTTTACAAATGAGGAAACTAAACAACACTTTGTTTCTATTTTATGTTTTGAGAGACAGGTTCTCACTCTGCCATCCAGGCCAAAGTATAGTGTAGGATCATAGCTCACTGCAGCCTCTAATTCATGGGCTCAAATGATCCTCCTACCTGAGCCTCCAGAGAAGTTAGGACTGTAGCCATGCACCACTATGCCCAGCTATTTATATATATATATATATATATATATATATATATATATATATATTTTTTTTTTTTTTTTTTTTTTTTTTTTTTTTTTGTAGAGATGGAGTCTTACTATGTTGCCAGGCTGGTCTTGAACTCGATTCAAATAATATTCCTGCCTCAGGCTCCCTAAAGTGTTGAGATTACAGGTGTGAGCCACCACACCTGGCCTGTTTCTAATTTCTGTAAATGATTTTTAACCTTTATTCCTGACAGTGGGATATATTTATGCTATGCTTTCTCATATCCTAAATATTCTAACATAAAGTTAAAAAATCCTGATAAGGACCAGGTTTTTAAATCTTATTTGCCTATGAAAATCATACTCTTGTATGATTAAAGAATAAAAGCATACTCATATCTTTGCCGATAAAAATATTTTAATGTCTTTTGTGGCAATATACTATCATTTAGTCTTTCTCCCATTGAACACTAGTTTCCAGTTTCTTGCTATTAGGACTGATTTTGTGATTGGTGCCTTCAAACATGAATCTTTCCTCATCTCTGTTATTTTCTTAGGATAGATTCTTTGAAATGCAATAACCGAATCAAAAGGTCGAATATTTTTTTTTAGGCCCTCAATTGCTTATTTGAAATCTATTTTTTGCCTTTCTTAAAATACATTAGTAGTGTTTCTGAGACTTTTCATTGCCATAACCTTAGGCACAAAGTAAATGTTTAGCCCTAGGATGAGGGAAAGGACTAGACAGGCAGGTGGAGGGGTGAGAGTTATGTTATGAAAGGTGCTGTGCTTGGGACATAGTAAGTGCTCAGTAAATTGTGGGTGTTACGGTGAGGCTAGTTATTCCTAGCACAGAATTAATAGTCTGCATCCCTAATAGAGTGCATGCCCTGGTGTTGTTTTTCTGGTAATATAAGGCAGATTTATGTGAATTGTCTGACCTGTGGTTAGGTCCACTCAGTTGCCCATGATTGTAGCCGGGGAACAGAGTGGAAGTGAGACTCGCATTCATAACCACTACCTCATTAGTAGCATACTCCCGTCATTGTTTTCCCACTTGGCGTGTTGAAATGCTTGGTGCAGTTACATAGAATTTTCTCTGCCTCCATACCCTTCCTTCCCTTAACAGGATCAACTCTGGCTCACCCTCAGGTCTCAGCTTGGACAGGCAGCGCTCCTGGGTGGCTGCCTCTGAAGCCCGAGCTGGGTTGTGTGCTTTCTCTGGTGCCACTGGGGCTGTGTGCGAGCACCCTTCTCCTTGTTCCCATCAATCTGTATCACAGAGGGACTGCTGGAAAGTCAGTTTAAGGGAGTACCTTTTTTTAACAGAAAAAAAAATCATAAGTCATAAAAGTATGGAAGAATTTATGAAACAACAAAGTTCATTTGAGAGAATACTTTTTAGGGGGGAACAACCCAAATCATATAAGTATGGAATAATTTAGTGAATAATATAGAAGACTTTTTTAATTGGGAGAGAAAATACGGAAAATAGTGTTGTAAGAGCCAGGCATGGAACAGGTTCACTGGCAGATTTCTTTCAGAAAACAGCACAAAAACTAGTGTCATTAAACAACAACAACAAAAAGATGTATGCCTACATAAAAGTTCAGAAAATTCTGTAGAGCAGAAACATAAGTAACATGAAAATAGAAAAAATAATTTGTGTGAAATAAAAATGGCCAATTTCCCTGCTAAATAATCCTCAAAGGAAAAAAAAAACTATAAAAAATTGGATGAAGGACATAGGGAAATAACAAGAAAAATCAGTAGCCAGTAAAATATGAAAAGTTGTTCAAACTTTCTCATAATGAAATAAATGCAAATAAATGAATTACAAACCATCTCTCAGAGGGAGGGATGGGAGGCCAATCAGATTAGCAAAGAATAAAAAGAAATGTCCAGTGTTTGGGGAGAGTGTGAGAAAACAGGTGCTGTTGGTGGGGTTGTAAACTGTATAAAGTGTTTTAGAGGAAATTTGAGGATTGCCCACAATTTTGCTGTAAATATTCTTTGACTAAGCAGTTTATTTTATTTTATTTTATTTTATTTTATTTTATTTTATTTTATTTTATTTATTTATTTGAGACAGTCTCACTCTGTCACCCAGGCTGGAGTGCAGTGACGTAATCTCAGCTCACTGCAACCTCCGCTTCCCGGGTTCAAGCAATTCTCCTGCCTCAGCCTCCCAAGTAGCTGGGATTACAGGTGCCCGCCACCACACCTGGCTAATTTTTTGTATTTTTAGTAGAGACAGAGTTTCGCCATGTTGGCCTGGCTGGTCTCGAACTCCTGACCTCAGGTGATCCACCCGCCTTGGCCTCCCAAAGTGCTGCGATTACAGGTGTGAGCCACCGCACCGGCCCAGTTTATTTTATTTGTAGGAATTTCTCATGGAGAAACTTGAAAGCCTATAAAAGTGCACTAGGCTATTCACTTGTATCGTTACTGATCATAGTGAAAATTTGGAAGGAAGAATGGTGTTCACCTGTAGAGGTTTATATAAATAAATTATATGGTGTCCATCCAGTGAAATGCCGTGTACCTATTAGTGAATTAGATCAATATGTTCTGGCATGGAAAAAGAGACCAAGATACTTTATGTGACAGCTGCAATTTGGAAAACAATATGTGAAATATGGATCCCCCTACACACACTTTTAAAAACTATATATATAATATGTATCATTAAATTTGGTTTGAATATAGTGATACTCTATTTTTCACCTCTTGGAAGCTGTATTGAGAAAGCACAGACTTGTGGAATGAATTTTTTATCTCCTTCTGTGAGTGGTGGGATGGAGACTGCAGAGCCTGGATGAGTGACTGAGTGAGCAGTTGCAGCCCTGACCCACGCATGTGGTTTGGTATCATTTGCTCTTTTGCTTTACTGACACCACCTATTTTTGATTTCTTTCATGAAGGAGGACGTGACTCATGAAGTATTAGGTTGGTGCAAAAGTAATTGCTGTTTTTGCCATTCCTTTCAATATTTGATACACTAGGACTTATCTTTTGTTTGTTATTCCTGCTGCCATCTGTATATTTGTAAGAGTTTGTTTCTTTTGTGTTTTTAACAAAGTCCAAGAAAATCAACCAGCTCACTATTAAGCTAGACACAGTTGTCTGTCTTCCCAATTTGTTTTAGAGCAAAGTGGCATTTTTACAACAGACCTCAAAGGAGAACTTTTATGGCCTCTGAAGTCAAGATTTGATTTTCCCTGTCAGTCCTTTGCATGGTTTGAGATTGCTAACTTGTGAGTTTATTATTTTCTAATTATCAGAACATAAATCACCCTGTTGTCTCACTGATATAAAAGTAAATACTATATTAGTCTCTCATTTTTGATACAAGGAAACAGAAGCATATAACAAGTGATAGGTCCAAGAATTCACAGTCAACTGCAGGAGAATTTATAATTAGATTTCTTAGTATTCTGGAGGATGCCTTGTTTTGTGTTGCAGGTACATAGTAAATGCCTGATAGACTGACTGATGAATCTATGGGTTCATCCACATTCCACATTGGTTTCTGAGTTTTCTAATACTGGTTCATGCTGTTGCCACCTTACTGGACATTACAGTGCTATTCAGTAGAACTTTCCACAATGATGGGAATGTTCTGTATGTACACCATCCGGTAAGTCATATGTGGCTGTTGGAATGTGGATGGCAGTACAACTGAGGAACTGAACTTTTAATATAATTTTAATTAATTTAAATTTAAATAGTCACATTATAAGTATATAATTCTGTCACATATAATATTGCCTATTTGCTTTTTCTGTTTAATGTATATTGTGCATTTTCAGTGACTATTAAATTTGTTAGGGTCATGATTAGACCATTTTATTTATTCCTCTTAGAAGCAGACATCTTGGGGTATGTTTCCAACATGGGATTACAGAAATAGTATTTTAGAAAGACTTCTTTGTCCAGAATATTTTTAGGTCTGTTATGGCCTGTTGAATTGTTTTCCTTTTTGCTGGGAAATAGCCAAAAGCCTATTCTTGAACACCACATCATGTTACTGCAGCATGAGTCATTATCCCTGTTCCCTTGAAAATGGTCAGTGGGTCACGTTCACTCCACAGTCAGTTGTATGATGTTAGTCATACAATTTTTTTTTTTTTGTCCATGCCCTTATTAAGCAGCAAGCCACATCTTAGGCACTCAGTAGCCATGTGTGGCTGGTGGCTACCACATTGAACAGCACAGATCTAGAAGACATTTATAGAACACTGCCCAACAGCTGTAGAATACACGTTATTTCAAGTACGCGTGGAACTTTCTCCACGGCATACCATATGCAAAGCCATAAGACAGTCTCAGGTTACAAGATCGAAATCACACAATATATTTTGTAACTACATCAGAATGAATTAAATTAGAAACAATAACAGTAAGCTACCTAGAAAAGCCTGTATATCTGAAAATTAAACAATATGCTTCTAAATAATGGATGGGTAAAAGAAGGATTCTTATGGAAGATTAAAAGTTTCAAACTAAATGATAATGAAAATACACAATATCAAATCTTAGGATATAGCTATAACAGTGCATAGAAGGAGATTTTAAACTTCATGTGATTATATTTAAAAGGAATAGAAGTTTAAAATTGACCTGAGTTATCACCTTAAACTGCAAAAAGAAAACAAAAACAAAAACAAAAAACCCAAGTAAGTTGGCAAGAAGAAAATAAAGATAGAAAACTGGCAAATAGAAAATAATAACTATGCTGGGCGCGGTGGCTCACACCTGTAAGCCCAGCACTTTGGGAGGCAGAGGCGGGCAGACCACCAGGTCAGGAGATCGAGACCATCCTTGCTAACACAGTGAAACCCCGTCTCTACTAAAAATACAAAAACAAAATTAGCTGGGCATGGTGGCAGGCGCCTGTAGTCCCAGCTGCTTGGGAGGCTGAGGCGGGAGAATGGCGTGAGCCCAGGAGGCGGAGCTTGCAGTGAGCCAAGATCGCACCACTACACCCCAGCCTGGGTGACAGAATGAGACTCCATCTCAAAAAAAAAAAAAAAAAAAAAAGAATTACTGCAATGTGATACCTCTTCTTTTTGATAACTTTTACAAGTAATTTTTTAGCCTATGATAACTAGCAATAAAATTAGTGAAAAAAAGTCTACAATTTTTAAAAATTTATTATAAGGAATCAGTTTATAGGAGAGAGCAGGATTGAATCCAGATTAGTAATTAAAATTTGTTTTCTAGTGAAAGCATCAATTTCCTTGAATTCAAATTCACTTTAGTGTTCTGATGTGCCTGTTTTGACAAATAATTTAATCTGGGCGGAAGATATCTATAGACATATTTTATAAACACAGGAAATAATTTTAAAGTTGAGGATTTGAGCTTAGTTTTAAAAGAACCAAATGGTTAGCAGTTGTGTGCACCCCGTTGAGAAGACGTGTATTTACTATCAGGACAATGACATTTTCACATGACTCTGCAGAATGATTGGTTCTTGGGAATTTGCATAGTCTCATTGAACTGAAAAAATGACCATTTAAATAAGACATTGAATTTTTTTGTTACAGGTTTATCGACAAGAAGGAAAGGTTAAGCCGACTTAAGAGCAAGCAAGAAGAATTTCAGAAAGAGTGAGTGTTTTGTTTTGTCTTTTAATTTGTGGAGGTGATCTAGTCAACATTTGGTTGAATTCAGTGCTGTGGTATGCAGATATACGGATTGCTAACTTACTGAATTTAGGATACAACCTCTTAAAGTGTAGGAAAGGAGTGCATGTGGGAGAGGTAAAGCAGGAGAAGTTACCAAGTTTCTAGAAAATACTGGCCTCAGATCCGGTGTGTGGTATACAGTAGATACTCAGTGAATCAAATCCCTGGCACTGATAATTGATGTGTGGGTCCAGGACAGTCAGCATGATTAGTAGACTTAAATTAGTGCTGGTGGCTCCCATAGGACATTACTGCTTCCATTTACCATTCTTCTTTTGTCCATATCAGTATTTTACAACATATGGTCTGCACATTACCTGTATCAGAATTCATTAGCTGAGTTAATGGTTAAAAATTCAGATTCTTGGAATCCTATCCTCAGAGATTCTGATTCAGTAGCTCTGGGGAGAGGCCTAGGAATCTGAGGTTTGTTTTTTTTGTGGGGGGGAATGGTGGGAATCTGAGTTATTAACAGGCACCCCTGATGAATCTCTGACCCCCTAGGATTGAGAATTGTCCTATAGAACCTTCTGGTATAAAACCTGCTCCCTAGATGCACCCTAGAGGTTTGCATCTCTTGTGCCTTCATTCAGTTTCTCTTTACCTCAGTGCTTTTCCTCTTCTCTGAGCACGCCCTGCCCAACTCTCAAGGTTCTAAAAGGGTTGTCTCTTTTGTGGCATCTCCCCAAACCATGCCAACGTGGATGTCTCACACCCCCGATGAAAACAGTTAATGCTCAGGCCACTGATTCCCAAAGTGTAACCCAAGCTTCTCTAGAGTTTGCAGTGGTCTGATAAACACATTCATGAGCAATTTAAATCTACCAGGATATTCTGTATTAGAGAAACTTGCTTGAATTTATTTAACTCTGCAATTTCCCTAATTACTCAAACACAAAAACTTTATTTTTCCCATAGAACATTTTATTCCATAGAACCAATATGTGGAGATGCTGGCATGTATCATTTCTTTGGGAACTATTAGATCATTAATTCTCTTGTAACTATTGCTATGAATTATGACGGATGGCAGTTACTGATGATGACTGAGGACAAAGGCTAAGACTGTTAGGCAGATTTATTGTGGACATTTGTAGAAAGGCTCTTAGCAATATTCAGAACTACAAAAGGAAGGAGATGAAAAAAATTGCAGAGAACAGGGAATTTGGAAAACACTTTAAATGCTAAGTCCCGTTTTGATATTTCTAGCCATTTCTAAGGACTTAATTTTAAGTGTTTGATTTTACATTTTTGAACTTCACAGAATTTTATTATTTTTAAGAGCTTATTTTCTGTCTCTTTTCCTCACAGAGTGTTAAAAGCTATGGAAGGAAAATGGATAACAGATCAGTTGGTAAGTTGTAATACATGTTCTTTTTACTTGAGGCTACATGTTTTTAAGTTGGTAGAGCTTATAAAATTATTTTTAATTAAAATTTTTAAAAATCGTATTTAGCAGTCCTCTACTTAATCCACTTGTAGCGTGGCTTTCTCAAATATTTCATCTAGTTACCAAAAATGGGGTATCGGCAATTAATTATGGAGCCATTGTAAAGGATAATTATGAAACCTGACATGTTGACATAGAAAAACAAAAACAATGGGCTGTTATTCTTTTTTGCAAAAATTATTTATCATACACACTCCAAATGGATTAATGATTAAATGTGTCAAAGAAAATATGGGTGGCTATTTACATAATCTTGGAGTGGGGAGAACCTTTATAAACCGTAGAGGAAAGCATTTTGACAGATCATATAACAGTTTAAAACTTCCGGCCAGGTGCAAGGGTTAATGCCTGTAATCCCAGCTACTTGGGAGGCTGAGGCAGGAGAATCACTTGAACCCGGGAGGCAGAGGCTATAGTGAGCCAAGATCGTGCCACAGCACTCCAGCCTGGGCAATAAAGTGAGACTCCCTCAAACAAACAAACAAACAAAAAATTTAACAATTAAAGAGTTTGGGAGAGGCGTGGCAGCAGCCAGGCAGCCCGGCTTTGCTGAGGCTCTAGATGCACTATGCCTCGCAGGCGCTTGGCACACGCCTTCCCTGCAGCCAGGATGCCCAAGAGGAAGGTCAGCTCCACTGAATGGGCCACAGAGGAAGAGCCCAAGAGGAGATCGGCACGCTTATCAGCTGAACCTGCTCCTGCAAAAGTGGAAACGAAGCTGAGAAAGCAGCAGGAAAGGATAAATCTTCAGACAAAAAAGTGCAAACAAAAGGGAAAAGGGGAGCAAAGGGGGAAAAGTCAGAAGTGGCTAACCAAGAAACTGAAGATTTACCTGCAGAAAACAAGAAACTAAAACTGAGGAGAGCCCCTTTGAAGTGTCAGTGCTTTTTTTTAGGAGGTGAAATCATTCTCTGGTTGTTTACTTTTTGGTACAACCAGAAGACAGTGTGGGATATTGAGTAGTGGGAGGCTTTTACTGTCTTGGGTGTCAGCTTAGCATTCCGTAGTTGGGGGGTTAGTTTTTATATCCTATAATACCAGGCATACTAAATGGCACTATGGAGTCACAGTCCTGCATTTAATGTATTGAACATTTTTAATTACTTCTGTTCCCGTGTTGTTTTTTAGTAGAACTGTTTCCTAAAGAAAACTGCTCCTTGATGATGGCTCTCCCTGTCAGAATTTCGTGCACTCTGTGAGCTCTTTGGTCGTGGTAGTCCTGTTTTCCTAATAACTTTGATACAGTGCTGTGAAAGATTGAAAATTTGAATCTGTAGTGTACATGCTATTCAGTTGTGAATTGGTGGGACATGCGTAACAGCTTATCAATGTGTGAAGATAGTGGTACTTGATGACTTTATAAGGAAAGTTTGCTTCCAGATTTTAAGCTGGAAAGTCACTGGAATAACTTTAAAAAAGAATTAAAATACATGGCTTTTAGATTTTGGGTATGTATATTAAGAATTGGGTACAAATTGAAATGTCTGTGTACTGATCTTCAACACAACCAGTGAAATCTCAATTATGAAGGAAAAAAAGGGCCAGGCACGTTGGCTCATGCCTATAATCCCAGCACTTTGGGAGGCTGAGGCAAGTGGATCACAAGGTCAGGAGTTCGAGACCAGCCTGACCAACATGGTGAAACCCCATCTGTACTAAAAATAGAAAAATTAGCTGGGCATGGTGGCACACGCCTGTAATCCCAGCTACTCAGGAGGCTGTGGCAGGAGAATCACTTGAACCCAGGAGACAGAGATCACAGTGAGCCGAGATTGCGCCACTGTACTCCAGCCTGGGCGACAGAGCAACACTCCATCTCAAAAAAAAAAAAAAAAAAATTATGATACTGTGTAGTTGTTAAAAAGAATGTGGTCAGTCTACGTGCTGTGGAATGATGTCCAAGTTGTATTTATTAATGGAAAAAAATAATAAACTAGGATAAAGTATGATTTCATTTATGTATTTTAAATATAAATATACTCTTATAAAATCTGCGCTGGGTGTGGTGGTGGATGCCCTGTAATCCCAGCACTTTGGGAGTCCGAGGTGGATTGCTCAAGCCCAGGAATTGAAAACCAGCCTGGGAAACATGGCAAAACCCCATATCTACAAAAACGAACAAAAACCAAAAATTAGCCAGGCATGGTAGTATATACCTGTAGTCCCAGCTACTTGGGAGGTTGAGGTGGGAGGATCACTTGAGCCAGGGAGGTCAGGCTGAAGTGAGCTGTAATCACACCACCATACTCTAACCTGGGCAACAGAGTGAGACCCTGACTCAAAAAAAAAAAAAAATCTGAAAAGATACACATTAAACTTTAATTTTAAAGGATTACCCCTGAGAAATGGGAAGGAGTCAGGCTAACAGTCACATTTTCTGTTTTTCTTCTGTAATGTGTAATTTTTTTTCACAACAGTAAACATTATTCATATATTTCTTTTTTTTTCCTCTTTTTTTTGAGACAGAGTCTCGCTCTGTCACCCAGGCTGGAGTGCAGTGGCGCGATCTCGGCTCACTGCAACCTCCACCTCCTGGGTTCACACCATTCTCCTGCCTCAGCCTCCCGAGTAGCTGGGACTACAGGCGCCCACCACCACGCCCGGCTAAGTTTTTTTGTGTTTTTTTAGTAGAGACGGGGTTTCACCGTGTTAGCCAGGATGGTCTCAATCTCCTGACCTCGTGATCCGCCCACCTTGGCCTCCCAAAGTGCTGGGATTACAGGCGTGAGCCACCGCGCCCAGTCATATATTTCATTATACTTAAAATTTGTGATAGAAGTGAATTTTGCTTATTCTCTGAATGTTTTAGTAAACAAAACATGTTCTGTGGAAGATTTTCCTGAGTTTTCTGTAATGTTTCTAGTTTTTCTATCTAAGACTTCAATATTCATTTCTAAAGACTCTGTTACCTTTTAAAATTGAGGATAGGTCATATCTGATATATTTCTGAACCCCTCAGTCCCTGTGGATCTGTTTTTGAATGTCTGACTCTATTCGAGATGTTAGAGTTTCGCTCACCATAACATCCCTGTAATCTGTTCTGTGTCTCTTACCATCAGACTACTTAGATAAGTGTAACACCATGAACATTTGAGCATTGTTTTAAGCTTTTAATTATTCACTTTACGGAGTCATTAGAGAATAATCATTCTTTTTAACTAACTAGTAGATCCTTCTTTTTTTTTTTTTTTTTTTGAGGTGGAGTCTTGCTATATCACCCAGGCTGGAGTGCCGTGGCACAATCTTGGCTCACTGCAACCTCTGCCTCCTGGGCTCAAGCGATTCTCCCACCTCAGTCTCCCTGGTAGCTGGGACTATAGATGCATGTCACCACACCTGGCTAATTTTTTGTATTTTTGGTAGAGATGGGGTTTCGCCATGTTGCCCAGGCTGGCCTCGAACTCCTGAGCTCAAGTGATGTGCCTGCCTCAGCTTCCCAAAGTCTAGGATTACAGGTGTGAGTCACTGCACCCGGCCATAGATCCTATTTTTATTGATCCTTTGTTCACTTTAAGGCAGGGGTCCCCAACCCCCAGGCCACATATACCTACTGGGCTGTGGCCTGTTAGGAAACAGGCCATACAGCAGGAGGTGAGTAGGGCAAGTGAGCATTACCACCTGAGCTCCACCTCCTGTCAGATCAGTGGTGGCATTAGTTTCCATAGGAGTGCGAACTCTATTATGGACTGCACATGCGAGGGATCTAGGTTGTGCACTCCTATGAGACTCTAAAGCCTGATGATCTGAGGTGGGACAGATTCATTCCTGTAAATCATCTGCCACCCTGTCCGTGGAAAAATTGTCTTCCACAAAACTGGTCCCTGGTGCCAAAAAAGTTGGGGACCACTGCTTTAGGGGGTGCTGAACCTAACTCCTGGTAATATAAAGAGTCAATTTCATGTTTCATATAATTTTCTGAGGCTTTTCAGGAAATCTTACTTGAGTTATGCACTGAAAAAATAATGTTTTTTGCCATTTTTATTAACTTGCAAGTACTAGTTGCTTATTGGGTGAGATGACTTGGTTATGTTAACCGTCTCCTCAGTAACCAGAACTAGAGGTTTGGAGCTGCACGTCAGTAGGACTTTGCGTGATGATGCTTGAGTTCTGTATCTGCGCTGTCCAGTCCATTAGCCACTAGCCATATGTGATGTCAAACATTTGACATGAGGGTGGTGTGAGTAAGGAACTGAATTTTTGATTTTGTATGATTTAAATTGAGTTTTAAGTAACCACATGTGGCTAGTAGCTATATAGCTAGAGCGGGTTTAGAGAATGTCCTTCAACTTTTTTCTCTTTGCTTACTGATACATACAAAACTATGTGAATTTCTTTCTCGTAATTTCCCTTTCCTTTTTTTTTTTTTTTTTTTATGGAGTCTCACTCAGTTGCCAGGCTGGACTGCAGTGGCGTGATCTCGGCTCACTGCAAACTCCGCCTCCCTGGTTCAAGTGATTGTCCTGCCGCAGCCTCCCGAGTAGCTGGGATTACAGGCATGCGCCACCACGCCCAGCTAATTTTTGTATTTTTTTAGTAGAGATGGGGTTTCACCATGTTGGCCAGGATGGTCTTGATCTCCTAACCTCTTGATCTGCCCTCCTTGGCCTCCCAAAGTGCTGCGATTACAGGCGTGAGCCACCGCACTGGCCTAATTTCTCTTTTCTCTGCATTGAACTAGAAAAACATCGTTCTCTTTTTCGTAATGTTCCATAGTTACAAAAGCTATAACATAAGGTCTTTTTCTTCATTATGTTTTCTGACATATCTGAAAATAAGCAGTGATCCCAGGTAGATAATCATATTAACCATAAGAGACCAACGTTTGTGATATTTATTACATGCTTTTTTCAGAGATGGAAAATAATGTCCTGCAAGATGAGGATTGAACAGTTAAAACAAACAATATGTAAAGGAAATGAAGAAATGGAGAAAAGTAAGTAATTCGTGTCCTTCCTTCCAGCCCTAGAAAGTGCCTATGTGGAATTTCATGGGATTAATAAACTAGAGGGACACAGAAAGGAAGGGGATGGTGGGGCAGTGGCAACTTGGAGAATTTTACTACTCGCCCTCATCTTTCCTTGTAAAACATTTGTATAAGGAATTTTTAAAAGTTAAATACACAATTTCAGAGGCCTTAAATAACCAGATTCTTTTCTCAATTAAAAAAGTTAGGCGCCAGGCGTGGTAGCTCACGCCTGTAATCCCAGCACTTTGGGAGGCTGAGGCAGGCGGATCACAAGGTCAGGAGATCGAGACCATCCTGACTAACATGGTGAAACTCCGTCTCTACTAAATACAAAAACTTAGCTGGGTGTGGTGGCGGGTGCCTGTAGTCCCAGCTACTTGGGAGGCTGAGGCAGGAGAATGGTGTGAACCCAGGAGGCAGAGCTTGCAGTGAGCTGAGATTGCGCCACTGCACTCCAGCCTGGGCACAGAGCCAGACTCTGTCTCAAAAGAAAAAAATAAAAAAGTTGGCCAGGCACGGTGGCTTATGCCTGTAATCCCAGCACTTTGGGAGGCCGAGGGGAGTGGATCACCTGAGGTCAGGAGTTTGAGACCAGCCTGGCCAACATGGTGAAACCCCATCTCTACTAAAAATACAAAAATTAGCCGGGCGTGGTGGCAGGCACCTGTAATCCCAGCTACTCAGGAGGCTGAGGCAGGAGACTTGCTTGAACCTGGGAGGCGGAGATTGCGGTGAGCTGAGATCGTGCCATTGCACTCCAGCCTAGGCAACAAGAGCAAAACTCTGTCTCAAAAAAAAAAGTTAAGGAATGTATGTTCCCATTTGCCTTGGCTAGCAGGAAGCTCAGAGTCTTAACTTGGTACTCACTTGTAATAATTATTGGCCCATGCCAGAAGCACAGAATATTGTTTTTTTTTTCCCTTAGTGAGTCTCCACATTGTAATCTGTATTAATCTTACATCATATTTGTACACTTTATACTTTATCATAGATCGTTGTCAAAATGAATTCTCTTAGAAGTCCTACATCCTTAAGCCACTTCCCATTTGCCCCAAGAATACTCGTTTCTAATCCTAATGTAACATCATATACATTTCTATTACATTAGGATTAGAGACAAGTTCTGTTTAGAAATAACTCCAAGAGCAGTTTTTATATTTTATTTTCACATTGAAAATCAGATTTACTTCAGACTCAAAGAGCATGTTTATGTAACATTAAATGAGTGCCGGCAGCAAGCTGCAGTCCATGAATTTCTGAAGATCACTGTTTAAAGTTTAGAATGAGTCACCATCAGACCTCGTGAATCCCTTTTTCTTGTCTACTCATTGCTTCCAGAAGCAAGTCTTTTATAGTGGCATGTAATGGTGTAAAGCTTCCATTGAAAACATTTGTCCTAATAAAGTGCTCACGTGGAGTTTCACGGGATTACTAAACTAGAGAATTAGGGCAGCACACTGAACAGTGCCCAGAACTATATAGAACCTACTTTCCACCCAGTCTTGCATGCATTCTCCAAAGGCTCTTTGTTCAGTAGCAACATCAAAACCCATTCCTTAACATTAGTTCATGCTCTCCCCGTCTTACCATGATATTCAGGGCTTTGCCACCGGGCATCTGTGAACCTCCTGAAAATTGCTGAATTTACTGATCATGCGTGTTTCTCTGATGAGCATGTTAAAAGCTCTGATCAGCTCTTTTTAACACATTCCTAACTCCCAAAAACAAAAACAACCACCACAAAGAATTAGACATAGATCTAAAGGAGTGGACCCTATAACAGTGGTTTCCATCCCTAGCAAATCATCAGTCACCTGGTGACCCTTTTAAAATCTAGAGAGAGAACCCTAGGATCTATCCTGGACTTAGGAAAATGATCACATGCTTGAACGTGATGGCAATGTCAAATCGCCATGTTGAAAAAAAAAAGCTTCAACGTGCTTACTCTGTATTTCTGTCCTCCTCTCATCATGACTGGTTAACAGTTTACAGATGGGCCCAGATCTAGACGCCACACTTTGAATAGCACTACTCCAGGTGGTTCTGATGACTTGCCAGGGTTGGGAACTGCTGCTCTTTTAGAATGTACATGTCTCCTTCCCACCCTCTAGACCAGACTTAGAAAATTTGCAAACAATTTTAGAGGCCAGAAACTATGCTCGGACTCATGCTTAAGAGCTTGTTGTTGTTGAATTATGACATGTAGTCATGAAAGGGCACAAATTATAAATTGTAGAGACTGATGAATTATTTCTCTAGAATCTTTTGACTTAAGGTTTCATGATATACATTATATAGTATAATACAGATATAGGGCATAGATAGGGAAGTTAGGTTATATGCCATTGCAGTGTTGAGTTGATCTGTGCTCTAGTCAGAGTTACTTATCTAAAGAAGCAAGAGTAGATTACAGATACAGCACCAAACATTTTGATGTTTATGGGGAGATGGTAGGGAGAGAGGATGACTGCCTGCTGAGTCTGCACTGGGTGCAGATGAGGTGACTGATGATTTCCTGCCACCTGCAAGTGGTCATGATAATAAATTTGAAATGGATCTTCCCCCAGAAATCTGACCACTGTATGACTCAGAATCATGGCTGGATAGATTAATTTCAGCACTTGTAAAGAGCTTGGTAAAGATAATGAAAATAAGTTAGCATGTGATGGAACCAAGAGACTGAACCTTTAGGACATTCACATTAAGCAGGATGGCAAAGAGATGTTGTTGTTGTTGGTTTTGAGATGGAGTCTCGCTCTTTCGCCCAGGCTGGAGTGCAGTGGCACGATCTCGGCTCACTGCAACCTTCACCTCCCGGGTTCAAGCAATTCTCCTGCCTCAGCCTCCCAAGTAGCTGGGATTACAAGCACCCATCACCACACCTGGCTGATTGTTGTTTCAAAACTGTAAGAAATTGGCCAGGTGCAGTGGCTCATGCCTATAATCCCAGCACTTTGGGAGGCCGAGGCGGGCGGATCACATTGAGGTCAGGAGTTTGAGATCAGCCATGGTCAAACTCCATCTCTACTAAAAATACAGAAATTAGCTGGGTGTGGTGGTGTGTGCCTGTAATCCTAGCTACTCAGGATGCTGGGTCAGGAGAATCAATTGAACCCGGGAGGCGGAGGTTGCAGTGAGCCGAGATGCACCACTGCATTCCAGCCTGGGCAACAAGAGCGAAACTCCGTCTCAAAACGAAAAAACTGTCAGAAATCTAATGCGTGCAACCAAATACCTAAGTTCAGTGGTGCTCAGTGAAAGAGGGTGGGAGGGTGGTTTGGACCCATGGACATTTATCAGGTACGTTTTATACCCTAGTTAGGAGACAGCAAGGCTTCAGTGGGACCTCATCTGAGGAACCAAGAGCTATGCGCCATCAGAAGAGTCTGAACACATTACCATAGGGTTCCGAAGAGCAAAAGGTCTGGGGAGTGTTTATGGAGGGGGGCCTTCCTGAATGAGTAAAATTCAAACATTTAGAAAACAGGAGCAAATAGATAGCCTGAGTGTTAGGGAGTGATAACTGATTCAGCATTCATCCATCCATACGTTCAAGTGGTTCCATCTTGCAGAAAGGATTTGAAATATGTTGCAATTGAGTACAGCTAGAGCGAAGGGTGTGCAGAGGGGAACTGTGGGGATATGTACCAATTTGGAGGAGGCCTTGAGGCTGAGGGGTTTGCTCTGTATTTGATGGGCAGTGGAGAACCACTGAGCATTGACTATAATTTGTAAAGATTGAGCAAGTGAAAGAGGGCATGAAGGCGTGGAGTCGAGCCGTGTTGGAGATAGGCAGAGTGTTGGTGAGCGTTAACTAGGATTGTGATAGTAGGAATGAAAAGAAAGGCCTAGATAGACAGACTTGGACTGGAAATGGAATTGACCATCAAGGGTTGATTAGGCAGTGGACACGTCAAAAATAATCTTGAAGTAGGGAAACTGGAGAAGATTTTCCTGGAAAAATAATGAACTTGATTTTGAACTTGGGTTTAAGTTGCCTAAGCAACTCCTAGATATCTGTCTGAGAGTTTACAGCTTGTTTTTGTCATTCAAGTGAAGTTTAGCTACAGCCCAACAGCCCTAGCAGGTGTAGGATCCAGAACTCAAAAGGACTCCACAAAAAGGACCTAAATCTGACAGGACGAGTGTATGTCTCCTCGTGGTTGTGTGGCCAGGCTTTTGTTTCCCTTGCAGCACTTAAAATGCTGGGCATGCGTGTCTAGATACCTCACCAGATGTGTTCCCACCCACCCTGCTGGTTGCTGCCACACTCCACTGTGACTTTTCAGAGCTCTTGGGCTGTTTCTCTTGCCCTTCTCCTCTACTGGATGACCACCTGCTGTGAGATTATCCCTGGGTTCTCTGATTATAGCCCAAGGCACACCTAAGAAGTTTCTAGGGAAATCAGATAGCCAGTAAGTTTTTCAAACTTGAATTAGATCTCTTTTCTGCCCAATGTGACTATTCTTTGGTGCACACTGTAGGAAAATCAGGTCCTTCCTGTGCTAAACTTAAACTCGATAGTTGTTGAGTGACTCCTTTTACTAGTGATGATTACAAATAGAGATCCAGAGTCATTTTAATCATGGTTCTCTTTGCTTTATGTGTAATATCTACTTGAACTAAACTCTCAAATTTTCCACTTAGTGAACATTATATTATTCAGGTTTTGCTTTCAGTTTAGATTGCAAGGGAAAACACGCATGTTTGTGGGGTGGAGCTCTGCAGTACACAGGAACTGTTTGCAGAGATAATTGTTGGGTGTGATTTATTTATTTTAGATTCTGAAGGCCTTCTCAAAACCAAGGAAAAGAATCAGAAGCTTTACAGTCGAGCACAACGGCACCAAGAGAAAAAGGAGAAGATTCAGAGGCATAATCGCAAACTTGGTGACCTGGTAGAAAAAAAGACCATTGACTTAAGAAGTCATTATGAGCGTCTGGCAAATCTTCGACGATCCCATATATTAGAGCTCACCTCTGTCATTTTTCCAATCGAGGAAGTAAAGACGGGTGTGAGGTACATTAAGCAAGTCTTTTGACTCCAGGAATAGATCAAGTTCCAAATACTTTTTAAAGTATGTCATTACCTTATTTATTGGGTCTTATTCTAGGGTCATTGGTTTTCCTGGTGATGGAACATAAGTCTTATCTGTTTCAACAAACAGTACGCACCGCAGAAAGCTGGGGAGGCAGCGAGGTGAGGGGTGGGGCCCACACTTGTGTACTGTCCTAGAGCTTCTAGATGAGGTGCTGACTCACACTCCTGATTAAGAACCATCTGATGGCTGGGAGTGGTGGCTCACGCCTATAATCCCAGCACTTTGGGAGGCCGAGGCAGGCGAATCACCTGAGGTCAGGAGTTTGAGACCAACCTGGCCAACATGGCAAAACCCTGTCTCTACTAAAAATACAAAAATTAGCCAGGCGTGGTGGCGCGTGCCTGTAGTCCCAGCTACTCAGGTGGCTGAGGCAGGAGAATTGCTTGAACCCAGGAGGCCGAGGTCGCAGTGAGCCAAGATTGTGTCACTGCACTCCAGCCTGGGTGACAGAGCGAGACTCTGTCTCAAAGAAACAAACAAAAAAAAACCAGAGAACCATCTGATGGGTGGTATTGGGCCATTTATTAGTTGTGTGTTGTGAGGCATGTTCTTGGACCTCAAAATCTTGATTTCCTTGTCTGATAAATGGGGATTTAAAAATGCCTTTTTCACAGAGAAATCATGACAAATACATAAGAAAACATCTAGAGCTTGGGGTCTCTTAGATGGTGGGCACTACATGTTGGCTTAGCCTTTTCCTGGTGACCGCTGCTAAGATAACTGTTATCAAGCACTGAATACCGTGACTTCGGTCTTAGGCGGTAGTGCATGGATAACCCCTGGTGGGACAGACAGGACAGTGGTTCCCCCATCTGGCTGTTCATCTGAGAAATAGAGGTTCCAGAGGGCACCCCTCCAACCTCCCAGTCCATCTTGTAATATTTCTATATCTTTAAACTTCCCTGATGCTGCTGCTGATCAGCAGATTTGGAAACTACTACCGAAGGCTTCCGTTTATTCCCACAAGCCACCAGGCTGCTCTAATTGAGGATTTTCCTGTCTCTTCTGGCTGCTCTCACTCTCCAGCACCTTTTCCTGGAAACTGACGTTCACTGGACTATTGCTAGTTTCATAACTATTCTCTTCAGTCTGTCTTTTAGTCTGTTGCCAGAGTTGGCTTCCTAAAAACCAAAAAGACTGATTGCTACTTCCAGCTTGAGAAGCTGCTCTCTTGACTCTAAGTATTTTGTCATTAGTAAGAGTTGGCAAATAGAAAAATAAAAAGGCAGATTCAAAATAGAGCAAAATAGAAAGTTTTTAGGAGACTGACAGCTGAGTGCAATGTGTGATCTTGAGTCCTGAACCCCAAAAGAGATATTAGCAGGACAGTTGGAGAGAGGTGAATAAGGTCTGTAAATTAGTTAATAGTGTTGTAGCAGTGCTGATTATCTGGTTGTGATTATTGTATAATATTTTCCTGAATTGATACTTTGGGGAAGTTGAGTGAAGTGTATACAGGGAAACTTTAAAATTCTTGCAGCTTTTCTGTAAGGCTGACTTTTTTCAAAAAGAAAATACACACACGAGGAGAAAATATGAAGAAAAACTATTTCTGTGCTGTTTTAATCTTTTATTTAGTGTATGTTATTATATGCCATTAATTTTTTAAAAAGAAGCTGGTGGTTTTAAAGTTACCCTTCTAATAAGGTTTCTTGTTTGCCTTTCTCTCAACTTCTTGTGGGAGAAGGGAGACGCAGCAGTACAGCTCAGAACTGGCCACAGTCTTATCTGTGGCAGGCAGTAGCAGCTATCTTATACGTATGTTGTGGCAGAAGGAAAGATACGAAGAACCACTGGCCAAGAGGACAGAATCTAAACTTGGTGCAGCACAGAAGGCCCTTCCCAGACTGCCTGCTTCCTACCTGCTTTCCCAGTACTGTCGCCTGGCACTTCCCTTGTGCATCCCACACACCAGCCACACTGACCATCTCTGTTCCCCAAGCATGCTATGTTCTTCCCCCTCACTGCATTTGTACCTGCTGTGACTTCTCATGGTGGGTTTTTTTTTGTTTTTTGATTTGAGAGGGAGTCTCATTCTGTTGCCCAGGCTGGAGTGCAATGGTATGATTATAGCACCATTCGTGAGCTCAAGCAGTCCACCTGCCTTGACCTTCCAAAGTGCTGGAATTACAGGCATGAGTCATCATGATGGGCTTGTTATTTTTTGTTGTTCTTGGGGGTTTTTTTTGTTGTTGTTGTTGTTGTTTTGTTTTTTTGTGTTTTTTTGAGATGGAGTCTCGCTTTGTCACCCAGGCTGGAGTGTAGTGGCATGATTTCGGCTCACTGCAACTTCTGCCTCCCAGGTTCAAGCAATTCTCCTGCCTTAGCCTTCCGAGTAGCTGGGATTACAGGCACCCACCACCACGCCCAGCTTATTTTTGTATTTTTAGTAGCGATGGCATTTCACCATGTTGGCCAGGCTGATCTCGAATTCCTGACCTCAAGTGATCTGCCTGCCTCAGCCTTCCAAAGTGCTGGGATTACAGGCATGAATCACTGCACCTAGCCCTGTTGTTTATTTTCTTTCTTTTTTTCCCCCGAATATTTTCAGTCCTCGGTTAGTTCAAGACATGGAACCTGTGAATACAGGGCTGGCTGTGGCATATGATGGCATGGGACGCGTGCGTAAGGCCCTTGTGCTGCACACTGAAGTACCATTGCTGGCTCAAGGAAAAGCACTTGAGAGACTGAGCTGCACGCTGAACTAGCTGCTCTTTTTGTGGGATGCTATTTTTACTTGAAAGAACAACAGAAAGACTTGAGTATTAAAGAGAGTTTAAAAAATGTAAAACAGTGTCACTCTTTACTAATTTTTTGTTTTGAAAGTTTTTTCATAAAAATGTATAATAGGTTTATTGGTATTTTTGAATGAATTATTTATATTTTTCTCAGTATTTCTAATTCAGTATCAGTAATCTAACCCATATAAACAAAAGTTCTTTGGAATTCCAAAGTGTTTTAAACACGTAGAGAGGTGTTGAGACCAAGTAGTTTGAGAACCTTATATGTTCAGCCCTACCTCATGGTTCCGTCTTCCTCACATTGTGTGGGCTTCTGTGCCACAGCTGGTTTGATCTTCCTCTCTGATAGCAAGCTCTTATCTACGTATATTTCAGTTAAATTCCTGGCCAGGCATGGTGGCTCACAACTGAAATATTTGCACTTTGGCTGGTCACGGTAGCTCATGATTATAATCTCAGTACTTTCAGAGGATTGTTTGAGGCCAGGAGTTCAAGACCAGCCTGGGCAACAAAGTGAGACCCCATCTCTACAAAAAAAAATTTTTTAAGTTAACCAGGTGTGGTGGTAGGTAGGTACCTGTAGTCCCAGCTACTTAGGAGGCTGAGGCAGGAGTATCTCTGGAGTCTAGGAGTCAAGGCTTCAGTGAGCTATGATTACATCTGTCACTGCGCTCCATGTTGGATAACAGAGTGACACCCATCTCTAAAATAAAAAATAAAAATTTAATGTAAAATTTCTGTGCTCATAGGCAGCTTTTCGATGTTCTAGCATGTCTTGCAGTTATATTGCATGCCCTTAAAAACCCTCTCTCTTGAAAATCCGTGTGTGTCTTCCTACTTGTAGAGACCCCGCAGATGTGTCTTCAGAGAGTGACAGTGCCATGACCTCCAGCACTGTGAGCAAGCTTGCTGAAGCCCGGAGGACAACTTACCTCTCAGGACGATGGGTCTGTGACGATCACAACGGAGACACCAGCATTAGCATTACAGGGCCTTGGATTAGCCTCCCTAACAATGGGGACTACTCTGCCTACTACAGCTGGGTGGAGGAGAAGAAAACAACCCAGGGGCCTGGTGAGAAGCAGCATATCCTTTGAAATCTATATATAGAGAGAGTTATAGGTAAAATTGACATAACAAAATGAAGAGCTTTCAAGTGAACCATTCAGGGGCATTTAGTACATTCACAGCACTGTGCTCCCATCACCTCCATGTCATTTCAAAACATTTTGATCACCCCAGACAGAAACCCCATGGCATGAAAGTGTCACATTTCCCCACTCTCCCTTCCCCTCAGCTCCTGGCAACCACACATTGCTTTCTGTGTCTATAGATTTGCCTGTTCTGGGCAGCTTATATAAATGGAATCACAGAACATATAGCTTTTTGTGTCAGACTTCTTTCACTTAGCGTAATGTTTTCAAGATTCATCCACATGATAGTATATATTAGTGTTTCATTCGTTTTTATGGTTGAGTAATATTCCATCATATGGATAAGACACATTTTATTTATTCATTCATCACTTGATGGACTGAAAACATTTTTTAGATGTCTCACCTTTTGGGGGTTAATATTGTCTTGTTTATGTAAGAGGACGTTATTTAAAGAAGTATATTTAACCCGTTTAGACCCATATTTATAGTGTATAACTTTGTAATGTGTTTTAGTAGTCCTAAATGGAGACTGAAAGGCCCCAATGGGAAAACCCTTTAAAACCCCTGCAGTTTCTCTTTGGTGGAGAAAGATTCTTTGTTCATTTCGTCACTCAGTAAATATTTAGTGAGCTCATGCTTTGTGTCATGCACATTGCTGGGTGCTGGAGATACAAAGGTGACCAAGACAGAGGTGGCCCTTTGCCCTTCTCAGGGGAGAAAGGTAGGAAGCAAGTAAATGATCGAGATGCTGTACATTGAGTGGGTGCCATGGAAGGAACTAGGGGAGCATCCTGGGGCAGGATGGGGTACAGAGGAAGGGATGACTCTTCCGTAGGGTTGTCAGGAGAGCCCTCTCTGGAGAGGTGACATTCAAGTTGGGCATTTATTGTTTTGATATTACGTTATCAGGTTCACACAGGTCAGACTTTAATTTCATTTATGTTGGGTCTATTTAGGCCCATTTGCTCTGTTACATTGCTCTCAGCAAAAAAAAAAAAAAAAATATATATATATATATATATACACACAAAGAATGGACCATTTATGTCTGGTCATGGAGCATCTATTAAGGAAGCACTAAAACGTAACAGTGCTATCATGATAAAATCATAAATGATAAACTCGTGGATTATTAGTAGTTTTGTTGGAATTAAGGTTTTGTACATGGTGGTTGTTTTCTTACTGCAGACATGGAGCAGAGTAACCCTGCCTACACCATCAGTGCTGCGCTGTGCTATGCAACTCAGCTGGTCAACATTCTGTCTCATATACTTGATGTAAATCTTCCCAAAAAGCTCTGCAACAGGCAAGTAATTGAAGGTGGTAATGTCATCTTTATCATGGCTCTTTCAAGTTTCTATTTTGTCTTTATTTATTCCAATAAACCAAAAATAAGAATGTAAGTATTACCAAGACAGAGAAGGTCGGATTGAAATATTGAGATTAATTTCAAAAGCCTTATGTGCAGATTCGTTTCATTATCTTACAGTTGTACGTGAAGTCTTCCAGAAGACCACAGAGAATATAAAGGGGAGTATCAGGATGTTCAGAGGGTTTGCTGCAGATCCTCATATGTTAAATCGCAGCCGTTGAATTCTTTGATTTGTTGTTGTTGTTGTTGTTGTTGTTTTGAGACAGAGTCTCGCTCTGTCGCCCAGGCCAGAGTGCAGTGGCGCAATCTCTGCTCACTGCAACCTCCACCTCACAGTTTCAGGCAATCCTCCCTCCTCAGCCTCCTGTGTAGCTGGGATTACAGGCACCCACGACCACGCCTGGCTAATTTTTGTATTTCTAGGAGTGAGGGGGGTTTTGCCATGTTGGCCAGGCTGCTCTTGAACTCCTGACCTCAAGTGATTCACCTGCCTCGGTCTCCCAAAGTGCTGGGATTACAGGTGAGCCACTGTGCCCTGCCCTGAATTCTTTTTGTTTGTTGTTGTTGTTTTTTAATAAAAAACTCACATGGTTTAAAATTCAAAACATTTATACAAAAACTAGCTGGGCATGGTGGCCTGCGCCTGTATCCCAGCTATTTGGAGGCTGAGGCAGAAGAATCGCTTGAATCCGGGAGCTGGAGGTTGCAGTGATGCTGAGATCACACCACTGCACTCCAGCCTGAGTGACGGAATGAGACTTCGTCTCAAAAATAAATAAAATTCAGAAAATTTAAAGATATACAGCCTACCCAGTTTGCACTACAATCTTCCTACTACCCTCCAACTATCATTGCATTTCAAGCATATATAAACATATTATTACCATCTTCTCCCACTTAAAGAAATTCTTATTCTTTTTAATTTTTTTAAAAAATTAAAAGTTTACTTTCTTCTTTTTCTTAAGACAGGGTCTCACTCTGTCGTCCAGGCTGGAGTGCAGTGGCACGATTTTAGCTCATTGCAACCTCCGTCCCTCCCCAGGCCCAAGCAATCCTCCCACCTCAGCCTCCCGAGTTGCTGGGACCACAGGTTCATGCTACCACACCTGGCTAATTTTTTTTTGTATTTTTTTGTATGAGACAGGGTCTCCCTATGTTGCCCAGGCTGGTCTTGAACTCCTGGGCTCAAGCGATCCGCCCTCCTCTGCCTCCCACAGTGCTGGGATTACAGGCATGAACCACTGCACCCGGCCATCATCTTCCCCCTTTAAATAAACACTGTTTACACTTTGCTTTTAAAATTTTTAGTTATGTAACACATATTTATGAAGTACCTACTGTGTGCCAACACTGGAGGGTACATTGGTGACAAAAAAATAATCCTTGCCCTCTTGGAGCTCACATTTTCATGGAGGGCCCAGCATAAATAGTAAACAAATCAACAGCATGTCACATGGCAGTAAGTGCTGTGGAGAACGTTAAAACAGGATGAGAGGGCCAGGTATGGTGGCTCATGCCTGCCTGTAATCCCAGCACTTTGGGAAGCTGAGGCAGGAGGATCACTTGAGCTCAGGAGTTAGAGACCAGCCTGGGAAACATAGTGAGACCTTGTCGCTACTAAAAATAAAAAAAAATTAGCTGGATGTGGTGACACACACCTATAGTCCCAGCTACTTGGGAGAGTGAGGTGGGAGGATCGCTTGAGCCCAGGAGATTGAGGCTGCAGGCTGTAGTGAGCTATGATCATGCCAGTGCACCCCAGCCTGGGTGACAGAGTGAGACCCTGCCTAAAAAACAAACAAAAAAGGTAAGAGGGAATGTGGTGAGAGAGGGGCTTGCTGTGTTTGAGTGGGCAGGTGTGTGATCATAGGGGAACTGAGGGAGGGAGGGAGGAAGGGAGGGAGGCAGCAAGCAAGCTGTGTGGACCCCTAAGGAAAGAGGCTGTGGGTAAAAAGAATGGCAGTTGCAAAGTCCTGGATAGAATAACGAGGGCAGAGAGGAAGATGGGGTGCAAATCTTGTGGGCCTCATAGGGCCGTTATAAGCCTTTGACTGCCATTCTGCATAAAGCAGATGACAGTTGTATAGTTTGCCTTTCTGTAAAGGTGTCAAGATCTTACCAGTCTGCTGTTGATGCTTCAAGAAATAATCTTGTACATTTTTCATTTCATTAGTGTGCAGATATTTGTGTAGAATAAATGTCCTGACGTGGAATTGCTTGGTCAAAGGGTATGTGCATTTGTAATTTGTATAGATGCAGTATAATTGTTCTCTGAGGGGAATGGTGTATTCTTAGAAAGTCTTTAAGTGCAATTTACTAAGGAGTAAAAGGGCACAGAGTATGTGTTATACCTAATTGTACTGTAAATGGAAATTTTAACATAGAATTTCCTCAAAAAATGCAACTTTATAAATTGTATGTTTGTTTTACAGTGAATTTTGTGGCGAAAATCTAAGCAAGCAGAAATTTACTCGAGCAGTGAAGAAACTGAATGCAAATATTCTTTACCTTTGTTTTTCTCAGGTATGAAAAATAGGTTGTGAACTAATTTTTACTTTGTTAAATAGTTGAAAATATTAACCAATTCTTTAATTTTTTTTAGCATGTAAATTTAGATCAATTACAACCACTGCATACCCTCAGGAATCTAATGTACCTGGTCAGTCCAAGCTCTGAACACCTAGGCAGGTAAGAAGATATTTGTTGCTTTTCTCTAAGTGTTTTTGTGAATCCTGTTAGAGGAGTTGTATGTTGGCATAGTAGAGTCGTGTTCCCTAATCCCAAACTCCTCAAACCGGACAAAAATAGTGGAGTCCAATACAGAAAGAAACAAAGGTAATTATATTTGAACTTTTATGGGTTTTTTTTGTAATCATGTCTTAGAAAAAATTAATATCAATCATTTTTAATACCTGAAGCGCAGTTGAAGAACCCACATGTTCCTGGAGTAGTGCCTTTTTGTGCTTTTCCTGAAGTCCAAAGGCCATGTCTTTGGATCTGCGTCTATTTCTTCTCCAGCCCTTCCTGGACATAGACCCCTTTATAAAAAGCTGTGAACTCTCTAGCCCTACCTAGTGTCTGCCCTGTTTCCTGCACATTTTCTTTTGCTCCTCCTCACTCCTTGTCCGTCGTAACAATTCACAATTTCCTTTTTTTTTTGAGATGGGGTTTCACCCTTGTCACCCAGGCTAGAGTGCAGTGGTGCAATCTCAGCTCACTGCAACCTCCACCTCCTGGGTTCAAGCGATTCTTCTGCCTCAGCCTCCCAAGTAGCTGGGATTACAAGTGTGCACCACCATGCCTGGCTAATTTTTGTATTTTTAGTAGAGACAGGGTTTCATCATGTTGGCCAGGCTGGTCTCAAACTCCTGACCTCTGGTGATCCACCCGCTTCGGCTTCCCAAAGTGCTGGGATTACAGGCTTGAGCCACCGTGCCTGGCCACACAATTTTCTTATCACTGAGTCAATCTGATCACCATTTGTTGGAGATAAAAGGTATTAGAGGTGTAGGGGATGAACTGGTTTGAAATCAATGAGCTTAAAAACAGTTAAACAAAAAATACCAACCAGGGCTGGTGTGTGAGATCTTTTTATTCTCTCAGCCCATGAAAGCATGTACTGTACGAGCCTTAGCTTTCGTTCCATCCATGCACGCCTGTGCTGGGTGTTTGCCCTTTTTTCCTTGCTCTTAGCAGTCTGTCCATACATTTCTGCAGAGATGTGATATGGTTATATATTTACACTTTTGAAAGAGAACTCAAGAAAAGACAAATGGCGGGAAAGTTCTTTTGGGTTTCCCTTCCGCATCATCCATCTACTGAAACCCAAGGCATTAGGGGAGGCCTCGTCCACTAACACGTGTGCCTGGCTTCCCCCATGCAGCAGTTAACTTTCAGTGATAATCTGCTTTTAACCATTGTCTTATGCTTCCTCCCCCTCCCCACCTCAGATAGTTAACATTTCCAGGACATAGACTCCTTTATAAAAAGCTGTGAACTCGCCAGGAAACTGCACATATACTTACAATGTTGTGCCATTTTACAGGGAGTTCATGCCTCTCACCCCTGATCCCATTCATTGGTTCATGAGCCATGGAAACGTGAACATTAGAAATCCATCCCAGTTTTGATGGTTGGTTTCTGTGAGTTTACTCACCATCCTCTCTGTACCTTACCTGTAAAGGGCTCAAATTAGGAAATTTATCCTTACTAATAAGAGCTAATATTTATTGGGCCACTATTTATTGACACAAGGCCAACCACTTTACTTGCCTTGGATATTATTCCTACTTTATAGACAGGAGAAACTGACGCTTAGTATGGTCAAGTAACTCATGGCCATGGTCACAGAGCCAGTACAAGTGGTGGAGCCAGGGTCTCAGTGCACACCTGGCTGACTCCACAGTAGTAGACACTCATGCAGTTAACCAGTATTTATTATTTCATCACATTAACAGATTAAAGAAGAAAAAACATAAGATCGACCTGATAGATGCCAAAGAGAATTAAATAAAATGCAGTTCCCATTAATAATTAGGGGGGAAAATTACTAGCAAGTTAAAAGTAGATTATTACTAGTGGATATCTATCATAAACCTACAAGGAAAGTTATACTTCATGGCACGTTACTTACATAGATACTGATGTAATTTATGCAATAGATTACATAGGAACAATCAAGGATGCCTACTATCAGTGCTGTGTTAACAGCTCTGAAGGCCTTGCCAAGGCAAAGCATTTTTAAAAAGAAGTGAAGTGTATTTATATTGGAAAGAAAGAAACTAAGTTGGGAGTATTGTAGATGGTATAATTATTGAACTGGATATCCAAGAGAACTAAGAAACTGTTTGAAATGATAGTTCAAACCAGGCATGGTGGCTCACGCCTATAATGCCAGCTACTTGGGAGGCTGAAGTGGGAGGATCACTTGAGCCCAGGAGTTCAAGACCAGCCTGGGCAACATAGTGAGACTCCATGTCTACAAAAAGTAAAAAAAAAAAAAAAAAAAAAAAAAAATTTAGCCCGGCGTGGTAATGCATGCCTGTAGTCCCAGCTGCTGTGGAGGCTGAGGTGGGAGGGTCGCCTGAGTTGAGGAGCTCCAGGCTGTGGAAGTTTGTGCCACTGCACTCCAACCTGGATGACAGAATGAAGCCCTGTCTCTTCACAAAGAAAAAGATAAACATACAAAAAACAGTTGCTGTCTTGTGTGCCAACAACAACCAGTTTGGAAATTTAATGGAAAAAGTATTCCTTTTACTGTAGCAGCAAAAACTATAAATTCCATAGCAGTGATCTTAATAAAATATATGTAAAATGATTATAAAAATTATGAAGCTTATTTTTATTCCACATGTATTATTTGAATGGCTCTACACACCGTATGAGGAGTGGAGCTGAAAGAAAGCCACAGGCAGGGAAAACCCTTATGATTTTCCAGGATGAGAAGGCTCAGTGTTGCAAAAGGGCTACTTCTCAAAAGGAAGACTGATCGTATTTCATGGAGCTTTGACAAGCTGATTCTAAAGTTCAACTAGAAGTATAGTCTGCAAGGAAGTTTTGAAAACAATAATGAGGGATGGGGTTGGTCCATTTAAAACATAGCATAAAGGTAATTAAAACAGAGTGCTGTTAGCATGCAAATAGGTGGAGTGATTAGAGGAAGAAAATAGTCCCGAAACAGACTCTTGTATATGTGGAAATATAATCTTATGATAGAGGAGGCGTTGAATCAGATAATGGTTCAATAGCGTTGGGCCAGTTGGGTATTCATATGGGGGAAAAGTTGAGTTCATACCACATTCTATATACAAAAATAAAATCCAGATGATATAAAAAACCTTATTTAAAAAAATACAGCTATAAAATAAGCAAAAGGACAGTGTTTTATAATGATAGGGTGGTGAGGGAATTCCCAAGTAAGCCACAAAACCCAAAAACCATAAAGGAAAGGAGTTAGACATCTTCCTGTGTCAGAACTCTGAGTGTGTCTAGTGAAAGCTGCCATAAACAAAGTTAAAAGACATGTCATAGATAGGTTCCACAACCTCTATAACAGACAACAGATTAAAATCTAGACAACTGAAATCTTTCAAATCAGTACAGGAAAGACCAACAACCTATTAGAAAAATAGACAAAAGATTAAAACATGCGGCTCACACAAGAAATGTAAGTAGTCAGATCACTTGAGCTCAGGAGTTGGAGGCTGCAGTGAACTGTGATCACTTTTGTGAATAGCCACTGTACTTCAGTCTGGGCAACACAGTGAGACCCCCATCTCTTTAAAAAAAAACATTAAAATAATAAAAAACTTAAAATGCAATTCAAAACAAGTTTCCATTTGCAACCATCAGTTTGACAAAAATAGGAAGGCTCGATGAATCCAGCGTTGCTGGTAGTTGAGGGAAAAAAGCACTCATACTGGAGGTGAATTTTTGTAGCGGGTCTGAAGTTTTCTGTAGGCTTACTCTTGAGTCAGGTTTTCCATTGAGAATTGCACACACAATTAGGCTGTGAGTCACATCTAAGTTTATGGCCAGAGGACAGGAAGTAGAACTTCAGGAGTCCCCTTTTCACACCTGCTTCATCAGAATCAAAGTGTAGAGAAGATTGTTCATGGAACCTGGGTGGGATTTCCTGTTTCTGTTCAGACCGGCACAACTGAGGATTCTATTCTGAAAAGATAAACTTTTTTTTTTTTTTTTGAAACAAATTTAAACTTACAGAAAAATTACAAAAAAATAAAAATAGGACCAGGCATGGTGGCTCACACCTGTAATCCCAGCACTTTGGGAGGCTGAGGTGGGCGGATCACTTGAGTTCAGGAGTTTGAGACCAGCCCGGCCAACATGGGAAACTGCATCTCTACTAAAAGTACTGAAATTATCTGGGCGTGGTGGCGGGTGCCTGTAACCCCAGCTACTTGGGAGGCTGAGGCAGGAGAATCGCTTGAACCCAGGAGGCGGAGTTTGCAGTGAGCTGAGATCGTGCTGCTACACTCTGGCCTGGGAAACGGAGTGAGACTGCATCTCAAAATAAAAAAATAAGTAATAAAAATAGTACAGTCATATACACCCTTACCCAGATTGACCTATTAATATTTTGCCCATTGCTTATCCTTTGTGCAGTTTCTGTGTCCATCAATGCACACACTCCCACATATTTGAAATAGGATATATTATAAAAGTGACTTTTACAAAGCTAGAAAGATCCTTTTGTTGCCTTAATTGGTAGAATACCTCCCTGCAGCACCATGAGAAAATGAGTATTCCTGGTTCAGGGTCTTGAATAAAAAGATATCCATTATTCAGCTAAACTAAAAATTAGGAAACAATTTTATAATCTTAATTCCCCAAAGACATTAAGCAAAATAGGATGAATTATTTTGCTAGTTGGTTGTGTGTGCTGTGTCTCTAGCTTGGGGTCTGGCAGGCAGGTGATGTATCTCTAATCTAGAAGTGGGAGAGGCACTGGGTGGAGAAACATCGCAGGGGCCTCTCCTCCTGCTCTGTGGCTTCTCAGAAATGTAGGTTGATCATTGGAACCAAAATTGTTCCATACTGGCCCCTTGAGGAGTCTTCCATTCAGTCGCTTTTCATTGTACTTAGCTGAGCGCCTGCTCCGTGCCAGGTGGGTTTCTCCACGCAGAGAACCGGAGTCCACCGGGAACTTGGACATTTCCTCCTCTCTGTCCCTTCTGCCTGTCTCCTGGGAAAACTAAGACCCCAGGATTGGAGAAGGCAGCATCAAAGAAGAAAACAGGCTGAGCCTTGGAGGGAGGGAGGAAAGAAGGAAGGAGCTGTGGTAAAAAGGAAGGAAGGAAGGAAGGGAGCAGGGAGGAGCGAAGGAAGGAGCAAGCTGTGGAAAAAGCTGACTGGGGAAGAAAGGAAGGGAGGGAGGGAAGGAGGAAGGGAAGGAGTGAGGAAGAAAGGATGGAAAGAAGGGAGGGAGGGAGAAAGGGAAAGAAGGAAGGGAGGAGTGAGCTGTGGTAAAAAGCTGACTGGGACCTTTGGGGGATCCTGGGGAAGATGAGAGACTTAGCCTGGCAGTCAGTTCTGAGGTCCCCTAGACTGCACAGCTGAACAGAACAGAATCAGAGCATCTTTGGTTTAGTAAAGGAGGGAGCCCAGGGAAGGAATTTAAATTGTGAACTTTTTTAGTGGGTGCGTGCCAGGAGGAGAGAGGCAGCTCTCCAGCAAGAGGAGGCAGATGGGAAAGTGGTGGTGATATGGTGAGGACCTGGGCCAGGGTGACAAATTGAGAATGGAAAGGGGGCTTATTTAATGATAACAGGTAGCCCTGGTGACCCCAGACAGAGTGGGAGGTGGGAGGGGAGGAGTCCCAGCCAGCTAAAGTTTTGAGACTGGTTCAGATATGTGAGATGAGCCTGAGGGTTTAGTAACCAGAGGATATTTGGGAGTGGCGCTAGGAGAGGAATCGGAAAAGATGGCTCTAGAGTAGAACTGTTTGCCAAGGAAAAGAAAAAGGGGAGAAAAGAAATGAAGTGCAAGGAGAAACTTGAGAAGAGGGTGCTCAGAGCTAAAAACTGCAGTGGCCATTAGTTTGCTGGCAGAGAAATTCAAGGGGCAGTAGAAAGTCCTACTCCTTTCACCCTTGCAAAATACTGACTTCTGGGCAGGGTGGGGCCTAGTAAACTTGAGAGCACCCCTAGTCTGAGGGGCTCTTTGTTTTTTTGTTTGTTTTTTGAGACAGAGTCTCGCTCTGTCGCCCAGGCTAGAGTGCACTGGCGCCATCTCGGCTCACTGCAAGCTCCGCCTCTGGGGTTCACACCGTTCTCCTGCCTCAGCCTCCTGAGTAGCCGGGACTACAGGTGCCCGCCATCACACCCAGCTAATTTTTTGTATTTTTAGTAGAGACAGGGTTTCACTGTGTTAGCCAATGGTCTCGATCTCCTGACCTCGTGATCTGCCCGCCGCAGCCTCCCAAAGTGCTGGGATTACAGGTGTGAGCCACCGCGCCCGGCCTGAGGGGCTCTTGGAAAATGTAAATTGCTCACTGGAGACCAAGTGGGAAACCCCATGGCGTATCTTCCAATTTAATAAAGCCCTAAAAACAGTCCCTGGAGCATAAATGTTAGCTATTATTATTGCTTAATCCATCTGGGAAGCACAGGTGTCTGGGAGGAATGAGGGCTGCTTGCTTCTGTAAAAAGTGAGTCAACGGTGCAGACCTGGTGAGGTGCGTTGGAAGCCAGTGCTAGCCATTCATCATTGTGAAGGCTGTGGAGAATTTGGGACCATAGGCTGAAATGGCAAGCTATACGATTCTAGGCTCTCATTTCTGCCTGCTATTTATTTCGACCTCTCCTATTTTCCCCAAAGTCGTTATCAGTGAAACCCTTAAATGAACCAAGGCATCGTGTGCTTATCTTGGGGGCAGCAGCAGGGAGAGAGCGGCACCTTGGTCCCACCCTGTAGCTGGTTGCAGGGCAGTTCCCTGGAAGGCAGTGGGTGGGGGTGGCTGCCTACAGGGAGGACATGCAGCCTGGCTGCCCTGGAGCAGGAGCTGAGGGGCATTTGAAAGGGAGGGGAAAAAGAAGCAGAAAGGCGGCCGGGCGTGGTGGCTCACAACTGTAATCTCAGCGTTTTGAGAGGCAGGGGTGGGTGGATCACTTGAGGTCAGGAGTTCAAGACCAGCCTGGCCAACGTGGTGAAACCCCGTCTCTACTAAAAATACAAAAATTAGCCGGGCATGGTGGCAGGTGCCTGTAATCCCAGCTACTCAGGAGGTTGAGGCAGGAGAATCGCTTGCACCTGGGCGGTGGAGGTTGCAGGAGCCAAGATGGCGCCACTGCACTCCAGCCTGGGCAACAGAACGAGACTCTGTCTAAATAAAAAAAAAAAGAAATGCAGAAAGGCTTCTGAGGTTTGCTGACTCGGTTCCCTGTGCTGAGGTGCCAGCAAAGAGGATGAGGCCTAAGAAAGGGTTATTGGACTTGGCAGTGAGGGTGTTATTAGGGACCTTTGAGAAATAAAAATTGTTTTCTCCTGAAATACAGTGCAGAAATATACAACATTGCCTCTGAATATATTCTAAACAGTTGTGCCTCATTCTGTGCTAGAAATGTGTCCTAGAAAATTGTGGTGATATTTTTAAATATGTACAGGAACCCACTGAGTTTTCTTTGTATACCATTTATTACTTATTACACTAAATAATATCCAGAGTATACATCAAGTGGCTTTTTGTTAGAATTGTCTCATTGGAGTGCCGTGTATTTACTTCGTAGACACTGCAGTTCTTTACAACAGGAAGTCAGACTTAGGACCAGCATGGGCCATCTCAGTGAATAGGTTTTTTTCCTATGCACGGTCATCACCAATGAAGTAGGCAGACTTGTGGGAAAGTGTGGTATCATGATTTTATTTATAACTTGGGTGGAGATTATTTGGGTAAAGGAAAACGCAATCATATGTCAACACGGAGTGCTGCATAGACTTGGGGAATGAATGGGGTGTGCGGCGTCCCTCATCCCCTCAGGTGAGGGCCTTCAGGAAGATGGCATATTTTCTGGTGTTGAGAATGGTTGTTATCCTAAAGAGACCCTCATTGTCTGCACACAGGTCAGGGCCCTTTGAAGTACGAGCAGACCTTGAGGAGTCCATGGAATTTGTGGATCCCGGAGTTGCTGGAGAATCAGATGAGAGCGGAGATGAGCGCGTCAGCGATGAAGAAACCGACCTGGGCACAGACTGGGAGAACTTGCCTAGTCCCCGGTTTTGTGATATCCCTTCCCAGTCTGTGGAAGTCTCCCAGAGTCAGAGCACCCAGGCGTCCCCACCCATCGCGAGCAGCAGTGCAGGTGGGATGATCTCCTCTGCAGCAGCCTCGGTGACCTCCTGGTTTAAAGCTTACACTGGACACCGTTAACGAGCATGGACCAAAACATACCAAATCTGCATCAAGAAAGTTCTTCTCCCACTACACTCTAGTAAACATTTTCTGTTTAAGTTAAGATAGTGTCTGGAACAAAGAGGTTAAAGTGTTGTTTTGTTTTGTCTTTTTAAGCAGGGAGACAAACATTTCTATTTGCCAAGTGGCCTGTGATGGTGACCAACATGCTTATGATAATTAAGAGAACAGGGGTCGAAGGTCTTTCTACCCAGACCAGTGCTGGTGGAAGGAGGACCTGTGCGTGTGGCCAGTTCTGCCAAGGAAGCAGTTGATTTGGGTTCCCTCTGGGCCCGGGCCACCGGGCCC